>NC_000018.10:13910649-14210699 GCF_000001405.40 Homo sapiens | reverse complement strand
ATCACGGATGGCGATACAGATATTTATCGTCAACTCACAACTTCCCAAATCTTTGAAAAGTCTTACTATTGATGGTTCAACTAGTAGAAACATAATCTAAAATATCTGAAAATAAAGTTTTTATTTATTAGAATGTAAACAGTAATACAAATTGTAATAAGTTGTAAAAGTTCTTTCTTCACTGAAGCAGTACCATGTTGTCCTCTACCTCACAAACACACCAGTCCCTCATGGTCTAACGTATTTTAAAAGTCCTGTAATTGCTATTAACTCAGACAAGTTTACTTAACTTGTTCTAAGCTTCTGTTATTTACTATAATTTACTTTCAATCACTCAACGATCTCTATTATATATGTTGTTTTCCATGAGAAATTTGTTTATTAGTAATTAAGATTCTTCAGGGATAAGAAGATATTTGAATAACTAAGTTTGTGCATAAACACATTAAGGTCAAATACCCATGACATTATTGTGTGTTTCTGTGTACTAGAGACAAAAACTTCAAAAAAAATTTTAATGAATATACATTAAATTAAAAACTGCTTTCATTAAACTGATATAATCTTCCCTCAATGCATGAATACCTTCAGAATTCACATAGACCAAAGAATTGTATAAAATATAATAGCCTTAAAAATCTTATTTGTAGCTGGCACAGTGGCTCCCGCCTGTAATCCCAGCACATTGGCAAGCCGAGGTGGGCAGATCACCTGAGGTCAGGAGTTTGAGAGAAGCCTGGCCAACATGCTGAAACCCCATCTCTACTAAAAATAGAAAAATTAGCAGGGTATGGTAGCATGTGCAGGTAGTATTGGCTACTCAAGGGGCTGAGGCAGGAGAATTGCTTGAACCTGAGAGGCAGAGGTGGTAATGAGCCAAGACTGAGCCACTGCACTCCAGCTTTGGTGACAGAGCAAGACTCTGTCTCAAAAACACAAACAAACAAACAAAAAACATAATCATTCCCATATAAGTCTATGTTCACAAAAGATCTGAAGAGTACACAACACCGTGAGACAGGACAGACATATATTTTAAAAGTTATATTCCTGGTTTCTGTAAAAATAAAACGGTTGAATTTAAGCTTTTAAGATGAGTCAAGGAAAAGAGCAAAAAATGCAAAAGTGAAACTTGAAAGGTCATTTCCCCATCAAGGGCTCATGATCACTGGACATTCACAAACTATATTGTTCAAAACATTAGTTCTGAATTTTGATCCAAGTATCCCTGGAGTTTCAGTTTCATTCAAGGATGTCCAAGAGGTCATCTAAGACAATATCATTTGCTATTTTCAGTTTTCTTTTCTGAGAATAGCACAGCAAACTTCTTCAGAGAAATGAATTGTCCTAACTTCATAGGCTAAAGGCTCACGAGTCATAGTTCTAAGGACATTTATCAAACATGGTTGGTGCATGCTTGTATTCTGAACTTTTCAACTTTAAACTCTCATATAGTAAATATTAATAGATACAAACTGTTTAAAGAAAAGCCCTCTTAATCTGACATTATTTTTATTTTTCTTTCTTTCTTCATTTATCAGCAACAGGAGAGTCTAATGAAATGTGGTAAAGTGGTATAAGGGAATACAATGAAAAGTGTAAAATGAATTAAACCAGAGATAATCATGTCAATGTGGATACATCTGGAAAATATAATACAAAATACACCAAAGAAAGTGGCAGAATAGTATGTAAAGTGTATAACCACTCACATACCATTTTAGGACACAAAAAATTCTGCATATTATTTCTGAGCATCACAATATAGTTAAAGATTTCAAAAGGGCATTGAAATGAAAAACGACCAACTTATGATGTTGGTAGCCACTATGCAATCATGTTTTAAAAACCTTAACACCAAAAAGTCTCAAAATCACCGTTTTAAAAGACTGTGTCTAACAGTTATAAATGAATAATTACTTTCCTCATTTTTAATAGTCAAAGATGCCACAAACACACATACACACACATACACACACCCATACATACACATGCACACACAGTCTTGCTCACTAGAACGTCTGATTGGCTTCAGATCATCAGTGTAGTAACACTAGCAGAAAGCCTCTAAAGTTAAAACAGAAACTGACACGTTAATAAGTAAAGCTTTCCTCTACGTAAAGATCAGAACTCCAACTAGCACATAAATCAATGGAAATATCTTAGAGTCTCAAAATTCAGTGCTTTGAATCCCTGACAAGTATGAAAATTTTATACTGAAAACTTCATGCTCTTCAAAACATTAAAAGAGAAACATCTGAGTTAAAGCTTACATTTTTAAAATCTTTTTTATGCTTCTAAATTTATTTTTATTCAAATATGGATACCAACAATAACATTTATGTCAATGCCTTCCATTCAATTTTGAACAAACAGAATTAGGGGTAAGAATAATGTGAGTACTTCCAATCATTTAATGTACTTATTTCCAGCATTCCATTTGTATTGAATAGGTACCTGCTCTCAATGTCTGTACATTCTTTTTTGTACTGCTCCTTTCACAGCAGGATCTTCCATTTCAGTGCTAGGCTGAATGGGTTTTAAAAGAAAATGATTCATAAATCATATATATTTTATACAATGTGGAGTTAGTGATTCAAAAAATATACATAATTAATTACCTTCAAGGAAGGATGTTTTGCAGGAGGCCCTACAAAGCAAAAGGGATATGTCATCAATTATATGTAAGTATGACAGGGCCAACCAAACATTCATGCAGTGTTACTATCGAGCTGAATTCTCATGCCTGGCTACAAAAATAATTACTTAAGGTTTTGAGGGTTCTTCTTGGCTTCTTCTTTTCATTGCCTAGGACAGCAACATGACAGAAACCTAATGAGGAAAATAGGAATATAGGATTCCTAAAATGCACAGCCTACATTTCAGTAGTGAGATTATGTTTCAAATGCCTATACCTAAAATAGAAAAGCATGGATATCACCGTGAACATGTGGGCTGATGAGAAGAAAAGGGACCACTAAACAGACGAGCAAATCAAACCTGAGGGAATCGATGTCCAAGCTGATGGTGAATGTACAGAGTATTTTAACTCAACACATCAGAGGCATTGCTGCCAGCACAGCACAAACAAATTCCCCTTGTCTTGTCACTTAGGAAATATACAGTTGGGATGACAGTTCAGGTGAATGTGTGATTCACCTCTCATCAAAGAAAGTGTTCTACATTGATCAGCTAGGATACACACTTATGAAATAACAGCTAATCAAACTACTCATTTTTCCCATGATCACATGGGCTACTGCAGCACCAACATTTCTCCTATCCCCTCATTTGGCCTTGAGTTAGAGCTCCTTGATCCACTTGTGTGAGGTGGTCCATAAAACACATCAAATAAACCATGTCGAATAAGCTTCCAATATCAAAATATTTATCAAAAAAGAAAACACTGAATTACCACAGACTTGCTAGACACGAATACACATTTATATTTCAAAATCAGTGCAGTATCTATTGAAAATGAGAATTTTGGTATTCACAGAATGAATTTTATAACACAATTGCTTCTAAAATTAACTAAGTTTGGTATATCATCTTACACTGTAAAGGACTTTTATAAAGCAGCTATCATATCAAAGAACTGGCTATCTCAAAAAAAATTAGCCAAAGCATCTATATGCAACTTAATCACATCTTATTCACTCATGTCAATGAAACTTCTCTCTCTGAGGCCTGACAATTATGAAGTGAAATGAGCTGCTGTGGTTTACCCCAATTCTAGCACTCCCTCCTGCCTCCAGTACTCTCCACAGCAATAACCTCTTTTGTGAGACTGGGCATATGCTGAAGCAACTGGAAGTGAGTTGTCTCAAGTTTACTTGGCTTTAACTCCCAAGACCCCAGCAAATGTCTTTCTTTCTTCCCTCTGTGTCCTTTCACAATCCCTCTTCCTTTGAAAAAGGGATTTTTAGATCTGTCATCCTGATGCTTCCCTTCCTAACTGCTTTTTATGGATACTTGTGACCACTTTTTTCATCTGTATTCAGCAGTAGTATACACCTGTAATCTCTCTTTTTTCATCTCATTTTCCTTCCCCTGTAGCTAGAATGATGCTCAGAAATAAAAGAAAATTAATGCTTTCCCTGGATTCTGTTATTATTCAAATTGCTCTCCAGTGGTTCTTTTTCCAGATTTCTCTAAAGGAAGGCTATTCCCTTGCTATTCAGAGCTGTGTCCAAGGACCAGCAACAACATCACCTGAGTACTCATGAGAAACGCAGACTCCCATACCCGCTAAATCAGAATGTGCAGTTTCTAGAAGCTCCTCAACTAATTCATGACGATCTGAATGCCCTGTTCTACACTTTATGTGATTCCATATTAGTTTACCCTAATTGCCCTTTTTGGCCTAGCCTCAATTTCTTCCCTATTATGTCTCTGAATTTAATACTACATTATAAGCCATAATGTTAATATGGCTTTTAATAACTTTTAATCAGGTAATACCTTCTCTAGTTAATTTCTTTCCATACATCACCCAACACTATTCTTTTCAATTATGTTAATTTAGCCTATATGATAGTATCCTATGAGGTTACAACATTTTCTTTAAAACCAAATTATAGCCATACATGGCTGACCATTTATGGTGATGTTCATCTATGGTAGATAAAACACAGGTCTGTGTGGTAAAATACCTCAATCCTTAATGCCTCCCCAGTAGTGAGGATGACAGCAAGGGTAGGAAAATGTTACTCTAATTCTCTGACACATGTTGGTACTGGAAGCTCACTTTATCTTCCTTCCTATTTCTAACACCCTGTTCTTCCTTTTTCTACAGATCAATTTGACTTTACTACCCTCTATTACATACATCTGCATATGTGTTTTTATTTATTCCATGTACACTCTGCCCTCATCTTTCTTTCTCTTTTATTCATTTCCTCTTCCCTCTCTCCTGACTTGCCTTAGGTCTTAGAGTATCTTAAAATGGAACTCACAACTCAGCTCCTTTAGTGGTACTCCCAATAGAATCAACTGCTGACCCTTGGTTAGAGACACAACTTATCACCATTTCACTTCTCCTTTACTTATTATACAGCTAATAGGACATTTTCTTTAGCTATTAGACTCTATTAGTGCTCATATTTTCAAAGAAACATTCCATCAAATGACTTTTTTTTTTTTTTTGAGACAGAGTCTCACTCTGACACCCAGGCTGGAGTGCAGTGGAGTGATCTCCGTTTACTGCAAGCTCCACCTCCCAGGTTCACACTATCCTCCTGCCTCAGCCTCCCAAGTAGCTGGGACTACAGGGGCCCACCACCATACCTGGCAAATTATTTGTATTTTTAGTAGGGATGGGGTTTCACCATGTTAGCCAGGATTGTCTCGATCTCCTGACCTCATGATCTGCCCACCTCAGCCTCCCAAAGTGCTGGGATTACAGGCGTGAGCCACCGCACCCAGCCTGCAACAAATGACTTTTTAAATAAAATACGGTTCTCACCTTCTCCTTTTCCATTGACTATTCTGTTTCCTTTTCCATGGGAAGGTCCACGTAAAGGCTCTGACACTTTCTCGGGGACACACTGCTAAGGTAATATCAAGAATTAATTTCCATTTTAAAATTATAATGAGTTGCATCAAGACTTTCTTATCAATCTCTTTTTATGAAACTGGGTCTCACTCTGTCAACCCAGGGCTAGAATGCAGGGGCCTGATTATGGCTCACTGTGGTCTCAAACTCCTGACCTCAAGCAATCTTCCCACCTCAACTTCCTGAATAGCTGGAACTACAGGTGCATACCATCATGCCATGCTAATGTTTTTATTGTTATCTTTGTAGAAACAAGGCCTCATTATACTGCCCAGGCTGGTCTCAAACTCCTAGGCTTGAGTAAATCTTCGACTTCTGCCTCCCAAAGTGTTGAGATAAGCAGTGTGCACCACCACACCCAGCCCTAATCAATTTCTTTAAATCAATCTCAATGTTGCCCAGGCATGGTGGCTCACACCTGTAATCTCAGCCCTTTGCAAGGCCAAGGTGGGTGGATTGCTTGAGTTCAGGAGTTTGAGACCTGCCTGGGCAACATAATGAGAACACATCTCTACACAAAAAATACCAAAAGGAGTCAGGCATGATGGTGTGTGCCTGTAGTCCCAGCTGCTTGGGAAGCTGATGTGGGAGGATCATTTGAGCCTGAGAGGTGGAGACTGTAGTGTGCCAAGATCATGCCACTACACTGCAGCCTGGGCAACAGAGCAAGACCCTGACTCCCCAAAAATATCAATTTAAAATGTGAGAATGAAGAGACATACAAACAAAAAAGAAGCCTAATTGGTCAATGAAATATGAGCTTAAGCCAAGAAAGAAAAGAAACAACATGAAGTACAATAAAGTACATGGGGAAATAGATCTATAACAGAGCCTTCTGGTCTTTCATATCCCTGATAATACTAATTAATATTTATGCTACAATTAGTTTTTTGTAAGTACTTCTGTGATAGAGTTTATTACTATAAGACATTCAGTTAACTAAATATGGTCATCTACCACTACCTGAAAGAACATTATTATAACAGAGAGAGAAAACTGGAACTTTCCATCAACGTTCCACCCAGAAAAAGAATTGGTCACCAGAATTCTAAAGAGTAATGTATGGCAGACACATGAAAAAATGCTCATCATCACTTGCCATCAGAGAAATGCAAATCAAAACCACAATGAGATACCATCTCACACGAGTTAGAATGGCGATCATTAAAAAGTCAGGAAACAACAGGTGCTGGAGAGGATGTGGAGAAATAGGAACACTTTTACACTGTTGGTGGGACTGTAAACTAGTTCAACCATTGTGGAAGACAGTGTGGTGATTCCTCAAGGATCTAGAACTAGAAATGCCATTTGACCCAGTCATCCCATTATTGGGTATATACCCAAACGATTATAAATCATGCTGCTATAAAGACACATGCACAAGTATGTTTATTGCAGCACTATTCACAATAGCAAAGACTTGGAACCAACCCAAATGTCCAACAATGACAGACTGGATTAAGAAAATGTGGCACATATACATCGTGGAATACTATGCAGCCATAAAAAAGGATGAGTTCAGTCCTTTGTAGGGACATGGATGAAGCTGGAAACCATCATTCTGAGCAAGGACAGAAAACCAAACACCACATGTTCTCACTCATAGGTGGGAACTGAACAATGAGAACACTTAGACACAGGAAGGGGAACATCACACACAGGGGCCTGTTGTGGGGTGGAGGGAGGGGGAAGGGATAGCATTAGGAGATATGTCTAATGTAAATGATGAGTTAATGGGTGCAGCACACCAACATGGAACATGTATACATATGTAACAAACCTGCACGTTGTGCACATGTACCCGAGAACTTAAAACATAATAATAATAATAATAAAGGGTAATGTATGGCTTGAAAAGGTATATTTAATAGAACCTGAGTTGGGACTAATAAAAAGCTTAAGAAATGTTAATCTAAAATCTCAATGTTAAGATTCCAGTTCAATGATACTAGAAAATATATTGTAACCCTCTTTGCTACTGATGACCTATTTCTAATTTATTTCCTTTTTAATTATGGCACAATTTATCAACATAACACATCAAAACTTATACGCCCTTAAATATTAAAAAATAATACAAATGTAAGCAATATTTTAAATATAATATTTAATTGTTAGATACATTAGGTATATTATATTACTTATAACATTCCATTATATAAAAATTCATTTGTCTATTTATTCAGATTAAACAACTATTAAGGCTGAATGTCTCATGCCTGTAACCCCAGCACTATGAGAGGCTGAGGCGGGCAGAACACTTGAGCCCAACAGTTAAAGACCAGCCTCGGCAACAAGGCAAAACCCTGTCTCTACAAAACTCAGCCGAGCATGGTGACACAGGTCTATGGTGACATACCTCTATTGTTTCAACTACTTGGATGGCTGAAGTGTGAGGATCTCCTGAGCCCAGGAAATGGAGATCGGAGTGAGCCAAGATTTCACCAGTGCCCTCCAGCCTGGGTGACAGAGTGAAACCCCATCACAAAAAACAACAAGTAAAATGCTTTTTACATGGAAGACTGTATTCTAGGTACTCCAGGATACACACAAATATGTTTACTGACCTCCAGTAGCCTGTAGTATGCAGGAGCTTCCAATGATTATTTAAACAACTAAATAGAAAACCTTCTGACATTCAAAATTTCAGAATAGGATATAAGGACTTTGAGTGGTTATTTTATTTTTTAAGATGTAGTCTTGCTCTGTCACCCAGGCTGGAGTGCAATGGTGCGATCTTGGCTCACTGCAACCTCTGCCTCCCAGGTTCAAGCAATTCTCCCACCGTGGCCTCCTGAGCAGCTGGGATTACAGGCATGCACCATCACACCTGGTTAATTTTTGTGCTTTTTTTTTTTTCTTTTTTTTTTTTTTTAGAGACAGGGTTTCATCACGTTGGCCAGGCTGATCTTGAACTCCTGACCTCAGGTGATCTACCCACCTCAGCCTCCAAAAGGGCTGGGATTACAGGTGTGAGCCACCACACCCAGCCAAGTAAATATTTTAAATAAACTACAATGACAAAATTATGATGATAAAGTCTTACCATATTGGTATTAAGAGTCTCTGCTTCTAGAACTGGTTATTTGCAGCAAAATACATGTTATTCAATTAGATGAAGTGTTTTATATGAACTCTTCATGGACAACTCATAAAACACACAAAAATCCCTTTGCAATACAAATTTTGAGAACATAAATTTAAATGTCTATGTTTCCACAATTTATATTTTTAAATCAGATACAGTCTTGTTATGTTGCCCAGGCTGTTCTCAAATTCCTGGGCTCAAGCAATCTTCCTGCATCAAACTCCCAAGTAGCAGGGACTACAGGTGTACACCACCACACTCAGCTATTTTTCTACAATTTTTAATATTATTTTAGTCTCACTACAGAACCAATAATATAAGTAGAGAAACAATCTCTCCTAAAAACTATGTGATACCAAAATAATAAGTTTCCAAGAACAAAAGCTGTATGCTATGTGCTGAACCTTTTTGCAACTAAAAGTTACCAGGAGAATTCCATGATTACTACAAATAATTTGATCCACTGAAGAGTTATACAGGCATAAATATTATGAAAGTCACACTCATATGATTTAAAAGTCAAAGTATTAGTATTTATCCAAATAAAGCTTAATCAAATTTCATATTTCCTCTATTGGAGAAAGCACTTCCTAATGTGATTTTCCTCTCACTACTTATTTTCCAGTTCATTTTTTTCAGCTCCTACCCTGTCACAGTACTTATCAATCTTTGTTAGTTACCAAAGTTAAACAAATTTTTTCAGTCAACTAGCCACATATATGTTTTTCTCTGACCCACTTTCCATTACCACCATAAAACAATGATAGGTAAACCACTGCTAAGTTTGAAAAGTAAGTACTATGCAAAACTACATTCAGAGTGAGAAAATTAATTTTACAAGAGACCACTTTACCTTAGCAGCAACACTCAAGAGTTCGTCATCCAATGCAGACAATGAATCCACACACAGTTCATGGAAAATGCTTGAGAGCAAAAATACACAATGAAAATGAGCAAGTTGATTTCTTTACAATTTTTTAACTGCCAGTTTATATCCAGCTTTCCCCTCAAAAAAGGAAAGAATAATCTGGGGAAAGTTCAGTGATCTATATATTAAATTATGATTCTTGATATAATTAAAATATGTCCTCTGTTCTAAAAATAGATTTTAATTACCAATTTCTGCCTCCACCTGTCTAAATCTATAAAATATTCAATGAAAACTAACCTTCAGCTTCATAACAAATAGTGACAGTCAATATATTGGCAGAGCCTGACAATAATTTGCCCTCACAGATTATCTGTCCTGAAGCTGAACTTAAAACTCAATTAATGGATGACATAAATTTTGTTACCTAAACTGGAAGAAAACTGATGACCTAAAACAAGGTAGAAAGATCCACTGTCTCTTTTCCATGATCTATCTCTGGTTAAAAGACTAATCTGTATCACTTTGAAATGGCAGTCTTGATTCCTCAACATGGAACCCACTTAGGAATGTCCTATTGCTTTCCTTTGCCCTAAATCGGTACAGGAAATCCCATGCAATATTTGAAAGGTATGAAAGCTACATGTACAAAAATCAAATAACAAAGGTGTATGTTCTTATTGAGAATACTTTTCCCAGAAAGATTAAAATATTAATAATTATAAAATCCCATTATTTTCACTCTATAAGTCCTACTTTATTCAGGTCCACATAAACTAGCAAGCCCTTAAAAATTTTCATAGGCACTCAGACACCCAAGGAGAGAGACTGCCAGAAAGACAGAGTCCTGGTAGTTGTACCTCTATTTTCCTAAGTACTATCTAAGTATCTATCTTCCTATGGGCTCCCACTTCCAGATTCCACTTCTGCAGGGCTCCACAGAAGTCTCCAATCTTCAAATCTTCAGCCTATGAAAGCACAGATTCCTGAAAGGATGGCCTCAAATGACCAGGAGTAGGAGCCCTCTATATCCCTGCTCCTGAAAAACAAGCTAACTGGAGTCTCCATCACCTGCACCCAGCATAGACATACTACCAACTACCCAACTGAACTCCATGACTGATTTGCCAGCCAATCATGCCCCTGACCCAGCCTACATGGACATGGGAATGACATCAGTGAATCAGGAACAGAGGCAGAGGTGAAGAGGCCACCTGTCCTGGGCCACACATCTATGTAGTCCAGCAATCTCCAGCCCCTTAGTACTCCAAGGGCTCTAAGCCACCCCTCTGAAAGTCAGGATGGAAGTAGATGACACCACATTTCTATCTGCTGTAGACACTCCTCCCACTGTCTCAAAATGTTTTAGCATCTTTCAGTAAAATTCTTCAGGTTTGTCAGTCCTTGATTTAAAAAAAAAGGAGCAAACTTTTTAGAGCTCCCTTGAACTCTTTATCAAACTTGTCATAAACTCCAATATTTTGATCTCTTATTGAAGAGTCCATACTCCTATCCAATCCAGTGTTGTTTCTCTTCAAACATGGCCTTTCCCTGCTCATTCCATTCTTATCTACTTCCATTGGGTTCACCAGCTAATTCCATTCTCATACTATCCACTGGGTGCACCGGACTCACTCCCATTTGTATTATTAAAGCACATGCAAATAGGATATAAAAAGAAGGAAGAGTACTGGGCCTTAAAATGAGTTCAAATCTCATTTCTGCCCATTCCTATGTCTAAAAAAAAAGCATCCTAATCTCTTTGAGCCTCACATTCTCTATCTAGAGAATCACTTGACCAGAATGTTCAATACAGGTAAAAATACTAGAAAGTATTTTAATTCATTCTAAGATTCCTTAAAATTCTGTAATTCTATGTCCTCTTGATTCTGTCTGTAGGAAAACTGGGAATACATACCCAGCAGAATTTGAAAAAATAATAGAACAAAAGAAACAGCAAGAAAAGCAGAGAAGAAAGTTCTAAAAAATCAAGACAAGATTACAGAAAAGTCATGGAAAAAGAAACAAGACTAAAAAAAGTATTATGGAAGCAGGCAGAAATACTTGCTAAATGGAAAACCAAACTGGGAAGTCAAATAATTTCTCTCTAAGACTTGCCTAAACTTGCTTTTGTAAAACTTACAGCCCTATGGCCAAAGCTAAGTCAGATCTGCCCTAAAGCTTTGATGGTAAAAATAAGATACTGGTTACCACTGAAATTGTCAAATTTATTAGGACAAACTCTTCGACTAACCACATTCTAACAATAACCTTAAATGAGAGTTTAAGGTATTTAAGGTATTTAAACTCTCATTAATTTAGACATTAATTAAATTAAGGAATCTGATTAATCTGATTCAGACCTATACCTTGATCCAAGTGCTGCACGGATGTCTATCAATCTATGCTGAGGAGCAAGAGAAGGGATTTGGAAGCCAGGCAGGCTGACGGTCAAACTGTAGGCCAGCTACTTTGTTAATTATGAGATTATAAGGCAATTAATCAACTGCTCTAATCCATAGTTGTTTATTTAATAAACAGTAGGTTATAGGAACACTGTTGTGATGGTTTTATGAGATGATAAATGCATAGAACATATTAGGATGTCTAGCCCAGAATACAACACTCAACAGATATTAGTTTCTTCCATCTATATTTTCTTAGTTAACATAATTTTTTAAATCTATAAAGTCCTACCTGACTGCAGATTCATCAGAACTTCCAACATCTATTAAAGAAAAAGGTAGAATGCATTTTAAATCAATAATAAATGTACAAAATATTAAAAGCATAAGAATGCACGGTGATGCATGCCTGCAATCCAAACTACTTGGGAGGATGAGGCAGGAGGATCACTTGAGGAATCTAGAAGTTTGAGACCAGCTTGGGAAACATAGTAAGACACTACCTTCATAAAAAAAAATTGTGCACACTTGTGTGTATGTTTTAGATCCTGTTTTTGTTGTTGGTGGTGGTGGTGGTGGTTTTGTTTTGGTTTGTTTTTTAAAAGCATAAGACTGATGCTTTGTTACAAAGAATTCCTTTGGGAGAATGCCTGGGACCTTATTAGAATTAACATTAATTTTACCTATTGGTAGGTAATTAATGCAGTAAGAACTCTTCCCTTTGTATTTATTAGATGCAAAGAAGAATAAATTTATTAAAATTTGGTATCTACAAGTGAACTGCAGTATACAAGTCATCCTAGCCAAACCCTATGAGACTGAGTAAAAATGTTATTGTTAGCAGAACAGGTGTGATGAGTCAACAGTGTCAAAGAGCATGATTTCTGGACCAAAATATGAGGAGCAGTTAGAGGATACAGTAGTACCCCTTATCCACTATATGTGCAGAAAGACATACTTGACATGTTTTTCTCTGCTCTCACGCCACAGCAACAATCATCAACAAAGAAGGCTTCTGTGACCAAATGTGTGGAGAGTTTTTCCCCACCAACAAGCAAGCAATCATTCCTGCTGATGGCACAATTCAATTCTCCCACCCTATCTTCAGATTACATCAGACTTAATTTATAAATTAAACTTTATCATAGATATGTATGTATAGGAAAAAACAGTTTGTGATTCAGTACTATTCGTGGTTTCTTGCATCCACTGGGGGTCTTGGAATGTATCTCCCACAATTAAGGGGGAACTACTGCACTTATTTTGTTATAACACAACACAGCCTCTCTAGCTCTTCAGTTCAAACTGTTCAGTTTAGGATAAAACATCCTATCACCAGAAGCCAGCAAAACATAGGAATCAGACCAGAAACAGGAATCCTTGCAAAAACTTTCCAGCTGCCAGTGGAGAAGAGCTCAAGAGAGATCACTGTGTTACTCTGGCTAACACTCTTCTGGGGAAGGTGCTGGGTGGTTTCCTTAGTTGTAGCTATTTGCTCTGCCCTACATATAACAAGGCCCATGTGCACCTGCCATTTTACCTCCCACAGAAAGAACCACTGGAAAGATCACTCCTTTAAGAGCTTATCCACATTCAGAGATAAGCTGAAGAAACACTGGGGAGGTGTGGCAGGCTGCCGGGCAGTATTATCTCATGTGAAAAATATATAGAAAGAAAACTATCAATGCCCTTTTACTACCAGAATGTTCCAATGCTTGCCATTCTCCCTAGTAGGAGAAAAAAATTCTTTTTCACCTCACATAAAGCAAAACTCCCTTGCCATCCCTCATAACAGAATCTAGTTGTAGGTGAGTCATGTCATCATAATACAGGCTGTTTTCAACCTCATCCTCAAAGGAAAAGGATCAGTGAGGAACATATGTATTTACCTATAGCATTCACTGCCTGGTCTTATTTCCAACCGAAGGTAAGTATGAAAGACTTTGTGATTCCAGTTTTATAAAGTACAACCCCTTGCGCTTGTCCCCTTCCATTGCTAGACACTGTATCTGGACCCACCTCACAGAGCAAGATGCTCCAGTTTGTGCTGTGTGGTACGGCGTGGTGTCCTTTTCCTCAACCCTTTCCATTATGTGCCAAATATCTATACAAATCATGTTTTCTAAGTATGTAAAGCATACCTCATCAGCATATATCATTCTTTACAATGATAAAAAAGCAAAAGAAAGACAAAAGGACAAAGAACATCTTAAATGGCTACCTTCAATTGCCATGGAGCTTTAATTTTTTTAACTATTCAAAAAGATATCCACAGTATTATCCCAACTATATGACTCTTCTGAAAAAAGTAAAACTATGAAGACAGAGTAAAGATCAATGGCTGCCACAAGTGGCTAGGGAGAAAGGGAGAGATGAACAGGCATAGCATAGAGAATTTTTAGGGCAGTGAAACTGTTCTGTCAATAATATAACAGTAATAGATACATGTCATGTCATTATACATTTGTCCAAATTCACAGAATGTACAGCATCAAGAGTGAAGCCTGATGTAAACTATGAACTTTGAGTGATTATAATGTGGCAATGTAAGTTCATCAGTTGTAACAAATGTACCACACTCTGGTGGAAAATACTAATAATGGGGGAGGCTATGCGTGTGTTGGAGGCATGGGATATATGAAATCTCTGTACCTTCCTCTCAATTTTGCTGTGAACCTAAAACTGCTCTAAGAAATAAAGTTATTGATTTAAAAAAGATATTCACAGCTGGGCTCAGTGGCTCATGCCCGTAACCTCAGCACTTTGGGAGGCATAGGCGGGTGGATCACCTGAGGTCGGCAGTTCAAGACCAGCCTGGCCAACTTGGCAAAACCTCACCTCTACTAAATACAAAAATTAGCTGGGCAAGGTGGCAGGCACCTGTAATTTCAGCTACTTGGGAGGCTGAGGCAGGAGAATCACTTGAGCCTAGAAGGCAGAGATTGTGGTTAACCAAAATCGCACCACTGCACTCCAGCCTGGGAGACAGTGAAACTCCATCTCAAAGAAAAAAAAAAAAAGATATTCACTGTTTATGCATCCCAGGATCTCCAGAACAATAATTAAAATAATAATAATAAAAAAATATGGCCGGGTGCAGTGGCTCATGCCTGTAATCCTAGCACTTTGGGAGGCCGAGGTGGGTGGATCACCTGAGGTCAGGAGTTCCAGACCAGCCTGACCAACATGGTGAAATCCCGTCTCTACTAAATACAAAAGATTAGCTGGGCATGGTGGTGCATGCCTGTAGTCCCAGGTACTTGGGAGGCTGAGGCAGGAGAATTGCTTGAACCCGGGAGGGGGAGGTGGCAGTGAGCCGAGATTCTGTCATTGCACTGCAGCCTGGGCAACAGAGCAAAACTCTGTCTCAAAAAATTAATAAATAAATAAAAATAAAGATATTCACTGAACCTGTTATGATGATATATTTAAGCAAGACACAGTGACCCTAAAAATTAGAGATCATTGAAGACCAAAGTAACAGCATGTGGTCATTATAGTTCTCAAATTGAAGTATATGAAATATATAAAATAAATAAATTTAATTGCATGCTTAGGTAAGAAAATATTGATAAAAATGATTGAATATTTTATCTTATTTCATAATTCTAAACAGGGATTTAGCACAATATGAAAACTAGATTATTCATGTAATTAAAATAAAATACAATTTTTATTCTAATTTTAACTCAAATTATTATGCTTATTTAATTTAACAATTTTACTGAAAGCTTAATGAGATAAAAAGGACAGATTATAATTACCTAACATTGCTATGGTAACTTATATACAAATACCTGTTAGTCACCAAAAGTCAAAAAGTAACCAGCATTGCAACTTAAGATGGATCATACAACAGAAATTAGTACCAAGTTACCTTATCTTATAATATTATGTGTTATTAAAATAAAATTTTAAAACAACACTAAAAATTAAATTGGGGCTATAAGCATTGTGCAGAAAAGATTTCATATAGCAGGCAAGAGACTGCCATCCTTAGAAAGGCCTGCATGCAAGGCTGGCCCTTGGCTGGTGTTAAGGAAATTGGAATTGGGAGGGTTTCCACCATTCCCTGAGAAGAGTGGCTCACTGTGTCTAAAGTGTTTATAGAAACAGTGTGGTTACTCTGAACATCTGTTTTCCTTGTAAGAGTCTGGAATTTGGGTACATGTAAGGGAGAATAATTTCCACAGAAAAATTTGGATACTTCATCTCTAATGAGACTCTGGTACTGGTAGACATCACTGCACATATGTTGTCAAAATGTGAGCCTGGGAGAATTAAGCAGATCCCGGGCACTCCACAGGAGAGAACTCCTGGAGGCTTGTGCCTGGTTTCCTCCAGAATTGACCACAAGCACCTTATTCCTCTACTAATTTTGCTTGTCCCCTTTCTTGTTATCAATTAAAGATCTGAGTATGACTATTTGCTGAGTCCTGTGAGTCCTTCTAGTGAACCACCAAACCTGGGGTGGTCTTGGGAAACCTTGACACAAATACATTGTGTAAGATTTGTATTAAGTTGATGTGATATATGTAACTAATCAGATGGCTATTTCACAGAATAATTTTCCCTAAACTGTTTTTCTTTTCTTTTTTTCCCTTGATATTTGACTTGGAGATTCTTGTATTTCTATATCTATCCACATGAATAAAGCCATAAAAGGAATAAATGACACAATAATGTCAGAAAATAATGTGGAATAAGCAGCAATCCTATTTTAACCGAATAAAAAATAGAGAATCTGGGTGATTGACAATATGTTCTACAATATGAATGTTTCTAGAAAAAATAATGAAAAGGTGGTCAATTTTCTGCAACTCAACTGGGCTTAATTCCTTTTTATAATAATTGTGCAGGTCAGGTGCAGTGGCTCACACTTGTAAATCCCAGCATTTTGGGAGGCTGAGGCAGGAGGATCACTTGAGCCCAGAAGTTCCAGACCAGCCTGGGCAATATAGTGAGATCTCATCTATTAAACAAAAGAAAAAACAAAAAAACCTTAAAAAGAAAATTAGCCGAGTGTGGTGGTGCATGCCTGGAGTCCCAGCTACTTGGGAGGCTAAGGCGAAAGGTGAAAGGATCATTTAAGGCCAGGAAGCAGAAGTTGCAGTGAGCCAAGATGGCACCACTGCACTCCAGTGCAGAGCAACAGAGGGAACAGAGGGAAGAGAGGGAAACACTGTATCAAAAATAAATAAATAAACAACTGTGTATCAGGCCAGATATAACCATACAAAACTGTAGTCCCAGCTACTCAGGAAGATGAGGTAGGAGGACTGCTTGAGCCCAGGAGTTCAAGGCTACAGTGAGCTATGTTTGCACCAATGAATAGACACTTTATTCTAGCCTAGGCAACATAGAGAGACCCCATCTCCTATAATAATAATAATTGATTAATTGTGCATCATTCAAGTAAATTGTATAACTGGAGAAAAACATATGACTATTGAATATACTATAATAGTCTACTACTGATCATAGAGTTCCTGTTTACTTGCTTCTAATCTTCTTGTTTCTTATAAAACTAAAAACATGATTCACCCATTAAAGGCAGTTCATTACAGAACAAGTCAAAAAGTCAAAAGAATTGCATCCAAACTGTAGGAAGTGTTATCTGCCACTCCCCACGAACAGTTGGATTTGGTCATTAAGAATCAGCAGGACTTTTAACTTGGTGTCTGTGTGCACATGCGTGCGCACATATGTATGTGTATATGTGCATGTGTGTATGTGTACAAACTATGACAGATAAAACCATTTTGCTTGTGTAAGAATGTGTAATATAACTTGTGCTTCTCATGAAGGAATTGCTTTTCTGTCTTCTGTGCTCAGTAGCTATCCTCAAAAAATAATCTCTTATTTGTATGGGTGCATGCTGGTTCAGTTTTACAGTTCTTATTGCCATTTATTTATGGTACCAGAAAGGAATTGCTGAGTTCCTGGTTCTAAAGATAGTTACTTCCTTAGTGACACAAATCAATATGTAATACAGTTCGCCCTTCAACAGCAAGGGTTTCAACTGCAGCGATTCACTTATATGCTGATGTTTTTCTGCCTCTGCAACCCAGAGACAGCAAGATCCACCTCTCCTCTTCCTCCTCAGGCTAATCAACCTGAAGATCTTGAAGACCTTTGTCAGGATCTACTTATGCTTTATGAAAAGTCAATATATCATTCCTGATGATTTTCTTTCTAACAGCTTCATTTCTCTAGCTTACTTTATTGCAAGAACACAGTATATAATAATGCAGCACAAACAAAATAGGTGTCCATCAACTGTTTATGTTATCAGGAAGGCTCCCAGTCAGTGGTGGGCTATTAGTAGCTAAGGTGAAGAAATCAAAAGTTATACTCAGATTTTCAACTGCACAGGGATCAGAGTCCCTCACCCCCACATTATTCATGGGTCAACTGTAATTATTTGTTTACTAAATATAAACAATTTATTATAAAAATGAAATAGAAGATCCATTTGTATAACAAGTCCAATTTGTTATAATGTGACTATAGAGGAAACATACAACATACTAACTTAAAAATCTTTTTTCTTATTTATGCAAAAATATTATATAGGATTTTAGGGATCATAATTAAATAAAGGAATTTTTTCAGGCAATAATGTTTGAGATTATAAGTTAGCTACAACTACCTTCTTAAATAAATCTGAATTTCAAACTAAAGAAGTTAAATTTTAAAAAATAATTTACAAATGTATATACATATATGCACATTTAATTTACATATATTTTTAAACTGGTCTTTTTTTATTAACACTACCTTAATCTTACATCTTACTTTTTACTTTCTTATCAAGAGTAGGACCACCAAGAGTAATAAGAAATTCACTATCAGAAGTCTTACCTGGTTTGTCATTTTTAAGTATCATCTTTTTATGCTCCAAAATTTGTTGTTGAATTCTATGTATACAAAAGTAATAAATAAAATTGCTATTTTAATACTGAAATAAAAAATATTTACCAAACATATTAAGTTCTAAAACCATTTCAGGCAATATCAGACCTAATATCAGAATTTTAATGTCCCATACACTTCAAATTTTTAAACCTTACAAGCTTATTAAGCTTATAATTAAAGAAGAAAAAAAGTGAAGTACTCATAAATGGAGGAAGCATAGCTCAGTAAATGAACTCTAGTTAGCTGGACATCATGTAACATGTCCTGCACTCAGAATAAGTCCTCACTCTGTAACTAATCGATATTTTGTTTCCAGACAAGTTGCTTCTCTTAGGATCCATGATTTCTTCTAAAAAATAAGGATTTTGCTACCTTACTTCAGTAGGTTGTTAGGAAGATGTAATAAGATTACATGTTTAAATGTTCAGGAAATAGTAAAGCAATGAAATGATTTATTCTTGAACTTTATTGCTTGGTGTGTGTTTTTCTATAAGTTCTAATATTCAATTGTTGCAGTTTGCAGAAAATGTTATTAAGTGCTAATTTTGGTTATTAGTTGTATTCTTTGTGGCTTGTAATTCAGGGCATTTTACCTAATTCATAACTCATCTGATTAAAATAGATTACCTAATTGTCTCCCATCACTGAGCTCATCAATCACACCAAGGGCAGAAAACTAATAGGTGTCAAAACCTGGGCTTGGACAACTACCACTCTTTCTCTACCTCCTCAAACTCTGAGCCAGCAGATCTGTGCTAGGACACTGGATCTCCATGGTCCTCTCCAACTAACATACAAGACAAAACCCTGCTTTTATTGCTTTTCAGTTCCATGAAGGAAATGCAAGTTGACATTTTGTCATTTCCAAGACATGTACCGGCAACAAGTAACATCCCCTTATTACTCAGCTCTGTTCTCATTTCAGAGATCACCTTACATCAGTAGTTTCACAGTTATAATCACAATTTCAATATTGGGTGTCTTCTGTTTTGGTTTCACTCACACTGCTTCCTTGGAGCTACTCGACAAATAGTCAAATGACCTTCCCGGAACTATGCAAAATATGGAATGCTTTCTGAATTTATGTGCCATCCCTAGGCAGCAGCCATGCTTATCTGCTCTGTATTGATCCAATTTTAAAATATGTGCTGCTGAAACAAGTACAAAGCCCTGTTTGATACATGGACACTCCTGAGTCATGGATGAGGCTTAGCTCTGTTAAATCCAACTCACCTACTTTAGATTCAGAGAATTTTATTGAATGGCTTCCTGTGAGGTAGAATTTTAAAATATATTTAAAACTCCAGGAAGAGTTGTGATTAGCCCAGATTTTCATTATCATAGAGACACATTACTTGAGGGGCCAACTGCAAGTTGGTTCCCACTACTCGGTGGAAAGATAACATGGAACCTTCTGCTATCTAACCAAAGCTGCTCCACAGGATGTAAAAAAGCCTCAAGGTACAGATCTGATAGCAAAAGGGAAAGGGAACCCTAATCTTTTCCTGCAACATTATTTGAACATCCCTGACTGTTGAGAGCAATCCCAACTAATGTT
Organism: Homo sapiens; assembly: GCF_000001405.40. Lineage (NCBI taxonomy): Eukaryota > Metazoa > Chordata > Mammalia > Primates > Hominidae > Homo > Homo sapiens. The sequence goes on along the minus strand of NC_000018.10, from coordinate 14,190,305 downwards.
GGTTAAAGAACAGACAAACACGGGTCTCAAAGGATAACTTACCATGAATGCCTAGGCTAAGTATAGCTAAGATGTGGGCTCCAAATAAGGTTTTTAGTGTAGGGTGAGGATCAACTTGCTCAATATTTGTGTGGGTAAAGCTAGGAGGCCTAGCTGCCAGATCAGGGTGCTGGCATCAGGGAACAATGACTGAGCATAAGTACATAAATTAATAAACACCATAGCTTTGAACTGTATGTATGAATCACCACAAAAACCGAGGGGTCTGAATGAGTGAAGTCATCCTGGTGGCAAAGGTCAATCATTATCAGATTGCAGGACTAGTTACAATGGCAACAATACAGGAAATGAGTCCATTGAAACAACAGAATGATCAGAATGGCCTTTTTCCCCCTTCTTCTGACTTGTAAAGAAAGATTCCCTTCCTTGGACTTAGGAAACTCCTTAGCTTCTTGGAAAATTCAAAGAAGGAAGACACAGGAGATAGCCCCAGGGGAAAATACAAGATTTTCTGCTAAATTGGACATTTCAAGACCCAATAACTAATTAGAAAAGTCAGGCCAGGCATGGTGGCTAGCACTGTGACAGGCCGAGGCAGGAGGATTACTTGAGCTCAGGAGTTCAAGAGCAGCCAGGGCAACAGAGTGAGACCTTGTTTCAAGAAAAAAAAAAAAAAAGAAAAGAAAAGAAAGGAAAAGAAGTAAAAAATGTGGCTCTTTTTATCCCATGCATGGGGATTATACTTAGGATAAAATGAACAACATTGAGATCCCTAGGGATAAAGGTCTTAAAAATCCTGAAAATATCTTGCACTCTACTTCTAACTAATCTAGATTTCTGCTTGATTTCTGGCTAAAAGGTAGACTAACTCATTGCTATTTCAAACTATCTGAACCAAACTAGGAACTCTCACCTAATGTATAAGATGGAATAGTTGCAATTATTTTAAACTTCAATTCAATATTAACTGGCCTTTTAACATAAACACTTACTTTGTCAAACGGCAAGAAATAGCGTAATCTTCTGCATCTCGTCCACACATGTCTTGAGTAAAGACATTAATACTTTGCTTAAGAAGGATGTTGACAATACCCAGTGAGTCATAGTGCACAGCAAGCATGAGGGCTGTTCTAAAATAACAAAGAAATCACTCCACTCAAGAACTTTAATAGAGACTTTTTTAAACAGCTAGTTTGATACACTTTACCAATTTAATATCCACCTGTCAGTGTAGACATAATAACATTTTGCATGTACTAGCTTGGGTCTATAAGCATCTAGGGTGCTCAAGTGTTCATCTTTGTAAATTATCACCAAGGCTGAAAGAAAAGGACAACAAGGAAGCCTCTTGTCCCACTGGGGTATGACATAATACAAGTTGCTAACTCATAGTCCTTTGATGGCCAAGAAACTGTGCTGAGGTCACTTATCTAAAGTAGGTAAAGATTTAGATGAAGATTTCGCCATTGCTTTCCTAGTCTGATATATAATTCAAATCAGCTAGGGGTCAGATAAGAGCTATCTGCAGGCTGAAAACAACAACAACAACAACAACAATAATAATAATGACAATGCTAGTAGTCATAAACTAAAAGTCCACACTTTAAAAATTAATAAAACTGGCCAGGTGCAGTGGCTCATGCCTGTAATCCCAGCACTTTGAGGAGCCAAGGAGAGCAGATCACGAGGTCAAGAGATCGAGACCATCCTGGCCAACATGGTGAAATCCCATCTCTACTAAAAATACAAAAATTAGCTGGGCATGGCGGCGTGCACCTGTAGCCCCAGCTACTTGGAAGGCTGAGGCAGGAGAATCACTTGAGCCTGAGAGGTGGAGGTTGCAGTGAGCCATCACACCACTGTACTCCAGCCTGGCAACAGAGCCAGATTGCATCTCCAAAAAAACTTAATAAAGCTAATACAAAACCCTTTAGCTAATACAAGATTACAGTACCAAAAACATCCAATTATAAATAACAAACACTCTATATTTAGGAGAAGATGAATCCTACTATATACTGTTCTTTATGTTACTCAGTCCAAATATTTGCTGATCTATCTGATTATTCATGGTGATATTTTTCACTATATGCCAATAATTACGTTAATCTTCTTATTAATATTTCTGACTTCAGTGACTGTTACCACTCTAGAATACACAGTTTTTATTTAAAAAAAAAAAGAACTACTGTACCATCTCAGCCTATCAACGGCATGTGTACTTGCTTTGTTTTTCAATAAAAATTCCACCATTTTCTCTTTCTTGCAAATTATAGCGAATAAAAGTGGGGTATTACTGTCCTATAAAACAGCAGAAAAAATTAGTAATTCAGAAAATTACATATTTCTCAACTGAACTGAAAATCTTCTCTAAGGTGCTTTGAACTTCAACATACAATATAGAAAGGAAGTAAAAGAAAAGCAGTCCCTTCCTTCTCACTCTGTGCTTTCTGATGTGCTGCTCTTTGCCTTGCAAACAATCCTCCTCTGTCTCCCCGGATTAACTGTGGTCATTGCCAAAACTCACTTTAGACATTTACCAGTCCCAAGAATCCTTGCTTTGATCACAGCACTTAGCATGGTACATTGTAATCATTTCACTGTGTCCCACTGAAACCAAGAGCTTCTTGAGGCAAGGTCTGTATCTTTTGTCTCTATACCCCCAAAACCCTAAGACATAGTAGCAAACATTTTAAGTTTTTTACATAAATTAATGATCTAAATTATTCTCACTAAAGCAGTGTTTCTTAAACTATATTCCAAAGAATATTTGCTTTACCAGAAGTATTATACCCCAAGAGAAGGACTCCATGACCATCTGCATTTGAGAAGTATTATAAAACTGTATGTTATGTCCAATAATCAAGAAATCTCTTGAATTGTACCTAATCCCCATTTGACAATACTATTTGTGGCAAACATTAACATTTGAGGAATTAAGAGTTTTAGGGGTACAGTTGCCAGAGCTTCCCAATGCAGGTGGAGGTTTCTTCTGGGTGGCACAAACTTGCTTGATTCACTTCTATCAATGGTGTCAGGATCCCAGATGTCAATGTCAGGCACTCCTGCTCCAAATGGGTCACTATGGAAATGAGCTTTGAATTAAGAGAGATTGGCTTCAAATGCACTTATTTTCCTTATTATTAGATAGTCCATGGGTTTTTTCCCTAATACAAGAGAATAGATTTTTATCTTTACTGTTAGAAAGCTCAGTATGTTCTGTGTAAGAGAAATAGGTTTAAAAAACTTAAGAACAAATATTTAAAAAACCAAAACTCAGTAAGAAATACTATTCTCAATTATAATGGTAATCCCGGGACTCCAGGGCAGCTCTACTTTTTAAATCCATTTTTATTGGCTTCCACTTAAAGGGCTACTTAAAATTATTTTTTATTTTAGACAAAATATAAATCAGAAATAAAAACATAATGGCCTATCAATAAAAGTTCTCATACTGATCCATATGAATTATTTCTGGCATAATAAAAGCCAGTAAGTCACTTGCATTTCTAAGGAAGAGCGCTGAGGAGAAAGATGTAATGTCTGCAATATTCATAAATTATCCAACTATAACCAGGAATAACCTAAAAAGTCTTCTAGGCATTCTTAGGGGCAGATAATTATTTGTGGTATATATAAAGAAAAGAGTTTCAAAAACTTCTAAATTCCAAAATTCAACTTCATAACTGAGGGATTTATATACTCTATAGACTATATATTATAACAAATACACGCTGACTTAAAAACCTTGAAATCTTTATCAAAATATACTATAAGATAGGAGTTGTAAACTCAAATACTTACAAGCACAAAGGAAGGTTGCCTGAGTAAAGGAAGTACTAAGGTGGGCACAGCAGCAAACTGGAGAATACACGCCTTCTCTAAAGGGGCAACCTCTGCACAGCAGACCAAACAGTGATAGAAACTCAGGGGACACCAGATTTGATTTTTTAGAATAAGCCTGAAGTCCAGATTTCTACACCAGTCTTCTAAATTTTACATGTTGATTCAACTTATAGAGGCAAACAAACAAATCTGTGTACCACATTAGAATAGAGCCCTTGTGTTTTTATATTCGCTATTAATGTGTTACTAAATGGTTGTGTATAATCCAAGTATTTGCATGTAAAATATTTTCTTTCTCTAGTATCATATGTTTTACCAAAAACTCAGGCTCTCATATATAATAAAAATTGCTTAAAAAGACTCATAATACCTGCTTCAAGAATTTTTCCAACATTTATTCATTTAAAATATATTTGTATATAATTTTCCCAGATTGTTAACCAAATAGATAATTGGTTCATAGGACTGCTAAAACTAAATTATTAAAAGAATTCATATCTGTATTTTTATTAACTCCATGGACTTCAGTGTTTAAAACTGACATTTTGGTTATGCTAAAGCTCTATAAACTTAACAAACATACTGAGCTAGTTCATAATACAACTTCAACTAAAAAAAATAGTTCAGGATTTGCTACTATTCTAATTGAGAAAGCCCAACTTGTAATGAACATTTGTTGACACGTAATCACGTGCATGGTGACAAAGGGACATCAAATCATGAAAGGGTCAGCCTCTACTTATTGAAAGATTACCCATAAGCAAATTTCTAAAAACTCTCTGAATGTCAGTGAATGATTAATGTTGGGAAGGAAAGGTGTTATTCTGTAAGCTGAGAGATATTACCAGTAATATTTCCTTTCACTTCCTAGTCACTGATGTAGAGAAAGACAGATAAGTCAGGCTAATATTACTGAAAAGGAGAACTTCGAAGGAAGTAGCACCTATCAAACGCCAATTCTTCTAGAGATTTCTTACGTTTTTGAGATACAGAAATTATATGTTGCACTTATCTGTTCTGGGGTTCTTAATCAGGAGTGTATCCGAAACTTGAGAGTTTTTTTTTTTGTTTTTTGTTTTTTGTTTTTTTTGGTGTTATTGTTGTTAGAGGCAAGAGTCTCACTATGTTGCTCAAGCTGAACTTAAACTCAGGCTCAACCTGGGACTACAGGAACATGTCACTGTGCCCAGCTTCAAGAAAATGTTTTTAAAAATGTTCAGGCCTTATAAGGTCTATTACATCAAAATCCTCAGGGGAAAGCCTACATTTGTAGATTTTTAACAAAATGTCCTCAGGTCACTGTAATGCACAATTCTGAGAATTAGTGCAGCAATCACTTCAGTCTCATCTCTCACCCGCATGGCTAGTTCCCTTTATCAGTTGGACATGTGGCCAAAAAGAGAAAAGAGTAAGAGATAGTGTCATTTATTAAAGCTCCAGTTAAGTTTCCTGGGTATGGGTAGAACACAAACAAGTAAACTCAAAATCCCACTTGATTTTGCTATTTACAAGCTCCTTATCTCCCACCTTCCCACCAAGACATTCTAGGTTTGAGAGGAGTCTTTAGACTCTTATCTAAGTGGCTGTTTCTGCCAGGATGGGCAATAAGTCAGTTAATAATTTGTTCCACCTTCTGCTGAAGTGTTTCTCACTTCACCACCACATATTCACTGCCAATCTGGTTTCCTCAAAGTCTTCCTAAAATTCATCTCTAGGCGAGTTTCAACTCACTCTCATTTTCAAACAAAAAATTATTAGACCCAAAGCTAAGGAGTGCCTTGTCTCAACACATAAACTGGAACAACAACAAACTAAGAGAAAAAAAAAACTCTTCATAGCATTTTCCCTCATTACCTAATTTCCAAGTGACCTGCATATTTCTGATTGCTCTCCTTTTCCCTTCCCATTTTTCCCTCTTAAGCCTTGTGCCACTGAGAGATGATACATCAGTTTTTCAGAAAATTATCAGCAGCAGCAACATGTCCACTTATTGTAAGTTGCTTTAGTTTTGTTTGAGTTTTAAGATAAAGCCTATTTCCAGGGCATATTTTCTTTCCTGTGTTGTTTTACGCTAATTACGGGGAAAAAAAGGAAAGATAACCCTGCATAGAAAAAAAGTTGAAAAGGTTTTACCTTTAACAAATTCACAAATATTTTCCAAAGTGCGTTTTATAAAGCTGTACCCTTTAATGCTCCTTTAAAAGTATCAATATTTAAAATAAAATCTTAGACAATTATTTCAAAATTATTTGCATTTGCATTCAGGGAATGGTTGAGCTTCCAAATATAAAAAATTGACCCTTACCTATGTCAATGTTAAAACAAATATTTTGGAAAGAAAGTTGATTGATCTATACCTTGTCCAGTGCTTCAATATTTTCACCATGGAAAAGCAGTTTTTCTGCCAGTGAGGTGCTCTCACTATACACAGCATAATGGAGAGCAGTGTTGCCGTAGATATCCTTAAGGTTTGGATTGGCACCATGTTCCAGCAGAATAACGGCACAAGCCTCTTCCTGGCAATGGACAGCCTGTCCGTGTTAGACCAAGAAACAGAATGTAAATTCCAAGAATTCAAAATACACATTCCACAGGTTTCACCAACTAGTTATATTTAAATGAGATCAATTTATTTTAATTCTATATATGCAAATCAAATCCATGTCATGCTAAAAGAGTTGGCTCTAATATACCTGTATCAAAGGCGTTCTATTTTCTTTGTCATAGATATCAATCTGGCATTTTCTGTTAACCAGGAGAGTGACCACTTTCACATGGCCACTGGCACAGGCCAAATGTAGAGCAGTTCTACGAGAGTAACAGGACTTTTTAGGAAACTGTAGTGCAACATCTCAAAACATACAATCATTCATGTAATTAAAAACTGAATAGCATGTTTTTCCTCTGCCTTCAAAACAAACACTTAATTTTTTTGAAGAAAGTACAATATTTACTAGCTCTTATTGCTCACTGCCTTAATGAAAACAGCAGCCTATTTGAATAGAAACAGCTCAGTCTTTGGATTCAGTTCAACTAGGGCTTGAGTCCTTCTTTAAACCCTGTCACTTACCAACTATTGCTTAGCCTTTCTGTGTCTCAACTTCCTCATTAAGAAAGAGGACAATAGTAGCTATCTCATAGGACACCATCATGATGCTTAAATGAGAAGCTATGTATTTAGAATAGTTCCTACAATAACTCAATAATTGTAAGATTTTTATTTTTTGAGACTAAGTCTCACTCTTTTGCCCAGGCTGGAGTGCAATGATGTAACTATAGCTCAATGCAGCCTGGAACTCCTAGGCTCAAGCGATCTTCCATCCCCAGCCTCCTGAGTAGCTGGCACTACAGATGTGCACCAGCATGCCCAGCTATTTATTTAAAAATTTTTGTAGAGTAAGAATCTCACTTTGTTGCCCAGGATGGTCTCAAACTCCTGGCATCAAGCAATCCTCTCACCTCAGCCTCCCAAAATTCTGGGATTACAGGTGTGAGCCACTGCACCCAGCCAGATATTATAATTGTTACTATTACTACTACTTAACAAAAACATTTTAATTAGGTAAAAGATACAATTATACCTACTTTGCAGGATGGCTTAAAGAGTAGGTCACATTTTAATACTTCTGACATTGGAATGACACATATTATTATAACTATAATTGGTAGCATTTTAAAAATTATCTTATTGATATATAAAATAGCGGGGCATCACACAATCCATGAGACCTTACATTAAGTAGAATATGGTATACTCAGCAGGTCTAGGGCAGTTCTAGGCATACAACTGGCATGTAAATACATTTTAGTTCTTAAAGGTACTATGGGGATAGAGCACTGAAATAACAATAATGCATTTTTTAAACAAATTAATTCCTTGATTTTCAAACAAACTGAAGCCAAAGGAAACTCATGATTCAAATGAATACATATGGCTCATTTTATTCAATATTTATACTTACAGAATATATGCAAATAAGACTTTCCAATGATTAATATTAGTATTTAAGACTGATAAACTTTTGAATGGGCAGTTAAAGGTTATCTTCTACTATTTTCTAACTTCAGAAATGCTTTTGTTTGAAAGGTGGGAGACAAAGTTTCAAGGAGATTAAGTCCCAATATTCCTATTTTAAATCTCTCAACTTGTGCAGGCAGGGCAGGTAAACATGAAGTTTTTAAGGATAGAAGGGTCCTGAGAGATAGTAGAATATGTCTGCTACATAACAGGTACTCAGGTTATGTTTGATGAATAAATGGAATGAAAGAATGGATAAATACAGTTGGGGAGTTCAATATTTTTAAATAACTCCTATAAAGCAATATTTTTGCAATAGTAATTATTTATGTTATTTTTATTTTTAAAGAATACAATTAAAATGAAATAATCTATCATTGTTTGCATAAATTGAATGAATATATAAGAAAAACATATGTACATATAAAATATATAGATAATAAAATCTGGAAACAGATAAAAACATTCCCTTTTTACTTCTGAAGAGGCTAAAAGTTCAAAGAAGATAACAATACACACAATAATGATAAAAAATAGAAAGTGAGAAATTATTTTTAATACTGTAAGATTCATATTCCTCTCTTCCCGAGGATTATTCCTTTATTAATAAACTTTACTAGAAGTTTTGTACATGTTCACTGCAGCAATCACAGGTAAGAAAAAGGAACTTTACTTAAAATACAAATGCTCAGAAATTACAAATTTTATATTTTGTACATATTTTTTGCTAAAACAAGACCATAGTATGTTTGTGTGTATGTATAATTTAATTGATTTTTTTTCCTCACTAGCTATAACAAAATACATCTTCGCACATCAATATACTTCTGTATCTATTGCCACCTTCAATGGTCACATATTATTCCATCCTATGGATGCAACTGAAATTTATTTATAGGATCCATTCTATGGGTTCTTTTTAAAATAAGTGCTGTGAAAAATAAAGTGCATGTATCTTTATTTCCTAAGGGTGTTTTAGTATAATGGAATTGATGGGTAAAGAGCATACATATTTTTTAAATGTAGTACTTACCACCAAATTATCTATTTGAAAAGTAATCAGCAACTTAAACTTTAAGCAGGAGTACAAAACGTCCTCGCAAATATTGTGGATAGAAAACTTTCATTCCTCCTTTAATTTAAATTCTTATACCAGAAATGCGAAGGACTTTTTGCTATGTACACAAATAACTTGCAGATCTGGAAAAAAGTACTTTGCCCATTTTAGAGTTTTTGATGATTTGATTTGAAAGAATTCCCTGTAAAATGAAAATGTACTTTTCATCTAATGTGTATATATACATACAACTTTTCATCTAATGTGTATATATAACTGATATATATATAACAGATTATATCTGTAATAATATATATGGTATATGTATCAGCAATATATATATATCATATGATATATAATAAACAATATAGGCTGGGCATGGTAGCTCATGTCTGTAATCCAAGCACTTTGGGAGGCCGAGGCAGGCAGATCACTTGAGCTCAGGAGTTCAAGATCAGCCTGGCCAACATGGTGAAACCCCTCGCTACTAAAAATAGAAAAATTAGCCAGGCATGCTGGCACCTGCCTGTAACCCCAGCTACTTGGGAGGCTGAGCGAGGAGAATTGCTTGAACCCGGGAGGCAGAGGTTGCAGTGAGCCAAGACTGTGCCATTGGACACCAGCCTGGGCAAAGAAGTGAGACTCTCACTCAAAAAAAAAAAAAAAAAAAGAAAAAGAATATAATGAATTCCCTCTAAAATGAAAACACACTTTTCATCTGAATATATATATATATAATATAGTTAATATTTTTCAAGTAAGCTCTCTTTTGTTATTTTTTTTTCTGAAACACAGGCAGTTTTAATTTTTAGTTTGCTAAATCAACCTTCAGAATGTCTTCTTATGAGGTCATTCTTAGGAAGGCTTTTGTGAACATAAAGTGTACCTGTAAAATAAGCGTTTGTGTTTTCTTCCGGTACTTTACTCATTTTCATATGTAAAAATTTCAATCTGTATTCCATCAGGAACTCATGTTTGTGACATAAAATTTCATTAGTTTTCTTCAAACAGCAGACATTTTTTCATTAATAATTCATCCTTTCCTACTCATTAATCCTTACGTATATCTTACATAATTTCAGTGTTTCTGGGTTGCCTATTCTGTTCTATGCGTTTGTCTTTTCAGCTGTTAGTAAACAATTAATTGTAGAAATTAATAGCACATTTTGATATCTAGAGCAGCAAGTGTTTTTTCACTCCATTATGAAATTTTTTTAAATGTCATCACAATAGTGAAAGACAGCAGGTGTCATACAAAAATGTTAAAACCTTGATATTTTCATTCTGTCTATGTAAAATTGATAAACACAGAAAGAGCTCACATTCTGAGGAAAATGTGTCTTCCCATTCAAGAACACAGAACCCACCTCCCACTTCCAAGTTTCTCTCTAAGAACCTTCAGTAAAGAACCTACCTACACAGGGGGATACGGATGTAAAACGGACAGTTTTATCTGAGAACTTTTCGCCTACTGAAAATAACTCACGGCATTTTTGATAGGGGAATGAGTTCTCTCATTAGGCACCTCCTATAATGTATATAAACCATGTTTTAAACGTGTACGTTAAAATTATCAACACCGTATATGCTTAACTTTGTGAGTTAAATCACTCAAATTCTCCACCAACTGCTCCAGCCAGGGAATTATGAGGGATGGAAAACAGCTGAGGGTCCGTTTGGCTCCGCCGCTCAGAGGGTGCCCGGCGACCTCCAAGGCCCCCGTCCCAGGGGCTGCCAGAAAGCCGGACCTGGGGACCCCCTGCCACCCCGGGCTGAGCCCTCGCTACCTGTGCTGCTTGTCCAGGGCGTCAAGGTCTCCGCTCCTGCGCGCCAGACAGCGCTCCATCTCCGCAGCGTCGCCCTTGACAGCTGCCTTGTGGATCTTCTGCAGTTCCGAGTACCGGATTCGGTACCCGGAACCCGTGTAGAGGTGGTCTATGGAGCCCAGGACCGTCTGGCCCCTGCGGCTCCTGAAGCCGAACAACTTCATGGTGGTGACTTCTCAGACTCCCAACTACCGGCTCTTGAGAGGGGGCAGCTCCCTGTTACCTTTTCACCTCCCCCCACGCCCCCGCCGACCCAGCCCCAAATCCCCTATCCAACCCCAAATCCCCGATCCAACCCCAAATCCGCGATCCAACCCCCAATCCGCGATCCCAAATCTATTATCTAATCCAAAATCCGCGATCCAGCCCAGTCCACCACAGCCTTCAGCAGCGACACTCGCAGCCTCCGACCTCTCAGACCGAGTGAGCCTCGCAAAGCCGTTGGGCGCGCGCCTGCACCGCGGTGGCCGCCCGGGTCCCGGAAGTCGCTCGGAGGTGGCACGCGCTGGCAGGTGGGGCTGCAGCTGCGAGAGGGGGCGGGCCTGGGAACCACCGCGGGTATGGGGGCCTTGCCATTCTCAGGATTCCTGCGGAAACGCTGTGCGCTCGCTGCGCTCCAGGAGCAGGAGCAGGAGGAGGTCGCCCTCTAGAGTCTGGAGTCTGGGGAGAGGAGGAAGGCTCCTTCTTTGTAGGCCACTGGTGTTGCTGAAACCTCTGCCGCCACCTGCAGGGCACCCCCTGATAGCGCCCCTAACCCGCCGCCAGCTGTTGGACCCGGGATAGCGCCCCTAACACCCTCCCCTCACAGCTGCAGTGTAGAAACCCAATAGCGCCCCCAACCCGTCCCCGCCTCAGACGTTGCAGCACCAGATAACTCCCCCAACCTGCCCCCTGCCGTGGGCCATGCAGCCACGGATTGGACCCCCAACCAACCCCCCCGCCGCGGGCAGTGACGCCCCAGAAAGCACTGCAACCTGATCCCCGCCGTGTGAATAGTGCAGCCAAGGATCCTTAAGGCCCCCAACCCGCTCCCCACGATGGGCAGTGCCGTCCCAGATAGCGGATAGCACCCCCAACCATCCCCCAGCCGCGGGGTATGATGCCCTGGATAGCGCACCCAACCCGCAGTCCCCCGTGGACAGCTTAGCCCCCGACAGCTCCCCTAACCCGTATGCCACTACCGAGAATATGGTCCCGATAGCGCACCAAACCTGACCCCCGCCACAGGCAGTGCAGCAGCTGATAGCTCCCCTAACTCGCTCCCACTGACCACAGTACAGCCCCCTAATGATGTCCACAACCCACCACACCTCCCCACCTGCCACCGGTGGGGTATCGCCCCCAAACTGCCCCTTGCCGCTGGCAGTGTAGCCCCCAATAGAGCACCCAACGCCCCCCTCTATCATGAGCAGTCCGGCCCGCGATAGCGCCCGAAACCACCCCGTCCAATCACCTCCCTGTACTCCCCCTTTCCCGCCCCCCCCACCTGCAGTGTACCACCGGAGGCCCCTAACCTATCCCCTGCGGGGGGCATTGCAGCCCCAGATAGCGCCCCCAACAAGTCCCCCGCCGCGGGCGGTGCAGCCCCCAAACCACCCCCCACCCCAGTCAGCACCCCGACCAATCCCCCCACCCCGGCGCCGCCGGCAGTGTAACCACAGTAGCGGCCCTAACCCGTCCCCTGTGGCGGGCAGTGTAGCACACAATAGGGCCCCCAACCAGCCCTACTGCTGCTGGCAATACAGCCCAGGATAGTGCCCCCAACCCGCCCCCACCGCTGCTGCGGGCAGCGCAGCCCGGCATAGCACACCTAAAGTAGTGACGCCCGGAATAACACCCCTACCGGCCCCCGGCCTCGGGCAGTATAGCCCCGGATAGCGCACCTACCCAATCGCCTTTCTACGCTCTGGCCGGCTGCAGTGTCCGCTGCTGCCACCCACCGCAGCGAGGCGAGCCAGCGAGGCCAGCCGCAGTCCCACAGACTCTAGCCTCCAGCCTGTGGTAGGTGCCTCCTCTTTCCCTTCCTGTATCCAGGCAAGAAGCAGCTCTCGCTGCCAGCCGCCTGTCTCCATCGCCGCCACACACTATGCAGAGCCAAGCCCTGGTGCCACAGGATCCAGCCTCCAGCGTCCAGCGTGTGGCGGGGGACTCCGCTTTCGCCTTCTTTAAGGTGCGAACGGAGGGGTTGGGAACGCTGAGGCACAACAGCCTGCAATGGCGCAATTCCCCCTTAGCATGTTTTATATACTGAGGTTATGCAAGCCAGGTTCCTGGACTTCATGTTCTGATTGGATGAGAGAAAACCGCTAGGCCTGCTAGTTGGGGGCACTATCCCAGACTGTATTGCCGGCAGCAGTGAGGTGGGTTAAGGGTGCTATCCAGGGCTGCACTGCTCGGGGGTGCGGGTGGGGGGGTTTCGGGTTGAGGGCGCTATGGGGTGCTGCAATGCCCACGGTGCGGGGAGAGGGGGCAGTTTGGGTGTGTTGGGTGCGCTATGGGGGGGGGGGGGCTACACTGCTGGTGGCAGGGGGCAGGGTTGGTTGGGGACCGTATCAGGGGCTGCACTGATTGCTTTAGCTAGGATTTCCAGTACTATGTTAAGTAACAGTGGTGACAGTGGGCATCCTTATCATGTTCCAGATCTTAGAGGAAAAGCTTTCCATTTTCCCCCATTCCATATGATTCTAGCTATGAGTCTCTCTCATGTGGTTTTTATTATGTTGCAGTATGTTTCTTCTGTACCTGGTTTTTTGAGGATTTATAACATGAAGGAATGCTGAATTTCATCAAATGCTTTTTCAGTTTCAGTTGACATAATCATACTGTTTTGTCGTTTATTTGGTTGATATGATGTATCACATTGAGTGTTGAATGACCCTTGCATCCCAGGGACACATCCCACTTGATCCTGATGAATTATCTTTTTAATGTATTGCTGAATTTGATTTGCTGGTATTTTGTTGAGGATATTTGCATCAATATTAGAGATACTGGCCTGTAGTTTCCTTCTTTGATGTCTTTGTCTGATTTTGGTATGAGGGTAATAATGGCCCCACGGAATAAGTTTGGAAATATTCCCTGCTGTTTTTCAAAACAGTTTGAGTAGGATTGGTACTAGGTCTGTAAATGTGTGGTGTGAAGCCAACAGCAGTGAAGCCATTGGTTCCTGGGCTTTTCTTTACTGGGAGACTTTTTCTGATGGCTTCGATCTCATTACTTGTTACCGATCTGTTCTGGTCTTGGATGTTTTCACTGTTCAACCTAGGTAGGTTATATGCATCTAGCATTTCTACTAGGCTTTCTAATTTATTGGCATATAATAGCCAGTTAAGATCCTTTGAATTTCTGAAGTATCAGTTGTAATGTCTCCTATATTATTTTTTGATTTTATTTATTTGAATCTTCTCTCTTTTTTCTTAGTCAGCCTGGCTAAAAGTTTGTCAGTTTTGTGTAGCTTTCCAGAAAACCAACTTTTTGTTTAATCTTGTGTATTTTTTTAATTTCAACTTTATTTCTGTTACGATCTTTATTATTTCTTTTCTTATTTTGGGTTTAGTTTGTTCTTACTTTACTAGTTCTTTAAGATGTATTGTTTATTTGAAGTTTTTCTTCTGTTTGGATGGTAGGCACTTATAGCTATGAATCTCTGCCTTTGTACTGTTATTGGCATATCATAAGTTTTGGTATATTGTGTCTTCATTACCATTTGTTTCATGAAATTTTTCAATTTCCATCTTAGTATCTTCATTGACCCACTAGTCATTCATTCAGGAGCGTATTATTTAACTTCCATGTGACTGTATGGTTTCCAAAATTATTATTCTTATTGATACCTAGTTTTATTCTTTTGTAGTCAAAGAAGATGGCCATGGAGACAGCAGCGTGGTCGGAGTGGTAGCAGACAGCCATCAGCAAGAGCTGCTCCGTGCCCGGCTGCTGGAGGCTAGAGCCTATGGCCCAGTGGCTTGCCTCACTGTGGTTGGTGGTGGTGGTGACAGAGACTGCAGCATGACCAGAGTGATAGGATAGGGGCCATCAGGGCTGCACTTTTCACAGTGTGGGGTGGGTTGGGGGCGCTATCTAGGGTGTCACTGCCTGCACTGGGGGTACTGGTTGGTAGCATTATATGGGGCTGCACTGCCCATGGTGGGGGGCGTGTTATGGGTGCTCTCTGGGACTGCAATGCCCATAGAGGAGGACAGGTTAGGGCACTATCGGGTATACACTGCTGGTGGCGTTTTGGGGGGTGGAGGTGGGGGGTGCTATTGAGGGCAGGACTAGCCATGGAGGGGGGCAAGTTGGGTACTGTTGGGGGCTGCACTGCTGGCGACGGTCAGCAGAGTTGGCAGCGACAGTGCTGGCATCCAAGGAAGGAGCGGTTCTCCTCTCCCTGGACCCCACACTCCAGAGGGCAACCTACTCTTGCTCATACTGGAGCACGGCAGACACAGTGTTTCTGTGGAAATCCTGAGCATGGCAGAGCCCCTACACCCACCGTAGTTCCTGGGCCCATGCACTCTGGGTCTGTGCCACAGAGACTGCCTGGCACCCCCCAGTATGGAGTAGCAGACACCACTGGGGACAGGGGCCTGTACGTGGAGGCATCCGGAACAGGAAGTGGCACCTGGGTGCAGAGGGTTGGCTGGGTCTGAGTTTCTGCTGCTCCTGCTCCCCGAGGAGTGCAGCCCAAGTGGGCCCAGCAGTTCCTGTGGAGTTGGGAGCCAGGCACTATGGTGTCTCCAGCACCCACCCCAGGCCCCAGTTTCTGGCCAGCTTGGGCCAAAAGGACTTTGAAGGGTGGGTGTGAGTGCCTTCACTGAAACTGGCCCCTGCCACCCAGTGGCTGGCGTGACAAAGTGAGGCTCTGACACTACCACCCCTTGCATCTTCCTCTAGGATTTTCTGGCTTTGCCCTCCCAGCTGCTCCGTGCCAGGAGGAGGAGGAGACACCTGGAGCCTGCAACACCACAGCTTGCTTCTCTGTGGGCTGGTGGTGGCAATGCAGACTGCAGCATGCTGGAGCAGTAGGAGGGCAGGCGGCTGCGGCCAGGGTGGGGGCAGGCCTACAGCAGTGGCCAGGCTGCGGCAGTGGCCAGGTGGTAGGAGCCTTGTAGGGAGGGCCGATGCATTCACAATGGGCCTGGCTATGCCCTGCCCGTGCTGTGGAGCTGGCCCTGTACTGCCCTGCCCTGCCTTGCCCTGGACCTGCCCTGCCATTACCTGGACTGTCTCAGCCCTGCCCTGCTCTGGTCCCACCCTGGCCCTGTCTTGGCCCTGTGCTGCCCTGTCCCTGCTCTGGTCCTGCCCTTGCACTGGCCCTTCCCTGGCTCAGGCCCTGGCCCCACCTCTGCCCTGGACCTTCCCTGAATCTGTGCTGACCCAGCTTTGGCTCTGGCCCTGCCCCCTGTCCTGACCCTGGCACTGCCATAGCACTGGCCCTGCCAATGGTCATGGTCCTGGTCCTGTTCTGGCCCTGACCTGGCCTTGGACATGTCCTGGCCCTGATTTGTCCCGGCCCTGCCTTGGCCTGTCCCTGCCCTGGCCCCACCATGGCCCTGCCTGTTCTGCCCTCTCCTGGCACTGACCTTGCCCTGTCATGGCCCAGTGGTGCCATTGCCCTGCCTTACCCTGCCCTGGTTGTGCCCTGGACCTGCCTGACGCTGGCCGCTCCCTGGACCTGCCCTGACCTTGCCGTGGCTTTTGCCCTGCCCTCACTATGGCCTGGCTCTGGCCCTGCCCTGGCCCAGCCTGGGCCCTGGCCCTGGCCCTGACCCTGGTCCTGCCATATCCCTGGCTCTGCCCTTATCCAGGCCCTGCCCCTGCCTGTGCCCTGGACCTGGCCTGGAACCTGATCCTGCCAAGGACCTGCTGACTCTGCCATGGCCCTGGCCCTGCTCTGCCTTGCTCCTGGCCCTGACCCAGACTCTTTCTTGGTTCTGTCCTGGCCCTGGCCTTTCCCTGGCCCTGAGCTGGCAGTAGTCTGCCCTGGTCTTGCCACCACCTTGCCCTGCCGTGCTCTGGCTGTGTCATCACCCTGCCCTGGCCCTGCCCTCACCCTACTCTGGCTTTGACCCTGCCCTGGCCCTACCTTGGCTCTCACCCTAGTCTTGGCTAGGGCCTGCTCTGGACCTGGCCCTAGCCCAGACCTGGCCCTGACCCTGGCCCTGGTCTTTGTCCTGCCATATCCCTGGCCCTGGCCCTGCCCCGGCCCTGAAGTGACTTGACCCTCTTTTGGCCTGTCCCTGCTCTGCCCCTACCATTGCCTTGTCCTGTTCTGCCTTGTCCTGGCACTGACCCGGCCGTGCCATTGCCCTGCCTTACCCTGCCTTGGCCGTGCCCTGGCTCGGTTCTGGCCCTGGCCCCGCCCTGGACATGCCCTGACACTGCCTCAGCTTTGGCACCAGCCTGGCTCTGCCTTGGCATCGGCCCTGCTCTCTCTATGGACCGGCTCTGGTCCTGTCCTGCACTGGCCATACCATGCCTTGCCCTGACTCAGCCCTGACTCAGCCCTGGCTCAGCTCTGGCCTTGGTGTTGCCCCTGGTCCTGCCATGTTTCTTGCCCTGTCCCTACCCTGGCCCTGGCCCTGACCCTTACCCTGGTCTGGCCCTGCTCGTGCCCTAACACAGACCCTGGACCTCTCCTGGCCCTGGCCCTTCCTGGCTTGAGAATTTACCCTGGTTCTGCCCTGGCCCTGACCCTGTCCTGACCCTGAAATACTGGCCCTACCCTGGCCTTGCACTGCTCTGGTCCTTGCCCTGACTCTGGCCCTGTCACTATCTTAGCCCCAGCCCTGTCGCTGGTCTTACCATGGCCCAGACCCTGCCTTGGCCCTACCCTGACCCTGTCCTGGACCCCGGCTGTGCCAAGAACCTGAACTGTCCTTGCCCTTCTTTTGCTCCTGCCCCGAACCTGGTGCTGCCCAGGCCATGGCCATGGCCCTGTCCCTGCCTTGGTCTTGGCACTGGCCTGGCCCTGCCCTGCCTTGGCCCTATGCTTTCCTGGACCTGTCCTGCCTGCCCTGGCCCTGCCTTGGCCCTAGCCTGGCTTTGACCCTGCCCTGGCCCTACCTTGGCCTTCACCCTAGCCTTGCCTGAGCCCTGTCTTGTACCTGGCTATAGCACAGACCTGGCTGTGGCCCTGGCCCTGCCATGGCCCTGTCCCTGACCCTGGCCCTGCCAGGTACCTGTCCTGGCCCTGCTCTGGGCCTGGCTTTGTCCCTGGTTTTTAGATGACCCTGACCCTGCCCCCTACCCTTGCCCTTTCCCTGGCACTGGCCTTGGACATGTCCATGGTCCTAACCCTGGCCCTGCCCTGGAGCTGCCACTGTCTTGGCTCTGCCCTGGCCCTGGCAGGGACCTTGGCCCTGGCCTTCGCTGCTTAAGGCCATACCTGGCCTAGCCCTGGGCCTGACCCTGTCCTGGCCCTGATTTGCCCTGGCCCTACCCTGGCATGCTATTCTGGCCCTAGCCCTGACCCTGTCCCTGTCCCTGTCCCTGTCCCTGTCCTCACCCTAGTCCTGTTGCTGGTCCTGCCATGGCCCTGGTCCTGACATTGCCCTTTCCTGGTCCTGGCCCTGGCCCTGCCCCGGCCCTGCTCTGGCCCTGGTCTGAACTCTGGCCCTGCAATGGACCTGCCTTGTCCCTGCCCAGACCCTGGCTCTGGCCCTACCTCTGCCCTGGCCATACCCTTGCCCTGGTCCTTGTCCTGTCCCAGCCGCGTCCCTGGCCCTGCCCTGCCTGTGCCCTGTTCTATCCTGGGCTGGCCCTGCCATGGCCTGGTCTTGCTATTGCCCTGCCCTAGCCTGCCCTGCTTGTGCCCTAGATCTGCCCCGGCCTTTGCCCCTGTCTTGGGTCTAGCCCTGACTCAGCCCTGGACCTTCCCTGACCTTGCCTCAGCCCTGGCACTACCCTGGCCTTGCCTTGGCATTTGCCCTACCCTCTCTATGGCCTGGCTCTGGTACTGCCCTGCTCTGCTCTTGTTCTGTCCTGGCACAGCCCTGGCCCTGGCCCTGCCCCTGGTCCTGCCATATCCCTGGCCCTGGTCCTGCCCTCATGCAGGCCTGCTCCTGCCCCTGCCCTGGCTTTGGCCTTGGCCCTGTGCTATCTTAGTCTTGCCCTGGCCCTGACCTCGCCCTGGCCCTACCCTCACCCTACCCTGGCCCTGCATTTGGCCTGCCCTGGCCCTGGTTCTGCCCTGGCCCTCCCCTTGCCCTGGCCCCTCCCTGGCCATGCTTTTTCCCTGGTCCTTCCCTGGCCTGCCCTTGCCCTGGCCCCTTTCTGGTCCTGCCATGTTTCTGGCCCTGCCCTGTCCATGCCCCGGACCTGGCTCTGGCCCTAGACTTCCCTGGCTGTGCCCTGCCATACCCTGGCCTGGTCCTTGCTCTACACTGACCCTGCCCTGCCTTGGCCCTGTGCTACCCTCACCCTGCCCTGGCCCTCCACTGGCCCTGGTCCTGCCATAGCCCTGGCCCTGACCTGGCCCTGTCTTAAGCCCTGGCCCTGCCATGTCCCTGCCCTGGCCCTGGTTCTGCCCTGCTTCTGGCCCTGGCCTTGGTCCTGTCATGTCCCTGGCTGTGACCCTGCCTGGTTCTACCCTGGCTCTGGCCCTGCCCTGGTTCTGGTCCTGCCCTGGCCCAGCCCTGACTGGGCACTATACTACCCTGGCCCTGCCCAGCCCAACACTGCCCAGGCTGGAGCCCTGCCTTGGCCATGCCCATGGCCCTGCCCCTGGTCCTGTCGTGGCCCTTACCCTGCCACTGGTCCTACGATAGCCCTGATCCTGACTTGGCCCTGGTCCTGACCTAGCTGTGGCCCTGCCCTGCTTCTGGCCCTGTCCTGGCCCTGGCACTGCCTTGGCCCTGGCCCTGCCCTGGCTCCTACCTGCCCTGGCCTTTCCTCGGCCCTGTGCTAACCTGGCCCTGCCATGATGTGGCCCTGCGTCTGCCTTGACCCTGCTCTGGGCATGGCCTTAGCATTCGACCTGGCCCTGCCCTGCCCCTGCCCTGGACCTGCCCTACCATTACCTGGCCTGTCCTGGCCCTGCCCTGCCCTGGCCCCACCCTGGCCCGGTCTTGGCCCTGTGCCACCCTGTCCCTGCCCTGCCCTTGCATTGGCCCTTCCCTGGCACAGGCCCTGGATTAACAAAGTTGTACAGTCATCAATCACCACTGTTTCAGTGCAGAACATTTTCATCTTCCCAAAAAGAAACCCATCAGTAATCACTCCCTGTCCCTCTCCCGTCATGGCCCTTGGCAACCACTATTCTAGTTTTTTGTCTCTATGGATTTACTTATTCTAAACTAGACATTTGATATAAATGGAATCATTCAGCATGTGACCTTTTTGTCTGGCATATGCCAAGATTTTTGAAGTGTACTTTTTAATTTTTCTCTGATATTTTCTAGATTTTAAAGTTTAGATTTTTAAATCTTTCTGGATTTAATTTTTTTTTTTTTTTTGAGATGGAGTTTCGCTCTTGTTGCCCAGGTTGGAGTGCAATGGCACAATCTTGGCTGACTGCAACCACTGCCTCCTGGGTTCAAGCAATTCTCCTGCCTCAACCTCCCAAGTAGCTGGGATTACAGGCATGTGCCACCATGCCCGGCTAATTTTGTATTTATAGTAGAGATGGGATTTCTCCATGTTGGTCAAGCTGGTCTCAAACTCCCACCCTCAGGTAATCCACCTGCCTCAGCCTCTGAAAGTGCTGGGATTACAAGTGTGAGCCACCGCGCCTGGCTAAAAAAATGTATTTTTAAAAGTGTATTACAAAAAAAAAATTAACTGGATGTAGTGGCAGGCGCCTGTGATCCCAGCTACTCAGGAGGCTGAGGCAGGGAGAATTGCTTGAACCTGGGAGGTAGAGGTTGCAGTGAGCTGAGATCATGCCACTGCACTCCAGCCTGGGCGACAGAGCGAGAGTCCATCTCAAAAAACAAAAAATAAAATAATAAAATAAAATAGTATTCTCACCCTTTTCTACTCACATTCCCTCTGAGCTAATTAGTGCTATTGGCTGATGTGTATCCTTCCACTCACATTTACTTACTCGTACATTCAAATGCAAAATACACATACATACATAGGATGGTGGTGGTTGTATTTTAAAATGAAATTATTTTATGCTCATTACTTTGCATCTTGCTTTATTTAAGAAAATATTTTAGCTGTTCCTTAAAATAGTTGATAGAGATCTAACACATACCTTTCAATATTAGGTAACATTCTGTTACACTAATGAGCCTCATTTACTCGACCATTTCACTGAATGGGTGGATATTCAGATGTTTTCAGTTTTTTGACACCATAGCTAAGTCTTAATAAATATCTTGTTCATACATTCTTCTTAACTGATGCTCTTAATTCTATAGACTAGAATCCCAAATCTGGGGTTTCTGTGTCACGAACATTTGCATTTAAAATTTGTAATAGTTATTACTAGATTTATGTTCCCCAGTAGTTGCAGCAGGTCACAGCTTCATCCCCACTGAAATGCCTATTTTCCTGCATTTTTATCAGGATTAGCTGTTTTGCAATCTTTACAACTTTTTGCCCCACTAATAAGGTAAGAAAGTATCTTATCTCAAGTATTCTTACCTTCTCTTTCAGAGGTAAACTGTATGACGTAATGGATATGTTAATTACCTTGATTGTGGTACTCATTTTAGAATGTATAAGTTTATCAGAACATCATGTTTTGTACACCTTAAATATATACAATTTTTATTTTTCAATCATACCTCAATAAACCTGAAAAAAAGTCATTCAGAAAGGAATCAAACAGTAGATACTAGCATTAAAAATATGTTATAAATTTTCAAGCATAGAATGATAACATAAGATTAGGAACAAGAATACGTGTGTATAGATTTTAACATTTATATCTGTGAATATTAATCAATATATACAGATCTTGAAGGCAAGTTACAATTGTGAAGAAAATGAAAATTATGTTGTGTACCTATAATATGAAAATAAAAAATCACACAAAGGCATATACCTTCACTCAAGGATGCATACTCGAGTGTACATATTATTTATAATAACCTAAATTTGTAAACAGCCCCAAATGTCCATTAACTTGTGAATGAATAAACCAACAGTGATACTTTGAAAGAATGGAATACTATTCAGCAATAAAAAGGAACTAACTACTGACTCGGCAATATTCGTGAATCTCAAAAATATTATGCTAAGTGAAAGAGAGATGACATACTATGTGATTTCTTTTAAAATTTCTAGAGAAGACAAAATTCAGGACAGAAAGCAGATCAGTGGATGCCAGGAGTAGGAGTTAAGGGAGGAAATTTATTGCAAAGGAAATGTAGGGGACTGATTGTGGTGATGTTTGAAATGTTCTATGTCATGATCATGGTTGTGGTTACATGACTATTCTGAAAGTTCGTTAAGTTGTACACTTCAAATTGCTGATGCTCATTATATGTTAATTATACCTTAAAGCTAATAATTCATATTTAATCTCCTTGTGGTTTTGATTTGCATTTCTCTGATGGCCAGTGATGATGAGCATTTTTTCATGTGTCTTTTGCCGGCATAAATGTGACTGTTCATATCCTTTGCCCACTTTTTGATGGCGTTGTTTGATTTTTTCTTGTAAATTTGTTTCAGTTCTTTGTAAATTCTGGATATTAGCCCTTTGTCAGATGGGTAGATTGTAAAAATTCTCTCCCACCCTGTAGGTTGCCTGTTCACTCTGATGGTAGTTTCTTTTGCTGTGCAGAAGCTCTTTAGTTTGATTAGATCCCATTTGTCAATTTTGGCTTTTGTCGCCATTGCTTTTGGTGTTCTAGTCATGAAGTCCTTGCCCATGCCTACGTCCTGAATAGTATTGCCTAGGTTTTCTTCTAGGGTTTTTATGGCTTTAGGCCTAACATTTAAGTCTTTAATCCATCTTGAATTAATTTTTATATAAGGTGTAAGGAAGGGATCCAGTATCAGCTTTCTACATATGGCTAGGTAGGTTTCCCAGCACCATTTATTAAATAGGGAATCCTTTCCTCATTTCTTGTTTTTGTCAGGTTTGTCAAAGATCAGATGGTTGTAGATGTGTGGTATTATTTCCTAGGACTCTATTCTGTTCCATTGGTCTGTATCTCTGTTTTGGTACCAGTACCATGCTGTTTTGGTTACTGCAGAGTTGTAGTATAGTCTGAAGTCAGGTAGTGTGATGCCTCCAGCTTTGTTCTTTTGGCTTAGGATAGTCTTGGCAATGCGGGCTCTTTTGTGGTTCTATATGATCTTTAAAGTAGTTTTTTCCAATTCTGTGAAGAAAGTCATTGGTAGCTTGATGGGGATAGCATTGAATCTGTAAATTACCTTGGGCAGTATGGCCATTTTCACAATATTGATTCTTCCTATCCATGAGCATGGAATGTTCTTCCATTTGTTTGTATCCTCTTTTATTTCATTGAGCAGTGGTTTGTAGTTCTCCTTGAAGAGGTCCTTCACATCCCTTGTAAGCTGGATTCCTAGGTATTTTATTTTCTTTGAAGCAATTGTGAATGGGAGTTCACTCAAGATTTGGCTCTCTGTTTGTCTGTTATTGGTGTATAGGAATGCTTGTGATTTTTGCACATTGATGTTGTATCCTGAGATTTTGCTGAAGTTGCTTATCAGCTTAAGGAGATTTTGGACTGAGATGATGGGATTTTCTAAATATACAATCATGTCATCTGCAAACAGGGACAATTTGACTTCCTCTTTCCCTAGTTGAATACCATTTATTTCTTTCTCTTGCCTGACTGCCCTGGCCAGAACTTCCAACACTATGTTGAATAGGAGTGGTGAGAGAGGGCATCCCTGTCTTGTGCCAGTTTTCAAAGGGAATGCTTCCAGTTTTTGCCCATTCAGTATGATATTAGTTGTGGGTTTGTCATAAATAGCTCTTATTATTTTGAGATACATCCCATCAATACTTAGTTTATTGAGAGTTTTTAGCATGAAGTGTTGTTGAATTTTGTCGAAGGCCTTTTCTGCATCTATTGAGATGATCATGTGGTTTTTGTCATTTGTTCTGTTTATATGCTGGATTACATTTATTGATTTGTGTATGTTGAACAAGCCTTGCATCCCAGGGACAAAGCCAACTTGATCGTGGTGGATAAGCTTTTTGATATGCTGCTGGATTTGGTTTGCCAGGATTTTATTGAGGATTTTTGCATTGATGTTCATCAGGGATATTGGTCTAAAATTCTCTTTTTGTTGTGTCTGTGCCAGGCTTTGGTATCAGGATGATGTTGGCCTCATAAAATGAATTAGGGAGGATTCCCTCTTTTTCTATTGATTGGAATAGTTTCAGAAGGAATGGTACCAGCTCCTCTTTGTACCTCTGGTAGAATTCGGCTGTGAATCCATCTGGTCCTAGACTCTTTTTGGTTGGTAGGCTATTAATTATTGCCTCAATTTCAGAACCTATTATGGTCTATTCAGGGATTCAACTTCTTCCTGGTTTTGTCTTGGCAGGGTGTTCTGTGTCCAGGAATTTATCCATTTCTTCGAGATTTTCTAGTTTATTTGCATAGAGGTGTTTATACTATTCTCTGATGATAGTTTGTATTTCTGTGGGATCGGTGGTGATATCCCCTTTATCATTTTTTATTGCATCTATTTGATTCTTCTCTCTTCTTTATTAGTCTTGCTAGCGGTCTATCAATTTTGTTGATCTTTTCCAAAAACATCTCCTGGATTCATTGATTTTTTGAAGGGTTTTTTGTGTCTCTGTCTCCTTCAGTTCTGCTCTGATCTTAGTTATTTCTTGCCTTCTGCTAGCTTTTGAATGTGTTTGCTCTTGCTTCTCTAGTTCTTTTAATTGTGATGTTAGGGTGTCAGTTTTAGATCTTTCCTGCTTTCTGTTGTGGGCATTTAGTGCTATAAATTTCCCTCTACACACTGCTTTAAATGTGTCCCACAGATTCTGGTATGTTGTGTCTTTGTTCTCATTGGTTTCAAAGAACATCTTTATTTCTGCATTCATTTCCTTATGTACCCAGTAGTCATTCAGGAGCAGGTTGTTCAGTTTCCATGTAGTTGAGTGGTTTTGAGTGAGTTTCTTAATCCTGAGTTCTAGTTTGATTGCACTGTGGTCTGAGAGATAGTTTGTTATAATTTCTGTTCTTTTACATTTGCTGAGGAGTGCTTTACTTCCAACTATGTGGTCAATTTTGGAATAGGTGTGGTGTGGTGCTGAAAAAAATGTATATTCTGTTGATTTGGGGTGGAGAGTTCTGTAGATGTCTATTAGGTCCACTTGGTGCAGAGCTGAGTTCAATTCCTGGATATCCTTGTTAACTTTCTGTCTCGTGGATCTGTCTAATGTTGACAGTGGGGTGTTAAAGTCTCCCATTATTATTATGTGGGAGTCTGAGTCTCTTTGTAGGTCTCTAAGGACTTGCTTTATGAATCTGGGTGCTCCTGTATTGGGTGCATATATATTTAGGATAGTTAGCTCTTCTTGTTGAATTGATCCCTTTACCATTATGTAATGGCCTTCTTTGTCTCTTCTGACCTTTGTTGGTTTAAAGTCTGTTTTATCAGAGACTAGGATTGCAACCCCTGCATTTTTTTGTTTTCCATTTGCTTGGTAGATCTTTCTCCATCCCTTTATTTTGAGCCCATGTGTGTCTCTGCACATGAGATGGGTCTCCTGAATACAGTGCACTGATGGGTCTTGACTCTTTATCCAATTTCCAGTCTGTGTCCTTTAATTGGAGCATTTATCCCATTTACATTTAAGGTTAATATTGTTATGTGTGAATTTGATCCTGTCATTATGATGTTAGCTGCTTATTTTGCTCGTTAGTTGATGCAGTTTCTTCCTAGCCTCGATGGTCTTTACAATTTGGGATGTTTTTGCAGTGGCTGCTACCGGTGGTTGTTCCTTTCCATATTTAGTGCTTCCTTCAGGAACTCTTGTAGGGCAGGTCTGGTGGTGATAAAAATCTCTCAGCATTTGCTTGTCTGTAAAGTATTTTATTTCTCCTTCACTTATGAAGCTTAGTTTGGCTGGATATGAAATTCTGGGTTGCAAATTCTTTTCTTTAAGAATGTTGAATATTGGCCCCCAGTCTCTTCTGGCTTGTAGAGTTTCTGCTGAGAGATCTGCTGTTAGTCTGATGGGCTTCCCTTTGTGAGTAACCCGACCTTTCTCTCTAGCTGCCCTTAACATTTTTTTCCTTCATTTCAGCTTTGGTGAATCTGACAATTACATGTCTTGGAGTTGCTCTTCTTGAGTATCTTTGTGGCATTCTCTGTATTTCCTCAATTTGAATGTTAACTTGCCTCGCTAAGTTGGGGAAGTTCTCCTGGATAATATCCTGCAGAGTGTTTTCCAACTTGGTTCCATTCTCCCCGTCACTTTCAGGTACACCAATCAGACATAGTTTTGGTCTTTTCACATAGTCCCACATTTCTTGGAGGCTTTGTTCATTTCTTTTTACTCTTTTTTCTCTAAGCTTCTCTTCTCACTTCATTTCATTCATTTGGTCTTCAATCACTGATACCCTTTCTTCCACTTGATCAAATCAGCTACCGAAGCTTGTGCATGTGTCACATAGTTCTTGTGCCATGGTTTTCAGCTCCATCAGGTCAGTTAAGGACTTCTCTACACTGGTTATTCAGTTAGAAATTCGTCTAATCTTTTATCGAGGTTTTTAGCTTCTTTGCGATGGGTTCGAACATCCTCCTTTAGCTCGGAGAAGTTTGTTATTACTGATCGTCTGAAGCCTTCTTCTCTCAACTCATCAAAGTCATTCTCTGTCCAGCTTTGTTCTGTTGCTGGTGAGGAGCTGTGTTCCTTTGGAGGAGAAGAGGCACTCTGATTTTCAGAATTTTCAGCTTTTCTGCTCTGGTTTCTCCCCATCTTTGTGGTTTTATCTGCCTTTGGTCTTTGATCATGGTGATGTACAGACGGGGTTTTGGTGTGGATGTCCTTTCTGTTTGTCAGTTTTCCTTCTAACAGTCAGGACCCTCAGCTGCAGGTCTGTTGGAGTTTGCTGGAGGTCCACTCCAGACCCTGTTTGCCTGGGTATCAGAAGCAGAGGCTGCAGAACAGCGAATATTGCTGAACAGCAAATGTTGCTGCCTGATCGTTCCTCTGGAAGTTTCATCTCAGAGGGGTACCCGGCCATGTGAGGTGTCAGTCTGCCCCTACTCAGGGGTGCCTCCCAGTTAGGCTACTCGGGGTTCAGGGACCCACTTGAGGAGACAGTCTGTCCATTCTCAGATCTCAAACTCTGTGCTGGGAGAACCACTACTCTCTTCAAAGCTGTCAGACAGGGACATTTAAGTCTGCAGAGGTTTCTTCTGCCTTTTGTTCAGCTAGGTCCTGCCCCCAGAGGTGGAGTCTACAGAGGCAGGCAGCCCTCCTGGAGCTGCGGTGGGCTCCATCCAGCTCGAGCTTCCCGGCCGCTTTGTTTACCTACTCAAGCCTCAGCAAATGCGGGCACCCCTCCCCCAGCCTCACTGCCACCTTGCAGTTCGATCTCAGACTGCTGTGCTAGCAATGAGTAAGGCTCCATGGGCATGGGACCCTCCAAGCCAGGCACGGGATATAATTGTGCCATTTGCTAAGACCATTGGAAAAGCGCAGTATTAGGGTGAGAGTGACCCAATTTTCTAGGTGCCTTCTGTCACAGCTTTGCTTGGCTATGAAAGGGAATTCCCTGACCCCTTGCACTTCCGGGGTGAGGTGATGCCTTGACCTGCATCGGCTCATGCTCGGTGCGCTGCACCCACTGTCCTGCACCCACTGTCCGACAAGCCCCAGTGAGATGAACCCAATACCTCAGTTGGAAATGCAGAAATCACCCATCTTCTGCGTTGCTCATGCTGGGAGCTGTAGACTGGAGCTGTTCCTATTTGGCCATCTTCCACTTTACCACTTATCATTAGTTTTAAAGAAAAAAAAATTGACATAATGGAAATTTTCACTATACCTCAGGAAGGGAACTCAGTGGAAAAGTAAGCTTCCTATTCCCTCTTGACCTTCAGTTTATACTTTTCTTCCTAAGTCAAGTACTACTACTGGTTTCTTATGCTATTTCTAGAACTAGCCTATCTATCTCTGTCTATTTAAAATAACTCATTAATCACCTTTTATTTGAGCTGCCTTATGGATCTATGTAGTTTTTCTGTCTCTTTTTAAAATTTTTTATGTGGTAGAATACACATAACATAAAATTTACCATCTTAACCATTTTTCAGTGTACAGTTTAGTAGCACCATCTTTCACATTGTTGTGCAACCAATCTCCAAAACCTTTTCATTGTGCAAAACAAATTCTGTATCTATTCAACAGCTCTCCATTCTTCCCTACCCGCAACTCCTGCAACCATCCTTCTACTTTCTGTCTGTCTGAATTTGTATACCTCACATAAGTGGAATCATACAGTATTTGCCTTTTTGACATGGGCTTATTTTACTTAGCATAATGTCCTCCAGTTCCATTCACGGTGCCTTGAAAGACAGGATTTCATTATTTCTTTATGGCTGAAATAGTATTCATCCATGTTGTAGCATGTCAGATTCTCTTCCTCTTTAAGGCTGAATGATATTCCATTGTATGTATATACCAACATTCTATTTATCTAAATTTATCTGCCAATGGATTTTTCGGTTTCCACCTTTTGGCTATTATAAATAATGCTACTGTGAACATGGGAGTACAAAAAACTTCAAAGCCCTGCTTTTAATTATTCTGAATATATATCTAGAAGTGGAATTGCTGGATCATATCTTTATTCTATTTTTAATTTTTTGAAGAATTTCTTTTTTTTAAGTCACTTTTGATGGTTTATTCTTTGCCAGAAAATATATTTTCAATTTTATCAGTGCAGAGTTGTATATAATATTTATATATTTTACTTGTACAATTATATAAAAGTTGTATTATATTTCTATATTCTCATATAATTATCTTCAGTATCCATGTTTGTAACTGTTTCCTCATTTCTCTTTTTCCTCTTTCATGTTTACTATTTTATTGGTCTTTAAAACCTAGACTTTGATTTTTTTTGTTGTTGTTTTTGAGACAGAGTCTTGCTCTATCACCCAGGCTGGAGTGGAGTGGCGTGATCTCAGCTCACTGCAACCTCCGCCTCCCAGGTTCAAGTAATTCTCCTGCCTCAGCATCCTGAGTAGCTGGGATTACAGGTGCCGGACACCATGCCCAGCTAATTTTTGTATTTTTAATAGAGATGGGGTTTCACTACGTTGGTCAGGCTATTCTCAAACTCCTGACCTTGTGATCCACCCACCTCAGCCTCCCAAAGTGCGGGGATTACAGGCATGAGCCACCACGCCTGGCCGTTTCCTAGCATTTAAATTTTTCTGTTTCATTAATTTTAGCTTTCATTTTATTTATATTGTTATTTCTTCAGGCAATGGCTTGGTTCATCTATTTTCAGTTTTTTTAAAAAAAACTGTAAAGTGTAAGGCTCTAAATTTTATTTTTTTAGTTACAGGAATTTTTAATATATTCTGGTTATTAATCCCTTATGAGATATATTATTTGCAAGTATTTTCTCCCACTCTGTGGATTGTTGTTTCATCTTCTTGATAGTGTCCTTGATAGACACAAGTTTTTATTTGGATGAAGTCCAATTTATCTGTTTTTTCTTTTGTTGTCTGTGCTCTTTTGGCATCATATACCAGAAATCTTTGCCAAATCCAATGTTGGAAACATTTCTTTCCTATGTTTTCTCCTAGGAGTTTTATAGCTTTACTGTTAAGTTTTGGTCTTTGATCTATTTTGATTTAATTTTTGTATATGATGTAAGGGAAGGGTCCATCTTCATTCTTTTGCATCTGGATAATCAGTTTTCCTAGCATCATTTGTTGAAAAGACTGTTCTTTCTCCATTGAATGGTCTTACTACTTTTTTCAAAAATTGTTTGGTCATATATGTGAGGTTTCTTTCTAGGCTGTCTATTCCATTGGTCTATATGACTGTGCTTATGCTAGTACCACATTGTTTTGATTACTGTAGCTTTGTAGTAAGTTTTCAAATAAGAAAGTGTGAGTTCTCCAACTTTATTCTTTCTCAAGATACTTCTGACTATTATGTGGTTCTTTGAGATTCATATGAATTTTAGGATGGGTTTTTCTCTTTCTTTTTGCAAAAAAGACCATTGGGATTTTGATAGGGGTTGCATTGAATCTGTATATTGCTTTGGGTAATATTGTTACTTTAACAATCTAGGAACATGGGATATCTTTCCATTTATTTATGTTTAATTTCTTTCAGCAATGTTGGTAGTTTTTTATTGTATAAGTTTTTCCCCTCATTGATTAATTCCTAAATATTTTCTTTTTGATGCTATCATAAGTGGAATTGTTTTCTTAATTTCCTTCTTGTATTTTTCGTTGTGAATGTATAGAAATCCACCTGATTTTTGTGTGCTGACTTTGTATTCTATGACTTTGAATTTATTAGCTCTATCAGTTTGTTTTTGGTGTGTATGTGTCATCTTTAGGGATTTCTACATATATATCATCTGTGAAT
Organism: Homo sapiens; assembly: GCF_000001405.40. Taxonomy (NCBI): domain Eukaryota; kingdom Metazoa; phylum Chordata; class Mammalia; order Primates; family Hominidae; genus Homo; species Homo sapiens. Next base: position 14,160,039 of record NC_000018.10, on the reverse strand, counting down.
AGACATAATTTTGCTTCTTTCTGTCCAACTTGGATGACTTTTCCATCTTTTTCTTGCCTAATTGCCCTGTCTAGAATTTCTAGTATTATGTCAAATAGAAGTAGAAAAAGTGGGTATCTTCATCCTGTTCCTGATATTAGGGGGAGAACTTTCAGTCTTTCACTATTGAGTATGTTGTTAGCTATTGGTTTTTAATATATGGCTTTTATTATGTTGAGGAAATTTCCTTCTGTTCCTAGCTTGAGGTTTTTTTTTTTTTTTAATCATGAAATGTGTTGAAATTTGTCAAGTGGTTTTTCTGTATCGATTCAGATGATCATGTGGAGTTTCTTCTTCATTCTATTAATGTGGTGTGTTACATTGATTTTTTGTTGTTGTTGAAGCATCTTGTGCTCCTGGAGTAAGTTTCACTTGGTCATGGTGTGTCATCCTTTTAATAGGCTGCTGATTTTGTTGAGTTTTTCATCACTATTCCTAAGGTATATTGGCCTGTAGTTTTCTTGTAGTATTTTTGTCTGGCTTTGGTATCAGAGTAATATTGGACTCATGGAACTAAGGGGGAGAAGTGTTCCCTTCTCTTTAATTTTTTGGAAGTGTTTGAGAAACTTTCTTCTTTAAATTTTGGGTAGAATCAACCTGTGAAAGCTATCTGGTCCTGACCTTTCCTTTGGGAGCTTTTTGATTACTGATTTGATCCCTTTACTAGTTATAGTTCTATTTAGATTTTCTATTTCCTTATGAGTTAGTTTTGGTAGATTGTGTGTTTGTAGGGATTTGTCCATTTTGTCCAGATTATTCAAATTGTTGGCATACAGTTTTACATGGTATCATCTCATCATCCTTTTTAGTTTTGTAAATAAGTAGTGTCACCACTTTTTTTTTTTTTTTTATGGAGTCTTGTTCTTTCATCCAGGCTGGAGTGCAGTGACACGATCTTGGCTTACTGCACCCTCCACCTCCTGGGTTCAAGCAATACTCCTGCCTCAGCCTCCCTAGTAGCTGGGACTACAGGCGTGCACCACCATGCCTGTGTAATTTTTGTCTTCTTGGTAGAGACAGGGGCTTTACCACATTGGTCAGACTGGTCTTAAACTCCTGACCTCAAGAAATTCACCTGCCTCGGCTTCCCAAAGTGGTGGGATTACAGGCATGAGCCACTGCGCCTGGCTGTGTCACCACTTTCCTATATTTAGTAATTTGGTGTTCTTTCTCTCTGTCTCTCTTTATTTATTTTTTGGTTAATCGAACTAGCTAGAGTTTTCTCAACTTTTTCAAAGAATCAGCTTCTGGTTTTGTAATTTGTCTCCATGTTTTTCTGTTCTCTGTTTGTTCTCACTCTAATCTTTACTATTTTCTTCCTTCTGCTAGCTTTGGTGTAGTTTACTTTTTTCTGGTTCCTTGAGGTGTATGGTTAGGTTATTGAGTTGAGAATTTTCTTGTTTTTTTAATGTAAAGGTTTACAGCTTTAATTTTTTCTTTTAGCCCTGCATTCACTGCATCCTGTAAGTTTTAGTGTATTGTGTTTTCATTTTCATTTGTCTCAAGACGGTTTCTAATTTCCTTCATGATTTTTTCCTTTGATCTATTGGTTATGATTCACAAATTTTCCCATATTTGTGAATTTGTTAGTTTTTCATCTGCTGTTGGTTTTTCATTTCCATTATGATCAGAAAACATACTTTGTAAGATCTCAATTTCTTTAAATGTATTAAGACTTACTTTGTAGCCTAATATATGGTCTGTTTTGGAGAATGTTCCATGTACACTTGAGAAGAATATATTGTGCTGATGTTGGGTGAGTTTAGGTGTTGACATGTTACATTTGAGCATACATGTAGGTGGAGATGTGAGATATTCATTTAGGAGAAAAGCCAAGGGAAGAAATTTGTTAATGAACTGTAAAGAGGGGTTGACATTCACAAGAATATGTAATTTTTTTTTTTGAGAAACAAATTTAGAGTGACAGAACAGCCTTGAATATATTCTTATTTAGAAGGCTGAAGTTTGAATATAGCCTGGAGTGTTAGAAAAGGATGGAACAGTTTATCATAGACCAGAGCCAAGAGAGTATAATATTTAGATTTTAAATATCAAAAAGAAGATACGATCAGCTGAATTCAAAGTTGAAGCCTATGCATGGTGGCTCATGCCTGTAATCCCAGCACTTTGGGAGGGTGAGGCAGAAGGATCACTTGAGCCCAGGGGTTCAAGACCAGGCTGGCTAACATAGCGAAACCCTGTCTCTACTAAAAATACAAAAATTAGTCAGGCCTGGTGGCAGGTGCCTGTGATCCCAGCTACTCTGGAGGCTGAGGCGGGAGAATCGCTTGACCCCAGGAGGCAGAGGTTGCAAAGAGCTGAGATGGTGCCTCTGCACTCCAGCCTGGGTGACAGAGGAAGACTCCATCTCAGAAAAAAAAAAAAAAAGTTCAGAAAACAGCTCCCTTGTTTGGGAAGGACTGTTTTTGATATACCCTTAAAAATTCAATAAAGAAAATAGAAAAAAGATTTTTTTTTAATTTGAGAAACATTTAAATGATGACCACTACTTAAATTATGAAATTGAAAACCAGAAATATAAATTATGCACTCTTTATAGTATGAGTTTTAGAGGTTGTTAATTTGCTATCATATTAGGTAAATCTGGAATAGAAGAAACTTCATAAATTATCTTATCGCTATATTTGAATTCTGTAGAAGTTGTTTCCGGACAGTCTATGAAAAGCTCTTGCTGGCCACGGAGGAAGTAGGCAGCTGACAAAAAGTTCTGCAATTGCCTGTGCCAAACTGTGTAAAGCAAGTACTTACATCAATTGGGAAGATAACGCTGTCATTTTCCTACTTGTTCAGTCCATGGTGGTTGATCTTAAGGTAATATGCTTATTCTTTCTCTACTACAAAGTTTAAGAAAATTAAATTAATTTTCTAGCATAAGTATTATGTCAAAGAGAATTGCTAACATTAAAGTTCTGATTCTTCTTTGATAAGTTCATAGGACTTGCTTTTGTTGTTACTGCGTTCATCAGTCTAAATGGACTGAGAATATGAAGAAAACACTGTTTTCTTAAATGAGCATAAATATACCGACTTGGGTTTAAAATAATGTGGCAATCAGGGCCTGAAAGGAACCTATATATGGTACAGGAAGAATTGTATCAGGCGGATGAACCACAGTATTGGTGCTTTGTGCTGCTTCTGGCAACTGAATTTTACTGCCATCTATATGGATAATGTGTTGATGTTATTACATATTAGTAAAGAAATACTGCATGGGTATTTAAAGGCTTTTGTTTTCTGTTGGGGTTTTTATAGAACCTGCTTTTTAATCCAAGTAAGCCAGTCTCAAGGGGCAGTCAGCCTGCAGATGTGGATCTTATGATTGACTGCCTTGTTTCTTGCCTTCGTGTAAGCCCTCACAACAACCAACAGTTTAAGGTGAGGGCATTGGTTTTTATCTAACTATGTTTACTGATGCCATTATCCTTTATAAACGGAAAGACTAGAGGGATAACAGGTTCACCTCTATCGGCATTTCTCACTATTACGTATTGATGTTCATTTCAAGACCTTAAAAACTTAGTGTTTTTTAAAAAACTTTCTATTTGCTGTTCTTTTTGACTTCATTTGTATTACTGAGTATTTTTCTCATAGAAATAATCTGCTTTTTTTTCTTTTTCTATAGATCTTCCTGGTGCAGAATTCACATTCTACATTTCACTATGTGCTGGTAAATTCACTCCATCAAATCATCACCAATGTAAGTCCAATAGGCATTGCTAAACTACTAAAAAAAAAAATTTTCATTATTTTCTTTGCATATTTCTTTTTACGAAACGCACTCTTGGTTTTCAAAAAGGTTCTGAATTTAGATGTACGGAATAGGAAAATTTCTCCATGGTGATTATATTTGATAATTGATAAATACTTGTATTTTTCATAGTAAGCCTTGACCGAAGGGCCCATATTAAGGAAGATGGAGTTAATAAGATGCTTTGGAAAGATAAATCTAAAGCATTTTATTCAGATCAAAAGCCCTAGAGAAAAATGGCACTGAAAATATAATATAAAATTTTCATCCCAAAGCTTTTCAAACATATTATTTGAATACTCTTAGCCCTTTCACAGCATTTGATTCGTTGACTTGCCACCTTACCATTTAAGTTAAAAGTAATAGTATTTATGTTGTAGTCCAGTATAGCACACTGACAAAATGATGGGACTATATTTGATGGTACTTTAAAACCTTTTGATCTTAAATTTATTCATATTGTAAAATTTCATTTTTCTTAAAATAAAATATTAACATACTCTAAAAGAGGTATTCACAAGATACAAAAGCATATCAAACAAAATAAGTGAAATCATTAAAAGGTACTTGGGAAACCTTCAACTCTGATATGGTGACATTAAATAGAGAGCAAAACTTTATCAGATTTGGACTGTGGATTTTTAAAATTCTAATTATGAACAACCCAGTTTTGAAAGTTCTCAGGTGTTGGCCAGGCGCAGTGGCTGATGCCTGTAATCCCAGCACTTTGGGAGGCCAAGGTGGGTAGATCACGAGGTCAGGAGTTCAAGCCTGGCCAAGATGGTGAAACCCCATTTCTACTAAAAATACAAAAAATTAGCCGGGTGCGGTGGCAGGCGCCTGTAATCCCAGCTACTCGGGAGGCTGAGGCAGGAGAATTACCTGAACCTGGGAGGCGGAGGTTGCAGTGAGCTGATATAACGCCATTGCACTCCAGCCTGGGAGACAAGAGTGTGACTTCATCTCAAAAAAAAAAAAAGAAATGGTTTAGCACTTATTACTTAGTCATTGCTTCCATATTTGTGTACATTGCTATTGGTCCCATAAACTGATACATTTCTTGCAGTCTTTTTGGAACGCTATTTGGCAGGAGCTATACAAACATTTCATTTTTTTTTGTACAAATAATTCAATTTCTATGACTTTAAAAATATTATGAATATAACTCAAAAGGAAAAAGCTGCACACATAGGTACTTATTACTCTTGATTACAATAGGAGAATATTAGAACTTTACTAGGAGGAGAATGGGTTAATATTCAATAATGAGAATGGTATTTTAACTTGGTGAGCTGATAAACATTCATTAAAACCTATATAGGGCCGGGCGCAGTGGGTCTCGCCTGTAATCCCAGCACTTTGGGAGGCTGAGGTGGTGGATCATAAGGTCAGAAGTTCAAGATCAGCCTGGCCAAGATGGTGAAACCTGTCTCTACTAAAAATACAAAAAAAAAATTTAGCTGGGTGTGGCGGTGGACCCCTGTAATCCCAGCTACTTGGGAGGCTGAGGCAGAGAATTGCTTAAACCTGGGAGGCGGAGGATGCAGTGCCCCGAGATCACATCACTGCACTCCAGCCTGGGCCACAGAACGAAGCCACGTCTCAAAGAAAAAAAAAAAAAAAAAACCTATATAGATCTGCGGGGCATGGTGGCTCATGCCTGTAATCCCAGTACTTTGGGAGGCCAAGGCGGGCTAATCATGAGGTCAGGAGATCAAGACCATCCTGGCTAACATGGTGAAACCCCGTCTCTACTAAAAATACAAAAAATTAGCCGGGCGCGGTGGCGGGCGCCTGTAGTCCCAGCTACTCCGGAGGCTGAGGCAGGAGAATGGCGTGAACCCGGGAGGCGGAAGTTGCAGTGAGCCGAGATCGCGCCACTGCACTCTATCCTGGGTGACAGAGCAAGAGTCTGTCTCAAAAAACAATAGCAACAACAACAACAACAAAAACCTATATAGATCACATAGCAATAAGGAAAAACGATACGTCAAGTGAGTATACTGTGTTTATGGCTTTGTTAAAACGTGGAAAATACAAAAAAAAGGGAACATGAAAAAATCAAAGCAGGGAAAAGGCTAATACGTTTTCTTTCAATATATATTTTTAAAGTTTTATCAAACAAAAATATAGAGAATTTGTCACTTGAAAAAGCTACTGCCAGTAAATTGTACCAAGTTTTGGTACAATAGTAGCAAATTTGATTTTTAATTTGTGTTGTTTTTTTTTGATAGGAGAGCTTTAAATTAATAGTTTTTTGAGATTCTCACAATTAATTGCAATTTTCATTAAATATCTCAAAGTAATTACAATAACAATGTTTGAAATGAGATGATATGGGTCTGGCCTTTATACGTTGATAAGTTGACCAAGGACTGAAAGGAATGTCCAGAGCTTCACAGTGTCTGCTGGGTTGGGGGTGGAGGGGGGGTGGGAGGAATGTGAGTTGGGATTGTAGAATTGGAGTTAAGATAGGATAAGTTTGAAGAAAGAGTTTACGTTTTATTCTTTATATCTTTGATGGTTTTAATTTATGTAATAATCTATATGTTATATATTGTAAGTGAATTATTTAATTCCTGTTAATGTTCTCTGAACCAAATTCCAATTTCAGTTCTATGGTCCATTGAAATACTTTAGAATGGATAATCTGTTATGAAATACAAAATCCATTTTGCTTCCTCTCTCTTGATTTTGAAAAATAGTTGCTCTTTTCTGTTACGAGAGACTTTGTGGCAAGTGAGACGATTTTTACTTATCTTTTGCTGTGTGTATTAATTTTGGCAAGCCCTTCTTACTTGGGGATTAACTTTTTGTTTCACAGAGTTCTTTAATATCTGTTGAAATTATTTTGTTTGTTTCTTAAAGGAATTTTTACAGTTGTATATTGTTCTGAATTCATCATTTAGGTTTATATGGTTATGCCAGTTAGAGTAAGAATGATGGGAATAAAATGATATCATTCTGTCTATATTATTCCCTAGAGGTTTGTGTTCACCAGAGTTTATCTGTTTTTACCTTTTACTATGTATTGAAACTACAAATGAAATAGCTCAATTTCTTAGCATTTATACAATAAATACTCCAGCGTTATGTTTACCAAACATGTTTGAGTGAGTCTTCTCTTTGCCTTTCTCTTTTTAAAAAAAATTCAGGCTCTGCTGGTTCTTCGTCAGTTAGATAGCATTGATTTGTGGAATCCTGATGCTCCTGGAGAAACATTTTGGGAGATTAGGTATATGTACTTTTATTTTTTAAATTCAACTTTTAAATTTTATTTTGTATTTTTTGTCTTGAAATATTAACTCTATAGTATTTAGTATATTGTAAAACTTATACTTCCAAAGGTTTTATGATTTTGTATTTTTCTGACTTCAAATTATTAGAATTTCTTGTTTTAACTGTAAAAAAAGTGTCACAGCAATTTAGAAAATAAGTTTTAAGAATAGTGCTAAATTTTGTCACCCAAACATAAGTACTGTTCTTTGGTATATTCCCTTTTTCAGATTTCAGTGTGGTTACTACTGTGATTTTAATAGATTTTCACAGTTTTAAGCCTAGAATGATAAAATTTTGTAAAAATATTGTTTTTTCAGTTTTTTAAGCTGTGTGATCTTTCACAAACTTTCTGTAATACGAATGCTTTTGATGAATGAATTAATCAGGGACAACTGCTTAGAAGACAAAAATATATACAGAATGTTGTGGTCTACTTCCTAGATTATATAAGTCATTACATTTGCATGAGCATAAAGTCACCACACTGAGGAAAATGGAAATGTGTAAACCTCAAGTTTGCCATTATCTTATAGGAATGGGTGTGCTAAGTTACGTGGCAGCTGAATTAAACCTTACTCTAGAGCAATGCTCTCCAATAGTAATATAATTAGAACCCCATATGTTAAAGTTTCCTACCTTAAAGAGTAAAAAGAAGCAGGTAAAGTTAATTGTATTAATATTTTATTTAACCCAGTGTATATTATCTGTAATATAATTTCAACATGTAATCAATGTAAAAGTTATTAATGACATATTTCATTGTCTTTTTTAAATAAAGTCTTCGAATTTTGGTGTGTCTTTTATACTTGCAGCACATCTCAATTTGAACAAGCCACACTTAAAGTCCTCGATAGCCATGTGTGGCTGCCCAGTGGCTACCATGTTAGACACTGCAGCTCTAGAGTAGGGATCAGGAAACTTTTCTCTTAAGGCCAGAGAGTAAATATCTTAGGCTTTGCGGGTCATACAGTTTCTGTCATAACCATTCAGTTCTGCCTCTGAAGCATGAAAGTGGCCACAGACAATATGTGAATGAACGGGCGTGGCTGTGTTTAACTAAGACTTTATATTTACAGTAGCAAGTGATAGGCTGGATTTGGCCTATGGATGGTAGCTTGCAGACCCGCTGTCCTCATTCAGCTACCTCTGTCCCCCAGGGGAGTGCCTAGGTGGCCAGAACCTCCTCTGGGCTTCAGCCCATGCTGCTTAGGTCCGGGCTCCCTTGGGGAATCTCTGAACATGCACCTCACAGTCTCATGTTTGTGTGGTGGACGATGTGCACATGCCTGCCCATCCTGTGTGGAATCCTCACGTGCTTGAGAGTCTAAAACACTTCTAATAACTCATGAGGAAGACAAAATTATAAAGGAACTTTTCAAATACTTAGAACTGAAGAATAATAAAAATACTACATAGCAAAATGTGTAGAATGTAGTTAAAGTTCATTGTATACAGGGAAATGTAGCCTTTTAAAGACAGACTGGAAAAGAAGAAAGGCTACAAATTAATGAGTTAAGCTTCCAACTTAAGGACGAAAGAGGCAAGGCATGGTGGCTCATGCCTGTAATCCCAGCACTTTGGGAGGCTGAGGTGGACAAATCACCTGAGGTCGGAAGTTCAAGACTAGCGTGACCAACATGGCAAGACCCCGTCTCTACTAAAAATACAAAAATTAACTGGGCATGGTGGCGGGCGCCTGTAATCCCAGCTACTCAGGAGGCTGAGGCAGGAGAATCGCTTGAACCTGGGAGGCAGAGGTTGCAGTGCGCCAAGTCAGACTCTGACTCACGCTACCGCCCCTGCCACCCCCAGTTGTTTCAGAAGTGCTGCCTGGGGCAGAGGATCCTGGAGGCCTGGGAAGCCAACGACCACACACAGTAAGAGCCACTCGGACACGGAGGGACCCAGCCTGGCCAGTCAGGGATGCAGAGACGCACCTCAGCCGGGCACTGGTGATGCTGCGTGCAGGACTGCATGCTCTGGTGGAGCGCTGGGTGTGCGACACAGCTCCACACTCAGGCTGCCATGCAAGGGGCCCTCCTACTGGGTGGACAGCTGCAAATGCTACTTGGGGAGGGGGCACAGGGAGCTGACAGGAAGCAGTCCCATCCCCACCAGGCACCTGCTCTGGCCCCTGCCCAGCCTGGCTTGCCTAGACTTTGCCCTCTTGCGGGTCCCCTGTCCATTCCTGATCTTCCCCAAGAACTCGGGTGCTCCATCAGCACTCGCACATGGGGACACGTTATTTTGGTCTTTCCGTGTCTTCTGCTTAATGGGTGCTCCCTCCGGTCAGGACACACGTCCTGCCTATTGTCCTGGACCCAAAGCCATCCCCACCCATTCATTGTCCTGCTGGGAGCTGTCTGGCTCTGGGCGATATGAGGAGGGACTCACTGGAGCTGGGAGGGGTTTGAGTGCAGCTGTGGGGAAGCAGAGGCTGAGCTGGGCCGCACAGCATGGAGGTCCCACCCGACCCTCCCTGCAGGGTGCTGAGCCTGAGCTTTGTAGCTGACAGCGTGGGCTCAGCTCCTGCGCCACTGCTGCCACCAGCAGGGCTCAGGCCACACCACGGCCTTTCTGCCTCCGTTTCCCTGTCTGTAAAATGGGATGAGAGCAGTGTCTGTCTCCATGTCTGTCTCAGTGGCACTTTTGGTAGTGAGGTTGGGGTGAGCCTGCTTCACGTGGCAGGTGCTGCTCAAACAGAAGTGTCTTGGAGGCAGGGCCGGGGGCACGGGCTCTGGGCAAGGGCCGGGCACTTGCTCTGGAGGTGAACCTGGAGGCCTGTGCCACTTGGCTCACCGGGTCATGGGTCTGGCAAGGTTGGGGCCAGGCGGCCACCCTGATGGTGCTTGTGGCTTTTAGGGCGATGGGTGGCATGAGGCGTGGGAACATAGGCCACCTCACGCAGATCGCCAACGTACTGGTGCAGAACCTGGAGTGGGGCTCTGTGCAGACGCACATCAGCGAGGTCATCTGAGGTGAGCCCCCCACCCGGTCATCCTTTTGCTGGTCGCGGGCACCGGGGCTCTGAAGGAGCTGCTGCCCGAGGCTCCCCTCTGCCCGTCAGCAGGTGCTGATTGCACTGACAGTGAAAGACCCCGCAGCCGTCTCTGTCCTCTCACTTCCCACATCAGATCTATCCTCAGGGGGACCTGGGTCTCATGTGTCAGTTCTGTTGGGCAGACTTCTGTGGAGACCTTACCAGGCGTCAGCATGTGGCACAAGAGACAGTCCCTGCTGGGGGCAGTTGGTGACTCTGGAGCTGGTGCTCCGAAGCCATTAGCGCTGCCAGGCTCCTTGCAGCTCATGGAGTCCTGCCTGGGTGCAGGCAGTCCTGGCCGTGTGCCAGCTTTGCTCTGCATTCAGGTGGTTGGAGAGTCTCACATTCTCACTCAGGTGTGAGACTTCATAGCACAAGTCTCAGGGGAACAGGTAGCACCCTGTTTCTTAAGAGCACAGTGGATTAGGTGGACACAGGCACACCACATGTGTGGCAGAGGCGGGCCCAGCCATGGCCCCTCCTCCCTATACCGGTACAAGGTGAGGAAGCTCTGGATGGTCCTCCCTGCACCCCAGGACCATAGGGTGAGGGGTCTCCTGGGTTGGGCCCCATTAGCCCCTAGCAAGGTCAGGCCTGCCGGCCACTGTCACAAATAATAAGAGCAGGGCAAGAGGAGGGCAAAAGAGATGGGTGGAGGTGGAGGCCAGGGAGGGCTCCCCAGGGCAGGGGTGGTTTAGGTAGGCGAGGGGCAAGCAGGAAGCTCTTGGATCATCCCATACAGTCTCCAGATTGTGAATCCTTCCAGGGTTCTGACCTCCCCAGAAAAACAGACAGGACACACACCCAGGCCTGTAGGCTGCTGCTGAATTTGGGCCTGTGAGGCAGGGTGAAGGAAGCTTGCTGCTTTCTCAGATTCTGTTCCACAGCTTCTGCGTTTCTGGGAGTTCCTCAGAATGGGCTTCCACACCAACAGACTTGGAACTCGGTTGCCCACTGAGGTCTCGGTAGGGGCAGAAGTGCCCCCCACCCTGCCCAGAGTTGCTGCACCTCAATCTCACTGTGGCCCCTGGCCCCTCCGGACACGCGACTATGCTGCCTCCTTCCCATCCAGCAAAGCTCCTGCTTCAGGCCCTCAGATGGACTGACCACAGTAGCACCGCCCCATCCTTCTGGACCCAGGATGCACCTGCCGGAGCGCCTGAGTGCCCTGAGCCACCTGCACGGGGTCTCCCAGGGCTCACCAGGCAGCACTTTCCTTGCAGGGCTCCCTGTGGATTGCCATGGCTGCTAGGAGAGCTTCGTGGAGGAGACGCTGACGGAGACCAACTGCAGGAACACTGTGGACTTGTTGAGGAGGCTCGGGGCTGACCCTCGGCACCCGCATGGTGCTGGGACGCAGGAGGCTCGGGGCTGCCCCCTTGGTGCATGCACGGTGCTGGGACGCTGTCAGACGCTCCTGTCTTTGCCCCGAAGCAGAGGCCAAGAGAGGCACAAGGGCCGCACACCTGCCTGCTCCTCTTGGACACGGGTGCCCGAGCATACCCTGCAAGTGTGCAGTCTGTCCTCCAGGCTGATGCCTGAAACACAGACCCTGTCCTGTGCCACACCCAGGGCTGGTCTCTGAGGACCTCTGTGCAGAGCCGGTGTTGGCCCCAGGTCCCTTCCCTCCCAGTCCAGGAGCTGTAGCTTGTTGGCAGAGGGCTCCATATGCCTGAGACCAACCTGCCCCCTGCACATGGATGTTGGGCTGTCACAGGACCTTGGCCTCACCTGGGCACCTCCTTACACAGCAAGGCCTCCTGGGCCCAGAGATCTGGTGAGTGACATGCTGGGTGGGGTCTGGGAGCCCTGGGCTGGGCAGGATCTGGGGCGCTGGGCTGGCTCACACACCCACCCCATCTGGCCTGTGTTTTAGGCAAGTACTCACTATCTTCACTCCTCGAGTGAGGACATTGAGGGTGCTTTCCCTAATGAGCTGTCCCTTCAGCAGGTGAGGGCGTGGCCGGCCCCTGCACCCTGCCGGGCCCTTCCTGGCACCTGTGTGCTCTGCACTTGGTCCTCCAGACAAGTCTCTGATGGCATCTCACTAGCAAAAGGGAGAGGGGGCTCATCTCCGAGCACGTATGGGGTGGGGTGGGTCTGAGGGGAGAACTCCAAAGTCACTCCACCTTGATGAGAGCACTGAGGACACAGCAGATAAACTCGAAAGTCAAAGAATATGGGACGTATCTCGGATGTGAGCACAGTGAGCACGCGGCCTGAGTTTTGGTAGAATCGTGAGCCCTGAACAGTCAGAGTTTACTGCCCACTTTTGCTGGAGGAGAAGCTCCTGAACAACTAGAGAGACTGTGGTTCCCAAAGAGCAGCCGGTAGGCCTGAGGACTGCTCTATGACCGGCGTCAGTCCCTGCCTCCCTCCTTCCGTTCCTCCTTCCCTCCTTCCCTCCCAGGACTTCTCTGACTACCAGATCCAGCAGATGACGGCCAACTTTGTGGATCAGTTTGGCTTCAATGATGAGGAGTTTGCAGACCATGACAACATCAAGTGAGTCCACTTGGATGCCCCCTGCACGAGGCGCGACTCCCCCTCCTCGCTGCTGAAGTCCCATGGGGGCAGCTCCCTTAGGCCTTGCCGGGAGATAACAGGTGTTTCCAGTTGCGTGAGGGTGCTGAGGCCCCCAGTGAGCACCAGGGGAGGAGCACTGAGGCCTCAGATGAGCACCGGGGAGGAGTCCTGAGGCCCCAGATGAGCAGCAGGGGAGGAGCACTGAGGCCCCAGATGAGCAGCGGGGGAGGAGCGTTGAGGCCCCAGATGAGCACCAGAGGAGGAGAGCTGAGGCCCCAGATGAGCCCCGGGGGAGGAGCGCCGAGGCCCCAGATGAGCAGTGGGGGAGGAGCACCGAGGCCCCCAGATGAGCAGTGGGCCGGGCGGGGAGCGCCGAGGCCATCCCCCTTGCTCTTGCAGCGCCCCATTTGACAGGATCGCGGAGATCAACTTCAACATCGACACTGAGGAGGACAGTGTGAGCGAGCGGGGCTGTGCGGGGTCATGCAGGCACCCTTTTCCCAGGCAGCTCAGGCCGCGCCCATGGCTCGGTCTGTCGTGGGCCTGTGCGGTGGGGCTGGGAGAGGCCCCTCTGTGGAGCTAGGGACAGTCGCTTTTCTTGACCCTTCCCATCATGCCCTCCAGCCCATGGCGCCCACATCCTGAACTAAGCCCCTCTGGGAGCCCTGTGGGGAGAGCGCCTTCTCCCCCAGACCGTCTGGAAACTGACCTTGGCGTTTTACTCTGCAGCCCAGCGCAGCTCTGAGGCCTGCTGCAGCGACCGCATCCAGCACTTTGATGAAGACGAGGACATCTCGGAGGACAGCGACACTCGCGGTGCTGCCCAGGTGAAGGCCAGAGCCAGGTGCGGGGCCTGCCCATCCCCCCAAAGCCTCTGCCGAGGAGGTGCAGCCCCCAGAACACCCGTCAGATGCCCAGACGCCCTGCTGTTTGTTATGCCGGCTCGCAGAAAAGGAAACCCGTCCTGCAAGCACTGGCGCCCAACGCAGCGGGTGACACTCAGGAGCCCGGAGCTGAGGCCTGGAGTGACTTGTGCTCCTCACTCAGGGCATTCTGTGCTCACCCTCAGCCTGGAGCCTGGTGCTGTCACTGACCCTCAGTGTTAGGCATCTGTCCTGGGCCACCAGGCATCTGACTCTGCATCTCCCCGAGGTTTGGAGCCCCCCATGCTTCAGAGAGCTGCTCAAAGAATGGCCCGGAGTGCGGAGGCCAGGATGGGAAGGCGAGCTTGGAAGCAGACGGTGATGCGCCTGGGGCAGGTGCCCCCCAGACCCTGGAAAGAACAAAGCCCCTCCTCTGGAGGGTGACTCAGAAGGTGGTGCTGTGGGGCCGGGGACGTGTGTGTTGGGGACAGGACATGGTACCCTGGCCTAGGGGTGTGGAGGCTTCATTTGGAGCTGAGGCATTTGGGGCTCACAGTGGCCCGAAACCTGCATCTCCAGCTCTTTCCCAGCCATCCTGAGTAGGGGTCTGTGCTGCCCTGTGCCCGGCACAGGGTGGTCTCCTGCCCCTGCCTCTCGGTTGTTGTCACTCCGCCACTGTCACCAAGGTTGATGGGTGGTGTCCACCTAGTCCGCATCGTCCACCCGGCCCCCATACAATGCGGCACAGGCCTGATGCCCACCCCAGCGCAGCAGCACAGGCTGGCCTCCACCCTCACGGCTGACATCTAGGACAGGAGCCAGTCCACCCTGCAGGCTGCGTGGCTGATAAGACCCCTCTCCTTACCCCTGCCCTGGGGGCAGCACTGACCCACTCAGGATTTTGGGGAGGGGGCAGGGATCTCTGTTAGGAGGTGCTGAGCTCTTAGCTGAGGCCAAAAGAGAGAGCAAGGGCAACACCCTGGGGAAGCAGGAACGTCCCAGATAGGAGGAAGGCGGCTCATCCTTGAGGCCAGGGAGGGCCCAGTGGTGCTTGGTGAGCTGCCGTCTCTGTTGGATGCGGTCCTGGATAGGACAGGGCAGTGGCATCACCTCCACACTGTCAGCGTCAGCCATGCTGGAGGCCTAGAGGCCCTCAGGCACCTTACTGAGCCTCAGGTCATGGAGGGCAGTGGCATTGCCTCCACACTATCAGCGTCAGCCCTGCCAGAGGCCTAGGGGCCCTCAGGTGCCTGACTGAGCCCCGGATCATGGAGGGTAGTGGCATCACCTCCACACTGTCAGTGTCAGCCCTGCTGGAGGCCTGGGGGCCCTCAGGCGCCTGGCTGAGCCCTGGTTCACATGCCCCATGGATGTTGGCAGCTTGTCAGGACCCTCGAGCTGTCCCCTGTTATTCTCTGAGGGGCTGAGGGGCACTGCCTGGGCCTCCCTCCTGGAGCAGCCCCATGTTCCTGTCAACCTCTGTGGGGCCCCCGGTGGGGGGGGTACGCTGCCTCCCCTTTGCCTGCAGCACCCCAGACAGGCCTGCCCACACCTGACCACTGTGTCTCTCACCCAGCAGATGCCATGTGGATGACAGTGTTTGATGAGCCAGCGAACTCGACGCCCATAGCCCCAGGAGGGGTGAGGGACATGGGTTCCAGCGTGTGGGCAGCTGGCACCTCAGCTCCAGAGGAGAAAGCCTGGGCCAGTTCACCGAATTCCAGCCTTTCTGCTGGTAACAAATGTATTGGCAGGAAGGGGCCGTGTCAGGAAGTGCCTGTCAGGGTCAGGAGGTGCCCGTCCCCCGGGACTGACCCTGTCCTCGTCCTTGTCTGTAGCTCTGAATCAGGGCCCAGGTGCAGCTCTCTGATGGACACAGAACACAGCCAGGCTGAGGCAGCCAGAGCCAAGGCTTCGAGAAAGCCTGTGAGTAGCAGCAGTGCAGGCAGCACCCAGCCTCCTGCAGAGGCCTAGCCTTGCCCAGTGTAAGGCCTGAGGCCAGCTGGCCCCCCTCCTTGGGGTCAGTGGGAGAAGGTGGCCAGGACCCCGCATGCTGCTAGGTCTCTGGTAACATTGAGGTTTGATACAGCAGTGGGACTGGAGCAGCCACGTGCAGATGGGGAGGCCCCCAGCCCCCAGAGGGGAGGCAGCAAGGCCATTGGGCTGGCCCTGAGCCCCGTCTGAGCAGGTGGCACAGCCCAGGTCTGCACCCTTGGTTCTAGACAGCAGCACCAGGACCCCAGCATTGAGATGTGTGTGGGTGGGTTGTTGGCAGGAAGCCATTCTGGGGCCTGATCAGAGCCCCTGGCCCCCAGGCCCCTAGTCAGGCCGAGAGGCTGCCTCAGACAAGGCTGAGAGCTCCAGGCGAGCGACAGCTGGCTTCCAACACGGGTGTCCCCGGTGCTTGAAGGAGCTGTGGCGGGACCACACAAGGCAGAGCGGGCCCCTTCCTGAGCCTCTGCGTCCTCATGTGAGACCAGAGCACATTGCCCTGTATCATGGGGGAGGCAACAGTGTTGCTTGTATGGAGACCACATGGAAGGTGTGTGAGCCTGTTAGCCTCGTCATGCTGTTTCCACACAGGTACACGTGTGCAGGCAACAGGCTGCATGTGAGAGGGCTACACGTAAGGGATCCCTATGGCCGGGGTTGCCACACCCTGTGGCCCCTCCTGCCTCACTGGACAGCACAGGCCTCCTACTCTGCAGTCAGCCCAGCTTCTCCATGTACCTCCGTGTACCTCCGTGTGTGTCACCAGGAAGGCCCCCCTGCTGGCCTCTGACAGCAGCTCCTGTGGGGGCTCCGACAGCGATACATGACGACCAGAAGGCAGTGAGTGCCATGGATGCTGTGAACACGGGTCCGGGCCGGGAGGCCCCCCGCTCCCGCTGCCCACAGTGGCCAGGACAGAGGAGGCTGTCAGCAGGTGTGTGGGGCGTGGGGGGTAGGTGGGCAGGCCTGCCTGGGTGCAAAGGCTGCGGCTTCCAGGCTCTGTCCCCAGCTCTTAGCTCCCTTGCGAGCAGGTTGAGGCCAGGCCAGGGGTCTTCTCCACACTGCTTCCCCGATGGCCCCGTGACCCCTTACAGGCTGGCTCGGGGTGGTCATGCCCACGCATTTAAATAGAGGCAGGATGGGAGGAGTGTGGGGGCTTCCTTCTTGGACAGAACATCTGTGTTCTCTGTTGTGAGTGGTTAAGACAAGAAGACAGGGCCTGGATGTCCCAGACAGTCCCCCAGGGACTTGGTGGGGGCAGCCCCTACCCCAGATCCCAGTTAGAGAGAACAGCCCAGCTCTTGGGGCTCTGGGCCTGGCTGAGCCACCTGGGATCTGGGTACCCTGGTGGTCGGGGAGGGGCACAGACTTTAAGTCCAGCAGGTGAGCAGGCATCTGTGAGGCTCATGCAGACCTCGCCTGCTGCTCCCCTTCCATGGGAGGCCTATGATTTGCAGATGCCTCAGAAGCCAGGACAGTAGGATGGGGGGGGCGGGGGCCTCAGGACTGCACTTGGGGCATCCAAACCCTGACTGAGAGTTGGAGGCAGCTTACAGATGGGCAGAGGCTCAGGCTCCCTTGAGCCTCCAAGAGCCATTCCTGGGGAGAGAGTGGAGAGGGAGGCGCTCCCTGTGAGGAGGCTGGAGTATGGCCATCCCCTCCAGCAAGCTGAATCCCATCCATCCCCCTACAGGAAGAAGGTCCCTGGCATCCTTCAGTGAACAGATACCTCTTCTGGCCTTTGGGGTCAGGGGTTGGGAGTTTAGCAGGAGGGCAGGACAGCTGGGGTAGATGCTAGGGCCAGGTAAACCTGAGGGGGAAGGTAGGACTGGGCTTGAAGTGGGGAGGAGGGCACACCCGGCAAGGGCAAAGCTGTGCAGAGGCCCTGGGGCCTGAGCTCCCAGTAGGTCCAGGCAACAGTGGGGAAGTCCTTGGGCTGGATTCCTCTAGGAGAGGACAAGGTGCCTTTCACACCTGGCGGTGCATCCCAGTCACTCCTGTTTCCATGCTTGTGAAGGACCTGCCTGGAGTGGGGTGAGGGTGCCCCCAGCCTCGCCGCCCAATGCAGCTCAGCCTGCAAGCGTCCCACCTGTCCTACCCTCCCCCGACAGGTGGGGCAGGTCTGACACCTCAGAGGACCCTGCCCACTGACCCCAGCAGTCCTGGAGGGTCTGTGTGGTATTGGCGCTCTGGGTATCTCCCCCAACCAGGCTGCAAGCTCAGTGCCAGGCTGGCTCTCCCTGCCCTGTTGACCAGCAGGCCATGTCTGTGCTCACAGCTCCTCCCCTTGTTTGGCCACGCTGCCGTCAGGGCATCTGCAGCAAGTGGGGGGCACAACACGGGAAATGGGGCCAAGGCCACAGCAGTGGATGTCCCGATGCTGCCAGTCACTGGAAAGCCCAGGCCAGAGCCCCTCGGGTTGAAAGTCATACAGAGTTCCTGCGTGGGCTTCATTCCTTCTTAAAGTTTAGTCACTGAAATTCTTAAAAATCTTTATCCAGCCAGGCATGGTGGCTCATGCCTGTAATCCCAGCACTTTGGGAGGCCGAGGTAGGTGGATCACGCGGTCAGAAGTTCGAGACCAGCCTGGCCAATATGGTAAAACCCATCTCTACTAAAAATACAAAAATTAGCCAAGCGTGGTGGCACACGCCTGTAGTCCCAGCTACTCGGGAGGCTGAGGCAGGAGAATCACTTGAACCTGGGAGGTGGAGGTCACAGTGTGCCAAGATCATGCTACTGGACTCTGGCCTGGGCATCACAGTGAGACTCCATTTCAAAAAAAAAAAAAATCTTTACCCTCGGCTGGGTGTGGTGGCTCACACCTGTAATCCCAGCACTTTTGGGAGGACGAGGTGGGCGGATTGCCCAAGCTCAGGAGTTTGAGACCACCCTGGGCAACATAGCAAAACCCCACATCTACTAAAATACAAAAAATTAGGCAGGCATGGTGACGCATGCCTGTAGTCCCAGCTACTCAGGAGGCTGAGGCAGGAGAATTACTTGAACCTGGGAGCCAGAGGTTGCAGTGAGCAGAGATCGCACCACTGCACTCCAGCCTGGGCAATAGAGCGAGACTCTGTCTGCAAAAACCAAACCAAAACAAACCTTTACCCACTTTTCCTAAACAACCCCTAAAAAACTTTGCTCTGAAAAGCAGGGAATATCACTGTGCAAAGTAAGTTGCTTTTCTCCACGGGGCTATCTGTGTAAAACTTGCCACTGAGAGCTCTCCCTGCTCCGCTGTGACAGCCCAGCCTGCAGGTGAGCTTGCTTGCACTCCCACCTGATCAGAGCACGCCTCCCTGGGTCAGACACTCAATATCCTCGCCCTGCAGGAGGCCAGAGGGCCCATCTGCTGCTCATGGCCAGGCTGGGCCTTGGGGTGCCTGACCCCTTCCAGAGCAAGCCCCTTAGATGCCCAGCAGAATCCTCTCTCCCCTCCTGTACCTTGGGAGGTTTCCCCACACTATGCCCAGTGTCAGGCTGAAGTTGGGATCATGGCACAGGATCCTCTGGGGCCCTCAGAGAATGAGGTGCTTGATGATGAGCAGAATCTGAACGCAGCCTGGACGGAGGTTTGAGGTCATCAGTGGACAGACAGCTTGTCCCAGCACTTAGAACTCAGGGCAGCAGAGCTGCCTAGCTGGGCACAACCTGGGCCACCCCACAGAGGGCAGGAGTGGGAGAGGCCAAAGGTGGTGATCCCAGGACATTTTTGTATCTTTAGTAGAGATGGGGTTTCACCATGTTGGCCAGGCTGGTCTGGAACTCCTGACCTCAGGTGATCCACCCACCTCGGCCTCCCAAAGTGCCGGCATTACAGGTGAGACTCACCACACCCAGCCTATTTTTTTTTTTTTTAATTTAAGACAGTCTCACTCTGCCATTCAGGCTTGAGTGCAGTGACGCAGTTTCGGCTCACTGCAATCTCCACCTCTTGGGTTCATGGGATTCTCCTGCCTCAGCCTCCTGAGCAGCTGGGATTACAGGTGTGTACCACCACACCCAGTTAATTTTTTTTTTTTTTTTTGTATTTTTAGTAGAGACAGTGTTTCAGCATGTTGGCCAGACTGGTCTCAAACTCCTGACCTCAGGTGATCTGCCCACCTTGGCCTCCAAAAGTGCTGGGATTACAAGTGTAAGCCATCATGCCCAGCCCAGAGTGCAGTTTAAACCACCATTTCTGTGAAGCTTTCTTTGCCTGTTACCAGGTACTACCCATACATACACTACCCACGAACAAAGAAATGCGCGTTGTTCTGTGCTGCACATCACCATTGTAACAATTGTGATGATTTACTTTACAAGTTTCTCTCCCCTCTAGACTGTTGGCTCTCACATTTTTACATCTTTATCCTTTCATGAGTATTTAGCATGGTGTCGCCTTGTAGTGAATGCTTCATAAATATTTGTTAAATGAATGAATTTTAACTGATTATCTTTTTCTAAGCCACATGTTAAGATGTTCTTGTCTGTCTTTCAGTTAGGACTTTATTTTTACTTTTAAATTCAGAGCTTCTTGATGGGTGTTCTTTCTAAATAATTATTATTTAGCAACTGACTGTCATAAGAGATCCAAAATACATCAAATATCTAACAGAAAATATAAAATATGTAGTAATCTTAGCCCTCAAGGAAACCCAGATTTCCCAATTCTGAGTATATTGTTCAAGTTCCTTTTTCAGGACAGCGCAAGGTTCTGTCATTTATTTTTGTCTTTGTTTTTGTTTTGAGACAGTTTCACTCTGCCATCAAGGCTGCAGTGCAGTGGTGTGATCATGACTCACTGTAGCCTCAACTCACTGTAGCCTGAACTTTCTGTGCTTAAGTGATCCTCCTGCCTCTGCCTTCAGAGTAGCTGAAACTATAGGCACACGTCATCATGCTCCACCTAAATAATTTTTTTTTTTTGAGACAGGGTCTCACTATATTGCTCAGGCTGGTCTCCAAATCCTGAGTTCAAGCAGTCTTTCCACTTGACCTCCCAAAGTGTTAGGATTACAGGTATGAACCACTGTACCTGGCCAATTTTTTTATTTATTAACAAAGTGTTTCTAAAATTGTCACTGCCGGTCGTTTGGAAGAATCTGAGAAGTAGCAGCTCTGTTCTTGTTTCCAGAACTGCATCCTCTGCTGAATAGGTCTGGGTGCCCCCAGCGCAAGCCTCACCTTATTCACTTACTGACTCAGTTATCTCCTGACTAGAGAAGAGGCAGACCCATCTCCATCCTAGGAGGAGCTCTTAGTTCCTCCAGACAGGGATGTCTCCCTGGGACCAGGCAGTGTGACTGGGATGAGCCATTCATCATCAGGGAAGACACAGGCTACCTGGGTAGTCATGGTGTAGAATGCCTCCAGCACAGTGCCCAGAAGCCCCTGAATCTGGGAAGAAAGCTACTTCCACATCAGGTGAGAATGCACCTCTGCCCATACCTGGACTGGGTCTTGATAACGCCCTCAGAAATAGCATGCAGGGAGTCACCAGTCTTTTGAAGTGGTGGTGGTTGGTCTCTCGGTAACCAAGATCTGGGCTGCTTGCTGTGCCCAGTGGCACCCCTTGAGGGTCTCTTATGGTGGGCATCACTGGTCTTCTTAATTTGCTACTGTGTCCATCCTCAGAGTCCTTTGCTTTCTTTTTCAAAGTCAAGCTGTGCTCATATCCTAGACTCTTTCCTGTGGAGAAAGCACGTGAGTTAAAGATTCACCACAATAGTTCACACAGAAGCTCATTCCAGAACCTTCCCATGCACATTCAGGTGACCCCCACTTGTCACCTCCCACTTGCCAGCTCCCTCAGCCTGCCTAATAAAGTGAGATTGAGTTCGCTCCTGGGTCCCCAGATGCTCTCTGAATGCCAGGATCTCTAAAATTCTTTCAACCACCAAGAAGACCCCTTCTTACCCAAGCCTTGCTTGTCTTGCTTGTCTGTTAGGATAAAAAAGCAAGACTCTCTACCTGCTCTATCTTGTCAGGTGTCCTTGAAATTATTTTTTTTCTTCATTTCTTCTGCTCATCTGAGCTGGACTCTGATTCTGTTGATAAAAATGGAGTGTGTGTGAGTGCCTCCAACTGAACACCTTGGAAGCCTTAGTCCATTTTTGATACACTAGAGATGAGGTTTCCACAAAAACTCAGCTCTCCTCTGTGCTCCAGCGCCCAGGATCTGTAAAGTGCTGCATTCAAAAACGCTCTCAGTTTCTTTCCCAGGGGAGACTGTGTTAATCTATATCCTGTCCCTTCTCACCTTGGGAGAGTCAAGTCTTACTTGATCTAGCATTGCTGTTTCTGGTTTTGAGCTTAGTTTTCTTGGAATTCTATTTCCCATTTGGATTGCGGTCTGGTCCTAGTGGAAAAGGGAGTTCGGGTGATTCACCTCTCTGTAGACCCAGAGTCCCATAATCTATTTCTGACTCATATTTGTGGGTCATTTTCTCAACTGATGCTGTTCAGCCAGCGTCAAAAGTGAGTGGGAAGAATACAGTTCCAGGAGATCATCACCACATTTCTCAAAGCCACCTGAGGGCTGTAATCCATTTCCTGTCCTCAATTACAAAATAAACTCCTATCAAAGACATACAGCTTAGTATCCTTGATTCCACCCCTCTTTGCAACCTTCATAAGAACAGCCCAAGGTCTTACTTGAGCTTTGAGTGCAGCTCTCACTGGAATGGAAAGAGAGCATCTTGCCTTTTTCTTCAAATCATTTCTCCTCCTCATCTGAGCCCCTTTCTGCAAAGGAGATATGTTGGAAAGGGGGCTGGCCAGTGAGGTCTTGGATGGAGGCACAGTGAGAATTTTGGTCTGTAGTTCCCCATTCCATGTTGAAGCTCAAACAAAAGGTCCTCTCTCTTACACATCCAGATTCAGAGCGTAGCATGTTATGCTGGACTTGTCTTTTTTAAGTCTCTCTTTGCTTCGTTTTTGTTTTTGTTTTGTTTTGTTTTTTTGAGACAGGGTCTCACTCTGTCGCCCAGGCTGGAGTGCAGTGGCGTGATCTTGGCTCAATGTAAGATTCTCCTGCCTCAGCCTCCTGAGTAGCTGGCATTACAGGCGCGTGCCACTAGGCCTGGCTAATTTTTGTATTTTTAGTAGAGACGGGGTTTCACCATGTTGGTCAGGCTGGTCTCAATCTCCTGACCTCATGATCCACCTGCCTCAGCCTCCCAAAGTGCTGGGATTACAGGAGTGAGCCACCGTGTCCGGCCATAAGCCCCTGTTTATAAGCATGGCTCACTCTTACTGGCTGAAGAGATTGATTTCTCTTGCCTGCCGCTCTTCATAGCCTCCATAAGGAATGTTTCAGGATGTGATTATGCTGGGGATTTAGACACACATAAGGGGAGACTTTTGCAGAGTCCTGCCATAGCATCAAAAAACAAGATATAACAAAACCAGGAGGCACCGGGACTAGAATGCAGGAGGCTCATCACCTTTTGTTTCCCGGCCCAGTTCCCACCCAGGAGTACTCAAAACTCTGCCCAGATTCAAAATGCAAAATTAAACAGACCATATATTAACAGTTGTATATATATTTTGCACATGAAGAAAATCATTATAGTATTACAATTGTGTGTGTATATATATAGGCCATAATTTTTCAAATGCTTGGAAATGACAAATATTAAATTATACTTGATTGTATTAAATATATATATATATGATAAAATAAAATTCTATGATAGGGGATGTGGCATCTTGAAGGCCTAGTTGGGCTGCGTGTGCCATTAAGATATACAGGGCTGCAGAAAAGTAAACCCCAAATAGAATATTCCTTTATCCCTTGAATGTTGGAAGGATAATTAGATCAGATATGATCACGTTGAATTGATCAGATTGGAGCCAGTGCTAACTCAATCAACTTCCAATTCCTAAGGCAGCAGAAAGCCCAGCTGGAGAGGGAAACTTCTGCTCTATCTCACCCTCCCTCATTCATCCTGGGAGCCACATTGTGTTCTGTAGAATTTGCTCAGGATTCACAATCTGAGCTGATAAACTTACCTGGATTATCGTAACCCTTACCATTTTGGTATTTTCTTTTTGTTTCTCAGTTTAAAATGGGTTGTGAATATTACTAATGCATCATAAGTTTTCAGACACCCAGTATGTCACTTGTCTGGGTCCAGTCCTAGGAAATCAATACCTAAATTCAAAAAATCATCCTAAGATTAATCTTTGAAAGCTGCCTGTGATGATTCGGACTCACTGACCTCCCTTCTCTTCAACCTACAGAGAAAGCGAAAGAGCTACCAAGTCTTAGGGCACATGGACAGAACCAGAAGATGCCCAGTGAAGTGCTAGGATAGGGTACAGTCCCATAGCTTTTGGGCCAAATGAGAAGGAAAAGCAGAACCTGGGACCAGGAAAGCCCCAGCAGCTCCAGACTCCAGGACTCTTTACCAAGACTGATGGGAGGAACTAAGGCAAAGATGAGACACCTGTCACCAAGACACCTGTCTTGGCTGCTTCCACTTCTGACTCAGTTGTGTTGGTGTGAATGCAAAACTGGCTCTCTGGCTCCCAAGAATGTATAAATCCAGGACAGAAAACCAAGCATTTGGGCACCAGGCAAGAGGTCTTTCCAGATTCCCCAAACAGACTTTTCAGAATTCCCCAAAGATACTGAAACTCAGACCCATTCTGACCCCACCCCAAAAAGTATCATAAATGGAATCTGGGAGCCATTCAGAGTCTCCAGCCTCCTCTTTGGTGAAAATGGACTTGGACCTAAAAAGGCACCCCATTGTCCACAAGGACACAAATTCAGATGCTGAGCACTGGCCTCCTGCCTTCCGATGACGGATCTTACCTGAGTCCCATCAAAGCCCATACTGTTCCCCAACCTCCACCATCCAGACATTAGGAACAATCCCTCAGAACTGTCTTGATGAGATGGGACAAGCAGTGGTAGAGGTCCAGATTCAGAATGGTTGCCTCATCTTTCCCTTCTGAGAAGTCTATACCTGCTGGTCTGAGCCTTCATCCCTTACATGGCTTAGCCCATGTCCCAGGAAGTGCCCCCTAAAAGAACCTTCTAGTATTTTTCTCCCCTGAAGAGAGGGTCCATGAGACACTCTATGCCAGGAAATACATGACCTCCATTCTCACATGACTTGATTGACTGATAAACTGATACCCTGAGAAAGAAAAAGATGCAGGGAACATCTTGTGTGTGGTGAATCTGTGCTCCTCAGCTGTGGTGCCTGTGCAAATGGTGGAACCCAAAAGAATATTGGGTGGTAGACACACAGACCCTACCTAATAAAATTATGTAAGTTTAGGTTTAATATAGATGGAACTTATAATGTCATATAAAATGTTGTTACTTATTTTGTAAGAAAGCTGAGTTAGATTTTGTAAAGGCATTAAATATAATTTTAATGGGAAGCTATGAAAATTGTGTGCATTTGGTGTGTAAATGACTCATTTTGGGTAATTCTGTAAAGGCCACCTATGAATGTGAGTCATTAGTAACCAAATCTCCTATAGATAGCATATTGCATATTCATTTTAATGTATTCTTTTACCTGAGCTCAATTTTTCTTAATTTTATTCATCAAATTTTATACGCTTTAGATAAAAGACACCTTGTAGTTACCATGTGCTCTATGGATCTCTATTTTGTTAGAAATACAGATTTTCAGGCAAAACCCAAGTATATCGTATCAAAATCAGGTTTTTAAATAATATTCCCAGGTGATTCACATGCATATTAATAATTGTTAAGTGGGGGTAATTCTATAATTAAAAGGGAAAAGGTTATATGAGTGTATTTATTTGTTAAAAAGGTACAGAAAAGATTGTATGTTTCAATGTATATACATCTTATCTCATAGAAAATAACTAAAAACAATAATAAAGTGGGGATGGGGAATGAGTTGAAGTAGAAGTTAAACAGAAATGGCACATAATTAGTAGATGTTTAGGCTGAGCATCAGTCTATTATACTACATTGCTTATTGCATATATGTTTAAAATATTCTCTAATAAAATAATTGTATAAAAAGACAAACTTTATCTACAACATTAGCTCTTAAGATTGTGGTTACTTTTGGAGGGGAGGAAAAGAGAAAGTGGTTTGTGTGGCAGAAACAAGGCTAGTTCTATCCTATGCCTACACAAATGTATTTGTTTGTAATAATTTACTGAGCATTATGTTAATGCTTTGGACATATATTTCTGTATGCATGTCATTCAATAAAATTTAAATATTACATATTTAATCTTAACAGAATAATAGCAATGTTTGGTATTGTTTTGTTTGAAAGTGAGGCATTTAGTGTCAGACATCATGAGATGGGTATTAATATTCCAAGGTATTTATTCACATCCTGACTCTTGGGGGTCCCCCTCGATCTTTCATTTTTACCTCAATTGAGTAAGTAGCATGGTTGTAGTTTTGGGGAATGCAATTTTTTACAGCAAAGTCCTTCCTCCACGATAGTACTCACCACGGCCAGGACACTTAGCACAGGGCCCTGTACGTAGTGTGCACTCAGTGTGTGTGGAACTGGTGTGAATCAGAAACAAAACAAGTAGCAGAGGTCAGTTCTGCAAAGGATAGAAAGTAAGTAATCAAGACTGAAAGGCCGCAACTCAGCAGCAAACACTTCTATGTTAATTTGAGAAATAATTTCAACTGGCTCTCCAAAAGATGTTGGTTTAAAGCAGTAACATGGGAGTTGAGCTGTGTGCTATAATCACCCGAGAGCTTTAAATCACACTGTTGCCTAGGTCTCACTCCAGAGATTGACTTAATTACCCCATTGCAACTTGGGTTTGAAGACTTTAAACACTCCTCTACAAGGTTATTGAAATATGCAGCCAAGGGTGAGAAGCATTGATTCAGGGTGAGGAATACATTGGCTGTATGTGATTTTTATGTGTGCTTTAGGGATTTGCCCCATAGCTGCTCCTGAATGTGGGGTCTTAGAAAACATCTTTACCCTTCAAAGCATATTCTGCTGATTGGCTAAATTGCAGCAGGAAAAAATATCAGCAGCTCTGTCTTTATGTCACTTGCCTTCAAAGCAAAAGATTTTTCAGGCACAGTAATTTGATTTAGTCTGTGTTAAAAATCATAAATAGCCTAGAAATACAAAAAAAAAGAGGTGTTCAGGCCTTCACCTCCCTGAGATCGGAGCATCAGAGCCCTCATGGCTGCTGGTTTGAAGTAAAATGTGCTGCAAACATAAAATACACAGCGAGTTTAAAAGATTTAGATCCAAAATATTTATAATTATTTGTTGACCACACATGAAAAATAATATTTTGGGTATAATGGCTTAAAGAGTATTACAAACAATTTCACTTGTTTCTTTTTATTATTCCTATTATTTCTGAGATGGAGTCTTGCTCTGTCACCCAGGCTGCAGTGCAGTGGCACAAACTCAGCTCACTGCAACCTCCACCTCCTGGGTTCAAGCGATTCTCCTGCCTCAGCCTCCCAAGCAGCTGGGATTACAGGCGCCCGCCACCATGCCCGGCTAATTTTTGTATTTTTAGTAGACAGGGCTTCATTATGTTGGCCAGAGTGGTCTCGAACTTCTGACCTCTGGCCTCTCAGAGTGCTGGGATTACAGGCGTGAGCCACCATGTCAGGACTCTTTTTATTACTATTTTTGATCTGGCTAATAAGACATTTAAAATTCACAATAGCTAACGTTTTATTTTTTAGAGGATTGCTTCTCTCTTAAAATCTTAGGTGTCCCACTCCAAAGACCGGCGGCCAGAAAGGTTATGAAATCTGAAATATTAAATAATTGTCATTATATTGCTTCCATTTGTGAACAACGTGTGTGTGTGTTTTATAAACGAACATAACCTTCATAACGTTATACACCACAATGCTAAAAAAATGACCCCTGGGCAGAGCCAGGCGCAGCACAGACAGAAAGCCCTGCCTGAAAGTGACTGGAGCCAAGAGCCTGTCACTCTCGGCTCATTCCGTGCAGTGTATGGTAGCATCTTCTGACACGCAAGGCCTGAGGTCGCGGTGCCTGCACTACTATCCAATCAGGGCTCTGGGGTGGGAACTGTCCAATCAGGCGCGCAGCCAGGGAGGAAGGGGCGGCTTCCGGAATCTGGCGCGGCCTTTGTCTCACTTCAGCCAGAGCGCGGGGTTAGGGCTTCATTGCCTTGTGTCCTCTGCTCCGGGAGACTTCGGTGATTCTGCCACTCACTCCGTCGCTCTGTGACCTGCTGGCATTGAATGATTTATAGCTAAGACTCCAGGACACCCCTGAAGCCGAGAAATGGTGAGTGTGGGGGGCAGGGCGTACCGAGACTGGGGAGGGGGCTCCTTGGAACCGGCTGGACATGGCGGTGACGGGACCTAGTCTGCGAGTCGAGTCTGCAGCTCAGCCCTCAGTCCCCTCCGGTGCAGGGACTCCGGGCGTCCTGTCCTGTCCCTGCACGGCGGCTTTGGCCCCAGCCTGTAGCCCTCTTTGCGCAGCTCTGCGCCCGCAGCCCTGCATCTTCCCCAGGTTGTGAGGTGATGAGGCGAAAGTCATCGGAAAGACGCCGACTCGGTGTGCAGGGTTCCTGCGTGGAAGGAGCTGTGGTCCGTGGGGTCCCCCGTCCCTACCTTACCCTGTTCGGAATTAGACTGAGGCGCCATTAAAACATAGACAGCTTATATGAGTAAACAGTGATTAATTAATGGGACAGCGCTCAGCAATGGTTTGTGGTTGGGGGGCTACTAGAAGGTCTTGAAAGAAAGGCTTGTATAAGGTGTGTGAGGAAGCAAAGACAATTAAATAATTGGGTACAGTTATGTAGTCGCTTTATTTGGAGTGTCTGGGTGGAAATTTCCTGGTTATGTAATCAGGGATTAATTGGAGGTTTGTAGTTGTTTAAGCTTGAATTTCGTTTCCTCCTAAGGTAGTAACTTAGAAAAAAATGCATTTGAGTTAGATTTCTTTTTTTACATAGAGGCCTAGACCACTAGAGCCACTTCAGTCTAAATGACTGCTATGTAATTATTTTAACTTTAATCAAAGACACTGGTTTTCGCCTGCATTTTCCAAATGTGTGGCAAGCAGGGTCTCACATCCACTACTCTGTTCTGCCAGCCTAACCTGGCTTGAAGTAAAATCTTAAATTTCCGGTTTCTTGCTGACATTCCCCAAAGCCAACTTCTACGCTCCCATACATTATCAACTGTTTTTGTCCTTTATTGCACATTTCAGAAACAGTATTTGAATTAATCACTTTTTCACAGAGCAGTGGATGGCAATTTGTAAAATACTTATTTTCTACTTACAAATATTTCACATGAGAAAAAAGCAGAAAATAATCCCCTGGCACTCAACTGTAAAAAATCTTTCTGCTGTTTCTCCTTGTATCCTCCCTTAGCACAAACGCCCTTATTAGGCCATCTTGGGATTGAGGTTTTCGTTGGGAAACTTTATGGGGCAATGTTTCCTTAGCCACATTCGGGCCTTTTTCTAGTCCTGAGTTTTAGAACTGTCTTGAGATGGCCCAAGATACAAACCAGAGCCATGTATTTTGGGAGTTCTGGTGAATAGCAGCCCTTTGGTAATCTTCCAGAGGACACACTGAGGGATGGGAGTGCAGCTTCTCAAAGGAGCAGCTGAATGCCCTGGGGGTGAGAGAAATATCCAGGCTTACCCTTCCTGTAAAAAAAGAATCCCTTGGGATTTTTAAGATTTTTTTTTTTTTTCCCCCAACCCCAGTTTTCATTCCATGGAAACACATTGCTTGTCAGCCAATCAGATGCTGGTATTCAGAGAAAAAGATAGACTATTCCTGTCTTCTGAATTGTCTTATATTTGCGAAGGGAGAGAAACTAACCTGAAGGACAAGAAAAACCCACCCCAGGGAGGCAGTGCAAGAACCTGCAAAGCAAAAAGCACAGTGGGGCACAGTGCAGTGTCTCCTGGGAGGGTGGGCATTGAGCACTTCAGTGAGGAGTATGGGGGTGATAGAAAGTCCCAAGGGATAAGGTGGCCTGATTTGACACTTGAGTCATATGTCCCTGTTCCAGAAAGCACTGCCACTCCCTGAGTTTGTCCCCCTGTATAGATTTGCTCACTTATTTCAACTTCGGTTTTTTTAATTAACTGTAAATTGGATCTCAAAGGATAGGCAGAAAAGGGCTTTTAAAAAAAGTTGGAAAGAGCAAATAAGATTAGAAGGAAGGTGAGAGAGGGTGGGCAGAATGAAGTGTGGCAAAATCAGATTCTAAATCAGAGAGCGTTCAACCCTGAAGTCAGCTTTTTCTTAGGAGGTTAATAAAGAGAGATTGAATGTTGAATCAGGCTGAGAATAGGTCAAAGTTCAGGGATCTGAACAAATAGGCTTTTTTTTTTTTTTGACCATCGGAGATGAAATTGTTCAGCCAATTGTATATGAGAAAAAAATGGAAATGTGTGGTCCATGTCTGACTCTGTGATAGGTTTAGAAAAAAAGAAGAGAGAGTATTATTGAAGTCACAATGGGAAGGGTGTCTCTTTTCGTTAAGCTGATTTCGGAGAACAAAAAGCATGAGGAATTTTTTGTCACAGCTATTTAGCAGAATTACCTACCTGCCCCAGCTTTCACCACCACTTTTTCTTGCCCTATGCATCTCTTCCATGTGGCTGTTCCTGAGCTGTATCTTCAATAATAAACTGGTATATGTAAGTACAGTGCTTTGCTGAGTTCTGTGAATAGTTCTATCAAATTATTGAGCTTGAGGAGGGGAATGTGGAAGCCCTTGATTTGTAGGAAGTAGTTGAGAAATAAAGATGGGTATCCGGAGGCATGTGACTGGCATCGGCAGTGAGGACAGTGTTATGGGACTTAGCCTGAACTTGTGGGATCTATGCTGACTCTGGGCGGTGTTGGAATTGAGGTGTTGGACAGCTAGTTGGTGTTGGATAATTGGTTGGTGTTCAGCAAACTCCTTACGTTTTGTGTCAGAAGAAAGACATCACTGGGGCCTGGTCTATAAGGAGACTCCAGGTGTCTGAGGGAAGTGAGGCTTTGTTCTGCACACAGGCTTGTCGTCACCCTGTGCGTTGTCCTGTAATTCCAGGTCTCCTCCTACTGTGAGATGGAACGAGAGCTTAGAGTGAAGGAGCTCTGAGAACCTATTCCCTCCCCTGACCCTGCTGCCAGCCCCTACATGCTTCT
The DNA here is from genome assembly GCF_000001405.40 of Homo sapiens. NCBI lineage: Eukaryota > Metazoa > Chordata > Mammalia > Primates > Hominidae > Homo > Homo sapiens. The sequence goes on along the minus strand of NC_000018.10, from coordinate 14,129,393 downwards.
AACCCACTCCTGAACATACCCACTAAAAATTGATCTGGCTACACTCCTCCCACGACAAAGTTTTACCCTCAGGAATTGTGCTCACAACAGCTTTCCTCCTAGAGTTTTCTGCCAAGAACATACACAGGTGCCTAGAAGACTCCTGGCTTATCTCAACTGTAGACACTGAATCTCTATCGGGAACCTGTTTTTTTCACCAACCCAGGTTTCTTGGACTACCTGATCATAATCTCTTCTGATTGTATGAACACAGGAATAAGTCAGAACATAGCGCTGCCTGAGCCTGTATCTGTAGCACAAACCAGTTCCTTAACCAATTCTGCCCTGCATCCCCACCCATAGTTCTTGATAGCATCTTTCTCTTTTCTGCTTTTTTCTTCCCCACAAATCCTCTTTCATGTGTACACAGTGTGCCCAAGGCCATCCCTCCAGTGCCTGAATCCAGTGCCTACTAGAAGTCAGATGTTAATGAGTTCAAGACCAAGCCTTTAGACCCGGCTGTTGTAGGAGCAAATACAAATTAGAAAGAAAAGGCTTAATGCTTTCTCTTTAAAATGAGGGAAGAATTTTTGCTCTTCTTTTCTTAAAGCATTTAGTTTGAAAACCTTTCTCTACTTCTTTGAAATATATGTAAATCATTTTTATCAGTTAAATAGGTCATTTGGTTTTGTGTGTGTGTGTGTGTGTGTGTGTGTGTGTGTGTTTGACTCAGAATTGTCTTAATCTAGGACCTGGGAACTATTGCTTTGAAATGTAATTAGCAAGTTTATACACCCTTTCCCACAGTTTCTGTAGGAGAGTAGAAGGCTGCCTTCAGCAGGTGTCTAACTCCACATTGCAACACTACCTCCTGTCATGAAGATGAGGGAAGTTTATTTTTCCTTTAAATATTACCAATTAGAAAACCCAGATGACAGCCCAAATTATAATAAGCTGTGTATGACAAATGGTACAGTTGAATACTAATTATGTTGACCTTTCTCTGTTTGCAATCTCTTAGTATATTGCCTGTGATGCACATCACATTTTAGTTTAATTATATAACAAAACAGTTTTCTTGCTGTTCTGTTATGGTGGAGAGTTTGTTTGTTTGTTTGTTTTGAGAGAGAGTCTCGCTCTGTCGCCCAGGCTGGAGTGCAGTGGTGCGATCTCGGCGCACTGCAAGCTCTGCCTCCCAGGTTCATGCCATTCTCCTGGCTCAGCCTCCCGAGTAGCTGGGACTACAGGCGCCCACCACCACACCCGGCTAATTTTTTTTTTGTATTTTTAGTAGAGACGGGGTTTCACCGTGTTCGCCAGGATGGTCTCGATCTCCTGACCTCGTGATCCGCCCGTCTCGGCCTCCCAGAGTGCTGGGATTACAGGCGTAAGCCACCGCGCCCGGCTGGTGGAGAGTTTTTTAGGGTCGGAAATGGGTTTGCTTTCAGTTATGTTTTCCACACTGTCCAGCATTACTAGATGTTATACACAAGGTGCCCACCAGGCTTCACTTTAGAGGGAACTTTCTTTCTCAGGATTCCAATCACAACCCACAATTGTGCAGCAAAGTGCCCCCCAAATCTTCAAACAGAATGGTCTCTCTTTGGAATCTACAGTCCCTTCTAGAGCAGGTAGAGTAGATTTTTACAAAAATAACTTTTCAGGACAGCAGTCAAGTAGTCCACCTCCATTAGTGCTCCTGGCATCTTCACATCTGACACTGATTCAGAGATCATGGGGCCCATAAACCCAATTAGGATCACACATGTGCATTAATTAAACCTGAAAACTTCAACTCCCTCCCACCTCCCCTTGCCCAAATGCCCACACATGGGCCACCACTCATCAGCCCTTCAAGACCTAAATGTGCAGCTCCAGATTTTGAATTTATGTCCTGGGATTTGAGAGAAGAAAAGGTGTTGAAGGAGCCTCCATGAGAGGATCTTTCCTCTGGTTTTACTCTGCTTGCTGTAACCCCCAAGAATGCAGAGGCACATTGATCCCACCTAGAATCTGCACATAAAAGCTGGCCTCTGCCTAGGATTCACAAGACAGGGCCAGACTTTGGGTTGAAGACATACAGAAAACTCACAGAAGACATTTTCTGCATCATGAGAGGTCAACATAGACATCTTAAGCATCAGTTTCAGAGTGGAGCCCTTTGAGTTTTCCAGATCTTGTCCAGTGACCTGCTGCAGCTCTGTGAGAGGCTTCTGGTGTCAACAGAATCCTGTAAGTTAAACAAGCACCTTAGCAGTGGGAGGTCAGAGCTACAAAATAACCAGAGCCATAATCACAACTGTGCCTCCCTGTAAACTGTTAGTGGAGTAGAGTATTTTTGTTCTTCCCCTTACCTCAGACTTAGCTGGACAGGGACAGGGGATATTACAGCTAGATTCGGGATCTGTTGCTCCACCAGGGCAGAACCATTTTCTATAATATTTGCACCCCACAAAGCCTGAGTGTCTCCTGTCTCAGGATCATTATGGAGGCGTCAGCCCATAGTCACTGGGGACGCTCTCACCAGCACCTGTGAATTTTGGAGACATTTGAGGATGTCCTGTGCAAATTGGGGTCAGTCTGACTACAAGGTTTAATTCTGCCCCCATTTTAGAGGAAGAGAAATGGTTCAGCCAGGGTTTGTTCCTCCCCTCACAGAAATAATTTCCTTGATTTGTACCCAGATGGGAGTTGCTTCAGTTTTCTGGTTCTTTGGTGAAAAATGAGGAGATCTGGAGACTCAAACTGGTCAATAAGCTACCTGCTTCTATTTCGTATGTCATTAGAAAAAGAGATGAAGCAGTCATGGTCCCTACCATGAAGGAGCTTGCAATCTAGAGCACATGAATAAGTAGTTGAATTCAGCATCGTGTGTTAAGCACAAAGACGGAAGGTGTAGAGGAGACTTAAGCTTCATTTGGGTCACATCCCTTGTTTTGAGTTTTGATGCCACCAACTGAAGGTCTATTCATGGACAGAAGAGAAGTTATTATTTGTATTATTTTTACCTTGCTAAGAATAAATATTTACCTTCTAATATAATTGCTCTAGGAAAACGTAAGGGTTTTGGTTAAATTCCTTCTTATCGTATGTTACAAAATAGGGAAGTGGCTAAAATAGGTTAAAATTGCACAAACTCTGAAAATCAGATTTCTCTTGGTCAGGCTTAGAAAAGATAAAACTGAAAGTTCTTAGCAGCATGGAGATCTGTCCCAACCCTGCGCAGATCCACCCTCTGCTGCTAAACTTTCTCCAGGTCTGATCCCACACTGAAATCTCTCACAGAACTGCCTAGAGGAGATCAGAGTTTGGAGTGACTACCCCTACTGCCTCTCCACAGCTGGTGCTCACAATTTCCTGAAACCCAAAAGGAGATAAAAGGGGAAAAACTATATACTTTGGGGCCTTAAATTCTTTTTTAAAAAATTAGGCCGGGTGCGGTGGCTCATGCCTGTAATCCCAGCACTTTGGGAGGCCAAGGCGGGCAGATCACTTGAGGTCAGGAGTGCAAGACCAGCCTGGCCAACATGATGAAACCCCGGCTGTACTAAAAATACTAAAAATTAGCTGGGTGCGGTGGTGGGCACCCGTAATCCCAGCTATTTGGGAGGTTGAGGCAGGAGAATTGCTTGGACCTGGGAGGCGGAGGTTGCAGTGAGCCAAGATCGCACCATTGCACTCCAGCCTGGGCAATAAGAGCGAAACTCAGTCTTAAAAAAAAAAAAATTAAAACCAGTGTTTCTAGAGACATCCCATCCAGCAACCTGTTCTCCATTCCTGCAGTTTCAATGATTTCTTCACAAGTCTCAAAGTAAATACAAACACTGAATTGCAGTTAACAGTTCCTTTCCGTATCTCTCCATCTGTCTAAAATGAGCTATTATTCTATACATTTTATTTTTAAAATCAATGATAGGAAAACAGAAGAAATAGAAATGGCAGGCCCTGCATTTAAATCCTGGGAAGTGTGGGACAATTAGTACCCACCTCTACAGAAACCTGTTATGAGAATTAACACATAATGTGAGCTTCCCAGCACAGTGCTCTGTGACATACTCTTGGGCACATAGTACATGCTCCATAAACATTGCATTAATGCTTGTGCACATGTTTTTCAACTGCAGACTTATTCAGACATTGCCATTATCTCCTGCCTTTGTAAACTATGTAAAAGGGCCTGCAGAGAATGCCAAGTTTCAGGCTGATGATTGGTGGTCTTTTCTTTGGATGAAGGATATGTGTGTTGTGATAAGGGTGTTGGGATAAGGGATTCTGTGTGTGCCTGCTTTCTCTAGCTGAGTGGTACTATAATGAGTCTACGAGGAGGAATATCAGCATTAACAGGAGACTTGTTATAAGAAGCTAATTCATGGACCCTTTTTAAACCTGCAAAATTTTGTAACAGTGAGGCCTAGAATACCAAATAATTTATATGCACATTGAAGCTTGAGAGGCAGTGCTTAGTTAAGTGCCTCTCAGTGCAGTCTTTCAATAGGATCACATGGAGAGTTTGAAGAGAGACCATCACCTGTGCCCTCCCCAGAGATCCTGTCTATTGTTCTAGGTGAAAACATCCCTGTTTTTTAAATTAAGTTCCTCGCATGATTCTGCAGTGAGGCCAGGGTCAAACATGAGGGCTTCCAGATACTTTAATGAGAGGTGAGTTCACCCGTTGTTCCAGAAGGAGGTCACAGGGCCTGCTCTGCTTGGTTTTGGTAGGGGTAGGTCAGTGCAGCTCATATTTCCATTGCAGCAGCAGAAATTGCTTGCTGGCATCCTTTTCCCTCAGAGTTATAGAATGCTTTAGAGAACATTACTGTGTTAAAAGTTATTTTATCAGATAATCCTAGTCAGCCACATAAGTCAGAACTAGTTATTTTAACTCATTTCATCTCTAGTCAAATTAAGAGCTCTGTCACTTGATATATGTGTTTCCAGGAACTCTTAACATTCAGGGATGTGGCCATAGAATTCTCTCCAGAAGAGTGGAAATGCCTAGACCCTGCCCAACAGAATTTATATAGAGATGTGATGTTGGAGAACTACAGAAACCTCGTCTCCCTGGGTGAGAATAACTTCAATACATAATTCCTAATTCTCCCTCAGAGTTTTATTTTCTTTCTTTGTAGACTGTCTCTTGAGAGCTTCTGCTTTGCATGAATTAATTTCAGTTCTTTTCTTCAAGAAAAAATGGGAGTTTGCTAGTGTAAAAAAGAAAATCTTTTTTTTTTTTTTTTAATTGAGACAGAGTTTCGCTCTTGTTACCCAGGCTGGAGTGCAATGGCGCGATCTTGGCTCACTGCAACCTCCACCTCCTGGGTTCAAGTGATTCTCCTGCCTCAACCTCCCGAATAGCTGGGATTACAGGCGCCCACCACCACGTCTGGCTAATTTTTTGTATTTTTAGTAGAGACAAGGTTTCACCATGTTGGCCAGGCTGGTCTCGAACTCCTGACCTCAGGTGATCCACCCGCCTGGGCCTCCCAAAGTGCTAGGATTACAGGTGTAAGCCACCATGCCCAGCCAAAAAGAAAATCTTTATGATGATTCATCTTTACATAAACCTTCTCTTTTTTTGAGCTAATTTGTTTCCTTTACTCTAGATTAGTGGTAGTTTTAGAAATTGAATGACATAAAATATTGTTTCCCACACCTTTACATTCATTTTGTACCACTTATTTATTTATTTATGTATTTTGCAAACGGAGTCTTGCTTTGTCACCCAAGCTGGAGTGCAGTGGCACAGTCTTGGTTCACTGCAACCTCTGCCTTCTGGGTTCAAGCACTTCTGCCTCAGCCTCCCGGGTAGCTGAGACTACAGACATGCACCACCACGCCTGGCTAATTTTTTGTATTTTAGTAGAGACAGGGTTTTGCCATGTTGCCCAGGCTGATCTTGAACTCCTGAGCTCAGGCAGTCCTCCTGCCTCGGCCTCTCAAAGTATTGAGATTACAGGCGTGAGCCACCATTCCTGGCCCTGTACCAGTTATTTTTGATTCGATAGTACTGGGTAGTGGAACTTAGAACCCGCAGATTTAAAATACTTAAATATTCTAAAGATTCTGTCAGGAAACAAGTTTTGGATTAATTTTCTAGAATCATTTGTAATTTCTCTTTTCTGCTTAGCATAGTACTAGGTTGGTAATTGGAGAATCCCCAGCAACAGTCATGTTGATTTTTTTTTTTTTTTTTTTTAATAAAACAAGTGTTGCTATCTCTAACCAGACCTGGTCACCTGTCTGGAGCAAAGAAAAGAGCCTTACAATTTGAAGATAGATGAGACAGTAGCCAAACCCCCAAGTAAGTGAGGGTGAATGAAGGAGATGACACAGGCAAGGGGACCAAAGGTCAAGAAGGAAGCCAGGCCTTAAAATGTAGTTTAGGCACCACATGTTCTCACTCATAGGTGGGAATTGAACAATGAGAACACATGGACACAGGAAGGGGAACATCACACACCGGGGCCTGTCGTGGGGTGGGGGGAGGGGGGAGGGATAACATTAGGAGATATACCTAATGTAAATGATGAGTTAATGGGTGCAGCACACCAACATGGCACATGTATACGTATGTAACAAACCTGCATGTTGTGCACATGCACCCTAGAACTTAAAGTATAATAAAAAAAAAATCACTTGGAAATGTGAATTTTCAAAAAGAAAAAAAAATGTAGTTTGGGAATCTTTGCTCCAATGAAAATAATTTCTGAAAAGGTTGTGTTTTTTGTTTTGTTTTGTTTTCATATTCACAGATAGGGACATCTTCTGTCTCATGCTCTTAAATTTTCTAAGAATTTTTTTTTTTCTTTAGTGATCTCCCTTCAAGTTTACAGTGAGACCCAATGTCCCCTTTATCACTTATAAAGGGCTGCATGATCTGTCTGCTTTTCCATTGGTTTTGGATACATAGGAATATTTGTATTTTTGAGGAGTTCTATGTTAAAGTATCTTTTTCAGATATTCTTTTTGCATCATGTCTAAAATGTGTAAGGTGAGTAGGGGACATACTGGGATTTGGTTCAGAAATCCCAGCAACACCAGGGACAGATGTTGCATCTTTTCCGCTTAATAATTTTTAATCCTGTAGAGGTTGCAAATGTGATTCTACAAAAATCCTTACTCAGCAATTTTATCAGAACAATAAGCATTTTTCTAAATATGAAAAAATGTAATGTTATTTTACCTCAAAGTGTTACTGCTTTAGAATAAATTGAGATTTGTAATTTAAACTCTATATGTGCAGATTTTCAAATTATAGTTCAAAGAATGAGTGTCCAACCTTTTGGCTTCCCCGGGTCACATTGGAAGAAGAAACATTGTCTTGGGCCACACATAAAATACACGAACACTAATGATAGCTGATGTGCTAAAAAGAAAAAAGGTTCATGCAGTTTTCATGATATTCGTCACCACAGATAAGCAAAAAGTCCTCTCATTCAAAGAGCTGGTTGGACACCACTGATTAAAAGTATCTACTCACCTTCTAGATTTTTTAAATGCCCTGTGTCATTAATGAGCTTAGAACATTGCTAAGCAAATATTAAGCCATCTATTATCTTATTTTTTAATAACTATTATCTTATAATTTTGTCTTATTTAGTAGGGAGCCTGCTGGGACTGTGTCATTGAGATATATCTATATGTATAAATGTGTAAAGTGATACACATACACATACCTATATAAATCGTATATGTGTATACTCAGTTCTTAATGTTGATAGTTCTTAGAAGCTGTAACTGTAAGTGAAGCAACATATTGTTTAAGAAAATGAATTTTACCATAGTTTAACTGATACAAAAGAAAGGTATTTGAATGGCATATAGCAGTGTTGTTTCATTTAAAAAAAAGCCCACAGTTTTCAAGAACCTATTTTGAACATTAAGTGAGGACTTACTCTATGACTGTGTTTGTGTGGCATGGATTTTTCAGATAAATAAAAATTGTATAACTATATATTTAATGTGTACAATGTAATGATTTGATATGTGTATACGTTGTGAAATAAAATATAGTCAAGTTGATGAACACATCTATTACCTTACATGGATAACCTTTTTTTTTTATAGTAAGTATACTTAAGGTCTACTGTTGTGGCAAATTTTAAGCATATGTTACAGTATTACTTACTATAAACAATGCTATCTGGCTAATCTAATGCTAATGTACATTAGATTTCTCAGACTTGCTCAATTTGTAACTAAATTTGTATTCTTTGAACAACATCTCATATTCCCACCCTCAGGCACTAACAACCACCCTTCTACTCTCTGCTTCTATGAGTTTACATTTTTAGATTCCCCATCTAATTGAGAACATACAGTTTGTCTTTCTGTGTTTGCCTTATTTCATTTAGCATAATGTCCTCCAGGTGTATCCATGTTGTAAATGGCTAGATTTCCTTCTCTTATGGCTGAATAGTATTCTTCTCTGTGTGTGTGTATGTACACACACACACACCATATTTTGTCTGTTGTAAACAATACTACAACGAACATGGGGGCTGAAGATACTTCTTCAAGGTGCTAATTTTATTTCCTTTGGTAGTAGTATGCCTAGAAGTGATATTACTGGATTATATGATACTTCTATTTTTATTTTTATTGGTTTTTATGATGACTGTATCAATTTACATCTCACTGACAACATACAGGATTTCCCTTGTATGTATGTCTTCTTTGGGGAAAAATAATCTTTTGTCTATTTTTGAATAGGTTATCATCATCATTGTTTTGCTTTGAATTGCAGAAGTTTCTTACACATTTTGGATATTAACTTCTTATACATGGCTTGCAAATATTTTTCTGTCCTGTAAGGTTTAAAAAAATTTTTTTTTCCTTTCCTGTGCAGAAGCTGTTTACTTTGATGCAGTCCCACTTGTTTATATTTTCTTTCAATGTTATGCTTTTGGTGTTATATGCAAAAAGCTGTTGCCAAGACCAATATCAACAAGGTTTTCCAATATGTTTTCTTCAGGAGTTTTAAGGTTTTATGTCTTACATGTAAGTCTTTTATTTTTAGTTAATTTTAGGGTATGGTCAAAGAAAATAATCTAATTATATTCTTTTGCTTGTGGATATCTAGTTTTTCTGGCACCGTGTATTGACAAGACTATACTTTCTGCATTGTATATTCTTGGTGCTCTTGTCAAAGATTAGTTGACCTTGTATGCATGGATTGCTTCTGGGCTCTCTATTATGTTCCATTGGTTTTTGTATCTGTTTTTATGCACATACCACACTCTTTTCATTACTATAACCTTTAAATAAAGTTTGAAATTAGAAAGTATGATGCCCCCAGCTTTGTTCTTTTTCAATATTGCTCAGGTTATTTCAAGTTGTTTTAGGTTACACTTAAATTTTACAATTTTATTTTCTATTACTGTTGAAAATTCCACTAAAACTTTAAATCCGTAGATTACTTTGGATAATATGGTACTTTGACAGTATTAATTATCCAATGGAATATGTTTCTATTTATTTGGGTCTACTTTAATGTCTGTCATCAATATCTTACTGTATTTAATGTATAAATTTTTTATATCATCAGTTAAATTTATTTTGATTAAACTTCTTTTATACAATTGTAAATAAAAATTGTTTCTTTTTTTGTGGAAAGTTTGTTGTTACTGTATGGAAATGCAACAAATATTTGTATGCTGAGCCTGGTGCAGTGCTGCATTTCTGTAATCTCAGTGCTTTCAGAGGCTGAGGCAGGTGGATCATTTGAGCCCAGCAGTTTGAGGTGAGCCTGGGCAACAGAGTGACACCCTGTCTCAAAAAACCCCAGAAGTATTTGTATGTTGATTATCCTGATACTTTAATAAATGCATTTATTAGTTCAAACAGTTTTTGTTGTTGTACTCTAAGGTTTTATATACATATGTATGATCATATCATCTACAAACAGTAACATTTTTACTTCTTTTCCAAACGGGAGAGCCTTGTTCTTTCCTTGCCTAATTGTTCTGATACAAACTTTCAGTAATATGTTAAGGTAGAAGCATTGATAGTGGCACAGTATAACTACCCATGGCCCTGGAGGCAGACCTACAGACCGTGACCTCAGCTGTGGTCCCTGAAGCAGCCCTGTTTCTGTACATTTGAAGGATCTAACAATGGTTACAGTTTCTGTAAACTGTTTTTGGCAGGTAAAGATCTCCTTTTGTTGGGTTCCCAGGCTGATGAGGTTACCTCTGGGGTTGCAGAGAAGAAGCGTTGTAAAGCTGGGTCACAAGGGTGCTGCTGGGTCACTGTGGGGTCTGCCTTTGATGGTCCTGTTACCAGAGATTAGGATAGTCATGGATTCTTTTTGGGACCTGGAAAGATTAGATTTCCTTTAGGACATTAATCTATATGGCAGGCACTAGGGTAGAGATTTCCTTGTGGACATTAATCTATACAGCAGGCACTAGGGTAGGGTTTTGAAATTTGTCTGCATATGATGAGCCATATACCAGGTGTATGAATGGGTTTGTCTTCTACTAGCTACCTTGAAGCAGTTTTCACAGGTCTCTAACTGGGTGCCTATAACTGGCCATGGACTGTGGCTGTGAGGGCTAGAACTGAGTTACAGGGCTGCTTCCGGGACCACAGCTGAGGCCAAGATCTACAGGCCTGCCTCTAGGGCCATGGCTGGGTGTGTCTTCCTGCATCTCTCTTGATAGGAGGACTATTTCTGAACTATAGCTGAGAGGAGTTTGAGACAGGTTGCAGAACTGCTTCAGGATCCTCAGTAAGACCAAGTTCGGTGCGCCATTTCCTTGTCTGTAGCCATGTCCATGGGCTCTTCAGTTTGCCACCTGGGTGAGGGCCTGCTTTTTCCAAATGACCCTCCTTGATCTTTGGCTCCACAAAGGTTTCACAACCCCAACCATAGGCAGTCATCTTTCTACTGCCTGTTTCTGTAAGTTTATGACATAAGATGTCTTATGTAAGTGGAATCATATACTGTCACTTCATTAGTGTCTTATTTCACTTAAAATAATGGCTTAAAGATTTATTCTTATTGTAGCATCTGACAAGATATTTTCATTTGAGGCTAAAGAATAATTCATTGTGGCCAGGCGCAGTGGCTCACCCCTGTAATCCCAGCACTTTGGTAGGCCGAGGCAGGTGGATCACGAGGTCAGGAGATTGAGACCATCCTGGCTAACATGGTGAAACCCCGGCTCTATTAAAAATAAAAAAAATTAGCTGGGCGTGGTGGCGGGCACCTGTAGTCCCAGCTACTCAGGAGGCTGAGGCAGGAGAATGGTATGAACCCAGGAGGCAGAGCTTGCAGTGAGCCGAGGCCATGCCACTGCACTCCAGCCTGGACGACAGAGCGAGACTCTGTCTCAAAAAAAAGAATATTTCATTGTATATATAAGGCACATCTTTAAAAATTACCTATTCATTGAAGAACATTTGCGTTTTTTCACTTTTTGTCTTTTGTAAATGATATATTTTGGATCTGGGTTCCCATTTAAATCTCATCTAAGATTGCAGTTTCTAATGTTGGAGGTGGGGCCTGGTGGGAGGTGATTGGATCATAGAGTTGGTTTCTCATGAATGGTTTAACACCATTCCCTTTGGTACTGTCTGTGCTGTAGTAAGTTCTCCTGAGATCTTATTTTTAAAAATCATGTGGCACCCCCACCCTCACTCTGTCTTGCTCCTGCTCCCACCATGTGAGATGACTCACTCCCTCTTTGCTTTCTGCTGTGATTGGAAGCTTTTTGAGGCCGACACAGAAGCAGAAGCTGCTATGCTTCCTGTACAGCCTGCATAACCATGAGCCAATTAAACCTCTTTTTTTTAAAATACCCAGTCTCAGGTATTTATAGCAGTGCAATAATAAACGAATACAGTGAATATTGCTGCAATGAACATGGATGTGCAAATATTTCTTTCAAGTATACTCTGCATATTTTGATTAGATGCCCAGAAGTCACTTTTTCCCTACCAGCAGTGCACAAGGGTTTCAATTCCTCTATGCTCTTGACAACATTTGTTATTTTTTGTTTGCTTGATATTGGCCATCCTAATTAATGCACAATAGTATCTCATTGTGGTTTTGCTTTACATTTTTCTAAAGACTAGAAATGTTTTCAGTAATTGCTATGTGTATTATTTCATCTTTGGAGAAACATTTTAATCTCTTGTCCATTTGTTAATCATGTTACTTACTCTTTGTTGTTGATTTTTCAAAGTTTATATATTCTGGGTGTTAACTTCTGTCAAACATACAATTTTTTTTTCTTCTTCTGCTTACTTCACTAAATGTTTAGCGTGCAGAGATAAATTTAATGTAGTCCCATTTTTCTGTGTTTTTAAATTTGTTGCTCATGTATTTGATGTTATATGCAAGAAAACATTGCTGAGACCAATGTCATAATCTTTCTCCCTATATTATTATTATTTTGAGATGGAGTTTTGCTCTCGTTGCCCATGCTGGAGTGCAATGGCATGATCTTGGTTCACTGCAACCTTCCCCTCCTGGGTTCAAGCGATTCTCCTGCCTCAGCCTCCTGAGTAGGTGGGATTACAGGCATGTACCACCACACCTGGCTAATTTTTAAAAATATTTTTAGTAGAGACAGGGTTTCACCCTGTTGGTCAGGCTGGTTTTGAACTCCTGACCTCAAGTAATCTGCCTGCCTTGGGCTCCCAAAGTGCTAGGATTACAGGTGTGAGCCACCACACCCAGTCACCCTATATTTTCCTCCAAAAATTGTAGAGTTATAATTCTTACATTTAAATATTTAACTCATTCAAGACAGTTTTTGTGTATGGTTTAGGGGAAGGATCCAACCTCAATTTTTCCCATGTGGATATAGAGTTTTCCAACACCATTTATTGAAGAGACTATCTTTTCCTTAATATGTTGTTATAGTAACCTTGTTGAAGATCATTTGACCATATACACAATGCTTTGTTTTTGAGTTCTCCATTCTGTTCCATCATCTGTCTTCCTGCAAGTACCGCACTGTTTTTATTTATGTAGCTTTGTAATCTATTCTAAAAACAGGAAGTGTGGTGCCTCTAATTTTGTTCTTTTTTTCTAAGAATGTTTGGGCCATCAATGGTCCTTTGAAATTCTGTGTAAATGTAATAATTTAAAAATATATTTCTTCAAAAAATATCTTTTGGATTTTCATTGAGACTACATTGAATTTGAATATCACTGGGGATACTATTGTCATTTAACAATATTAAATCTCCTGACACTTAAAGAAGAGTATCTTAAAGAGTTTGTTAAGTTTCACAGATTTTTCAATTTGGCAATTTTGCTTCTGCTTTTGATTTCTAGTTTTATTCCATGTGGTAAGAAAGGATACATTATATGATTCAATCTTTAGTGTGTACTAGGCTTAATACCTTGGTGAAAAAATAATCTGTACAACAAACCCACATGACACAAGTTTACCTATATAACAAACCTGTACATATAACCCCAAACTTAAAAGTTAAAAAGAATAAGAGTTGCTTTGTGTCCTAACAGGTTGTCCATGAAACAACAACTACCCATTTTCTCCACTTAGCCCCTGACACAGTTCAGTCTGTTTTCTGTTTCTAGGAGTTTAACTACTTTAGGTATCTTACATAAGTAAAATTGTATAGTATTTGTCTTTTTGTGCCTGGCTTTTTGCACATAAAGTCTTAAAAAATGTATTTATTGTGAATATAACAACATTTTCTGCTTTTAAAAACCTGAATATTATTTATTTGTATATTTGAAATTGTCTTTATTCATTTATTAAGTTGGTTCTTTCCACTTACTTGCTTCTGTAAATAATACTACAGTGAATATGGATGTGCAGATTACTCTTCATTTGATAATATATGCAAGGGATTATTGATGTGCTCTGTTCTGTTTCACTGGTATTGTCTCTTTTTAATCCGGTTATAAACTATTTTGATTAATATAACTTTATAATAGGTTTTTAAAATCAGGGTGTATGCCTCCAATATTTCTCTTTTTGACAATTGTTGAACACTTGTGGTCTCTTTAGTTCTGATATAATTTTTAGGATTGCTTCTTATATTGATGTAAAATATGTATAGCCATCATCCAGAGTATACCACCATTTCCTTCAGCACTCTGTCAGGGGAGCCAAACCCCATCTTTGGATAGCCCCTCGGAAACCAGAGATGTGGACACATACTCCACACTTCTTTCTCTCCTGAGGAAGAAACATAGAGTTGGGAGTTTCTCCTGGTTGTACCATGCTGTACTGGGAGAAGATAAAGCTGTGCTGGGCACATGTAATAAAATTTTCCTTCTCTTCTACATGCTTTTGGAATGGATAAAGCTACAGCAACTGAAGTAGTACAAATTCTTAACTGTGTTTTGGAATTCCCACAAAGGCAATGTGATCAACGTGGTGTTAAGTGCATATATCTATGAAGAAATGAAGACCAGTGGTCTTTTTTTAAGCTTTGCAACTTAAATTTATATATATTTTTTACTTTTAAATTTTATTTTTTAATTTTTGTGAGTACATAGTAGTAGCTATATATATCTATGGGTTACATGAGATATTTTGAAGTAGCCATGAAATGCATAAAAATCACATCAGGGTAAATGGTGTATTCATTACTTCAAGTATTTAATCCTTTGTTTACAATCTAATTACGTTCCTTTTGTTATTTAAAAATATACAATTAAATTGCTTTTGACTATAGTTACTCTGTTGTACTAGCAACTACTAAATCTTATTCTAATTATTTTTGTGCTCATTAACCTTCCCCACTTCCCACCAACCCCCCACTATACTTTCCAGCCTCTGGTAACAATTCTGCTCTCTCCCTCCATGAACTGAATTAATTTAATTTTTAGCTCCAGCAAATGTGTGAGAACATGCAAAAGAAACTGGAGGAAACATAGTATTTGACTGTAAATGATACTACAGAGCTATAGTAATTAAAACAGCATGGTATTGATCAGTGAAACAGTAGAGAGAACGCAGAGATAAATCCATATAGCTATAGCAAACCTATTTTCGACAAAGGTTTCAAGAATATATATTGAGGAAAGGAATTTATTGTCTAAATTATGCTACAGAAACTAAATATCCATATTCAGAAGAATGAAACTAGACCCCTATCTCTTGCTGTATTAAAAAGTTAAATCAAAATGGATTAGAGACTTAACTAAGACCCAAAACTATGAAAGTACTATTAAGAAAACATTGTAGAAACTCACCAGGAAATTAAATGGGGTAAAGATGTCTTGAATAATACCCTGCAGGCACAGGCAACCAAAGCAAAAATGGACAAATGGAATCACATCAAGTTAAAGAACTTTTAAACAGCAAGTGAAACAATCAACAAAGTGAAGAGACAACATACCAAATGGAAGAAAATATTTGCAAATGGCCCATCAGAAAAAAAATTGATAACCAGATTATGTAAGGCACACAAACAACTCTATAGGATAAAATTTAATAATCTGATTAAAAATGAGCAAAAAATGTG
Source organism: Homo sapiens (assembly GCF_000001405.40). Classification (NCBI taxonomy): domain Eukaryota; kingdom Metazoa; phylum Chordata; class Mammalia; order Primates; family Hominidae; genus Homo; species Homo sapiens. The sequence goes on along the minus strand of NC_000018.10, from coordinate 14,113,955 downwards.
AATAGACATTTCTCTAAAGAGGGCATACGAATAACAGTGCATGTGACAAGGTGCTCAACATGTGGTCATCAGAGAAATGCAAATCAAAATGACAGTGAGATGTTATCTCATCCCAGTTACAATGGCTGTTCTCCAAAAGTCAGGCAATAACAAATGCTGGTGAGTATGTGGAGAAAAGGGAACTCTAGTACTCTCTTGGTGGGGATGTAAATTATTACAGCTACTATGGAGAACAGTTTAGAGTTCCTCAAAAAAAAAAAAAAATAGAGCTACTATACTACCTAGCAACCCCAATCCTAGGTATGTACACAAGGGAAATCAGGACATCAGAGAGAGATTTGCACCTCCATTTTTATTGTAGCTGTGAACACAAAATATCTGAGACAGGTCTCATCCAATTTAAGTAGTTTATTTTACCAAAGTGAAGGATGCACACCTATGACACAGCCTCAAGAGGTCAGGGCACAGCTTGGTTTTATACATTTTAGGGAGACATGAGACTTCAGTATGTGTAAGTTGTACGTTGGTTCAGTCTGGAAAGGTGGGACAACTCAAAGCAGGGAGGGAGTTTCCAGGTCATGGGTAGGTGGGAGACAAACGGTTGCATTCTTTTGAGTTTCTGACTAGCCTTTCCAAAGGAGGCAATCAGGTATGCATTTATCTCAGTGAGCAGAGGGATGACTGAATAGAATGGGAGGCAGATTTGCCCTAAGCGGTTCCCAGCTTGACTTGTCCCTTTAGCTTAGTGATTTGGGGGTTCAAAGATTTATTTTCCTTTCACACAGCATTGTTTACATTAGCCAAGATTTGGAAGTAACCAAAGTGTCTATCAAAAACAGATGAATGGATAAAGCCAATGTACATATACACAAAGGAGTACTTTTCACTTATAAATAATAAGATCCTGTTGTTGGCAACAACATGGATGGAACTGGAGGTCATATGTTAAGAAAAATAAGCCAGCCACATAAAGGCAAAATTTTTTCTTGCAAGACCTTTGGCTCTTCTGAGTCTTTTTTGGTTCTGTCCACTTTATAGGATTGTTTTTCCTATTTCTGTGAAGAATATCATTGATGTTTTGATAGGGTTGCATTAAGTCTGTAGATTGGATTGGGTAGTATAGACACTAAAAATACTGATTTTTCTTATGAACAAAAAATATATTTTCTTTTTTGTCTTTTTAAATTTCTTGCATCAATGTTTTATAGTGTTCATTGTACAGATCTTTAATTTCTTTGGTTAATTCCTAGGTATTTTATTTTAATTTGTGGCTATCGTAAATGGGATTACTCTCTTCATTTCTTTTTCACATTGTTCACTGTTGGTATATAAAAATGCTGCTAGCTTTTTAATCCTATATCTTGACTAAATTTATGAGTTCTAATAGTGTTTTAGTGAATTAGGATTTTCCAAATATAAGAGCACATCATCTGCAAGCAAAGCTAATTTGACTTCTTCCTTTCCAATTTGGTTGCCCTTTATTTTTTTCTCTTGTCTAATTGCTCTAGCTGCCATATGTTGAAATAACAGTGGTGAAAGTGTGCATCCTTGTCATGTTCTCAATCTTAGGAAAAGCTTTTCATTTTTCCCCATTTAGTATCATATAATGTGAGTGTCATATATAGCTTTTTATATGTTGAGGTATGTTTCTTCTATAGTTTTGAGGGTTTCTGTCATGAGGGGATATTAAATTTTATCAAATGATTTTCAGGATCAAAATGATCTTGGTTTTTGTTCTTTCTTTTGTTGATATGATGTATTACATTAATTGATTTGCATATGTTGAAGTATCTTTGCATCCCTGAGATAAATCCTACTTGATCATGAGGTATAATAATCTTTTTAATCTGTTGCTGAATTTTACTTGCCAGTATTTTTATTAGAAATTTTACATCTATAATAATCTTTTTAATATGTTGCTGAATTTTACTTGCCAGTATTTTTATTAGAAATTTTGCATCTATTGCTGATATTGGCCTATAGATTTTTTTGATAGGCGTTTGTCTGGTTTTAGTATGAGAGTAATGCTTGCCTTACAGAACAAGGTTGGAAGTGTTTCCTCCTCCTCTGTTTTGGAATAGTTTAAGTCAGATTGCTATTAGTTTTATACATGTTTGGTCGAATTCAGTGAAGCCATCAGATTTCAGGCTTTTCTCTCATAGGAGGTTTTTTATTATGGATCTCAACATGTCTTGTTTGTCTATTCAGGTTCTGGATTTCTTAACAGTTCAATCTTGTTAGGTTCTATGTGTCTAGAAATTTATCCATTTGTTCTAGATTTTCCAATTTATGGCATCTATCTGCTCATAGCAGCCACTAATGATCTTGAATTCCTGCAGTATAAGTTGTAGAGTTGAAATGTCTCCTTTTTCATCTTTGTTATTATTTATTTGAGTCTTTTTTTCTTTTTTCTTTTCTTTCTTTCTTTTTTTTTTTTTTTCTTTTTTTTGAGTAGGAGTCTCACTCTGTCGCCCAGGCTGGGGTGCAGTGGCTTGATCTTGGCTCACTGCAACCTCCTTCTCCTGACTTCCAGCAATTCTACCTGCCTCAGCCTCCCAAGTAGGTGGGATTACAGGTGCCTGCCACCGTGCCCAGCTAATTTTTATATTTTTTAGTAGAGACGGGGTTTCGCCATGTTGGACAGGCTGGTCTTAAACTCCTGACTTCAGGTGATCCCCCTGCCTTAGCCTCCTAAAGTGCCGGGATTACAGGCATGAGCCACTGTGCCTGGCTGAGTTTTCTTTTTTTTTCTTAGTCTGGCTAAAGGTTTTTTTTTTTTTTTTTTTAGAAAACAACTTTGCATTTTATTGACCTTTTGTATTTTATTTATTTCAAATTCATTTATTTCTGCTTTGATCTTTATTATTTCTTTTCTTCTAATTTTGGCTTTGTTTGCTAGATACATCATTAGGTTTTTTCAATGGTTTTGGAAATACAGGTGGTTTTTCGTGACACAGATAAGTTCTTTAGTGTAATTTCTGAGATTTTAGTGCACCTGTCACCCGAGCAGTGTACACTGTACTTAATATGTAGCTTTTATCCCTCACCCGCCTCCCAGCCTTCCCCCTCAAGTCCCCAAAGTCTATTACATTACTCTTATGCCTTTGCATCCTCGTAGATTAGCTCTCACTTATAAGAATATACAATATCTAGTTTTCCATTTCTGAGTTACTTCACTTAGAATAATAGCCTTCAGCTCCATCCAAGTTGCTGCAAATGACATTTTATTTGTTAAGTGTTCCCATTTCACCACAACCATGCCAACATCTGTTGTTTTCTTGACTTTTGAATTATGGCTATTTTTGTAGGAGTAAGTTGGTATCTAATTGTGGTTTTCATTTGTATTTCTCTGATTAGTGATGTTGAGCATTTTTAGATTATTGTTCGGTGTTCGTATGTCTTCTTTTGACAAATATATATTCATTTTCTCTGCCTACTTTTTGATGGAATTATTATTATTTGGCTAATTTATTTGAGTTCTGTATAGATTCTGGATACTAGCTTTTTGTGCGTAGTTTGCAAATATTTTCTGCTACTCTGTGGGTTGTCTATGTACTCTGCTGATTATTTCTTTTGCTGTGCAGAAGCTTTTTAGTTTAATAAGGTCCCATTTGTTTATGTTTGTTTTTGTTGCATTTGCTTTTGGGGTCTTAGTCATGAATTTTTTGCCTAAGTCAATGTCCAGAAGAGTTTTTTTATATGTTACCTTTTAGAATTTGTATGCTTTCAGGCCTTAGATTTAAATCTTTGATCCATCTTGAATTGATTTTTGTATACGGTCAGAGATGGGGGATCCAGTTTTATTCTTCTATGTGTGGCTTGCCAGTTTTCCTAGCACCGTTTATTGAATAGGGTGTTGTTTCCTCAATTTGTTTATTTGTATGCCTTGTTGATTATTAGTTAAGATGAGTTGCCTGTATTTGGCTTAATTTCTGGATTCTCTATTATGCTTCATTGGTCTATGTGTCTATTTTAATAGCAATACCATGCTGTTTTGGTAGCTATAGCTTTGTAGTATAATTTGAAGTAGGGTAATGTGATGCCTCCAGATTTTTTATTTATTTTGTTTTGGTTAGTATTACTTTGGCTACGTAGGCTCTTTTTTGATCCACATTAATTTTAGGATTGTTTTTTATAGTTCTGTGAAGAATACTGATGGTATTTTCATGGAAATTTCAGTAAATCTGTCATGAAGTTGTTTATTTGAGTTTTTTATGTAGACACTTTTAGTTATAAACTTTTAGTACTGCTTTTACTGTATATCCTAAGTTTTCATGTATTTCCATGATCACATATTTCAGAAATATTTCAATTCATTTATTAATTTCCTCATTGACCCATTGGCCTTTCAGGAGCATATTGTTTAAATTCTATGTATTTATATAATTTCAAAACTTTTTCTGGTTATTAATTTCTAGGTTTTTTCATTGTAGTCAGAAAAGATGCTTGATATTATTTTAATTTTTAAAATGTTTTAAGACTTGTTTTGTGACCTAACATATGGTCTATCAATGAGAATGATTCATGCACTGCAGAGAAAAATGTGTATTCTGAAGCCATTCGATAAAATGTTCTGTAAATATCCATTATGTCCATTTGGTTTATAGCACAGATTAGGCCTGATATTTCTTCGTTGGTTTTTCTGTCTGGAAGATTTATTCAATGCTGAAAGTGGGGTGTTGCAGTCTCTAGGTATTATTATATTGGGGCCTGTCTCTTTAGCTCTAATAATACTGGCTTAATATATCTGAGTACTCCAGTGTTAGGTGCATATGTATGTAACATTCTTATATCTTCTTGATGAATTAACCTCATTATTATTTTTTTTTTTTTTTTTTGAGACGGAGTTTCTCTGAGTTTCGCTCTTGTTGCCCAGGCTGGAGTACAATGGTGCAATCTGGGCTCCCTGCAACCTCTGCCTCCCAGGTTCAAGTGATTCTCCTGTCTCAGCCTCCTGAGTAGCTGGGATTACAGGCATGTGCCACCATGCCCGGATAATTTTGTTGTTGTTGTTGTTTTGTATTTTTAGTAGAGATGGGGTTTCTCCATGTTAATCAGGCTGGTCTCAAACTCCCAACCTCAGGTGATCCACCCACCTCGGCCTCCCAAAGTGCTGAGATTACAAGCATGAGCCACTGTGCCCAGCCCTCATTATATAGATAACCGTCTTTGTCTCTTCTTATAGTTTTGTCTTGAAATCTATTTTGTCTGATATAAGTATAGCTACTACTGCTTTTTCTGTTTGTTTTCATTCACATGGAATTTTTTAAATCTTTTTAATCTATGTGTTTATAGGTGAAGTGTGTTTCTTGTAGGCAACAAATCAGTCTTTTTTTTTTTTATCCATTTAGCCACTCTATGTCTTTTGATTGGAGAGTTTAGTCGATTTACATTCAGTGTTGTTATTGATTATATAAAGATTTACTCCTTCCATTTTGTTGTTTTCTTGTCTTGCTATCAACAGCAAGAGGGGACCTGAAAGTGGGTAGCCATCTGTGAGGCTGAGTCCAGGATTTTTATGGGTTTAGAATGGGGGAATGCATGCTGACTGGTTCATGGGTGGACTTGGAAAAGGCACCATTCAATTGATTAAAAGGAATCATTCTCAAAGAACTAATAGAGAGAGTGGGTTAGGGATGGAAGTTCTCACTCCAGTCCATGAATTCTTCCTGGAACTGGTAGCTCAGTTTTCAGGCTTTAGACTGTCCTTTCCTCGAAGGTCGAGTTTCACCAAGGACCCATCCCTGCCTGCCTAGGAGTTTGTCTTCTGTCACTATCAGTAGGACTGCAGTGGGTCAGACCTGAAACCAGCACAGCAGTTGATCACACCCAAGGTGAGCTGTAACCACTACCTGGTACCACCAGTAATTGCTCAAGGTCCTGGGGCTTTATAATTTGTAGGTGGTATCCTACAAAGGGCTTGCCAGCGTTGTATCCTTTCCTTCAGAGTAGTGAGTTCCCTCAGGCTCTCGGCAAGCCCATCGGTGCCATCCAGGAGCCAGGGGCTAGTCAATAACCTTAGGAGTCTACTTCGTTTTCTGTTGTACTGTGGTAGAGCTAGCAATTAAACCGTAAGATTCAGTTCTTCCCATTTTTCCGTCCTTATTCCACAGGCAGAAGAGCCTCATCCCATTGCTACCATCACCACAGGCCCATGGGGAATACCGCCAGGCTACCACCAATGTTCCCTTAAGATTCAAGGCTCTTTAGTTCACTTGTAGTGAATGATGCTTGGCCTGGTACTCACCCTTTTTGTCAGTGGTGTCCCTTTTGTCTCAGCGCAGGTCCAGAAGTGCCATCCAAGTGCCAAGGCCTGGAATAAGGGACCCCAAGAGCCCACTTGATGCTCTTCCTCCCTTTGGCCATGCTGGGACCTAAGTTGGCAAGATGAAATCCTCTATAGTTTTTCCTCTACCCTTTTCAGTGACTCCCTGTAGCCACCACAGTTGTGAATGTGCTGAGTCTCACCTGATTCTAGCAAGCCTCAGAGTCCCAATGAAAGCTCATAGCAAACTACCTGGTTATCACTGCAGATTATTCCAGGTCGAGGGCTCTTTACTTAGCAGTTGATGGGTCTTGTCAGTGCCAAAATTTTTCATTCAAGGCAGCAGATTTCTTTCTGGCCCAGCATGTACCTAGAAATTTTAACTAGGAGCTAGTGGCTGAAAAGGGGTTTCACAACTCTGACTGGTGGCCTTGCTGGTATCCAAAATGCAAGACAAAGTCCTGTTTACTCTTTTCTGTCTTCTTAAGTAGATGGACTTGGTCTCTTGAATCTGTGAACCGTGCAGCCTTAGTTTGGAGGAGGGGTGGTGTAAGCACTCTCTTAGCTGCACCAGTTTGTATCTCAGTAGGTAATGTGGCCCCCAAGTCCACTGGCTCTAAGCCCAGTTCAGCACTAGGACTCACCTGGGAGTTGCAGTCCTTGTGACCTAAACTGCCTTTCAAGTTTTTTAGGGCCCAGAGCATTTTAGACTATGTCGATGAGGCTTGCCAGAACTCAAGTTCCAATCACCGGGAAGGGTGATTCCTCTCTGCCCAGGGCCAGTTGAAATACTCCCTCTGTGGGCAGGCGTCAGCTGAGTGCATTCCAGTTTTGCTTTCTGCTGTGATAGGGCAGCACTGAGTTCAGTGCTCACAATCCCAGTGTTCTCTATCTCCCAAGTGTACAGCTTCTATCTACATAGTATGTGACAGCTGCCAGGGCATGAGTGAGGGGTGGCATTAGTGATTCAAGACGGTCTTTCCTACCCTCTTTTAGTGAGTAGTACAAGGTTAAAACCAGGTACTGTGAGTGCTCACCTTTATTCTTATGAAGGTTTTCTTTTTCTTTTTCTTTTTTAATAGATCATTGTAAAATTGGTGACCTTGCAGGGGAAATGATCACTGGAGCCTTCTATTTAGCCATCTTGCTCTGTCCTTTCTTGGTTTTCTACTATGGCATTGTGCTGATGTTCTCAGCTTGGCAAAATTTCATATTAGATTTGTAAAGTATATTCAACTGAAATCAGTATGTAGAATAATTAGTTATTTTTACTTCTTTCAGCTGTGTATTCTTATTACAACCAAGGCATTTTACCAGAGCAAGGCATACAAGATTCATTCAAAAAAGCAACACTGGGAAGATATGGGAGCTGTGGCCTTGAAAATATATGCTTATGGAAAAACTGGGAAAGTATAGGTGAAGGTGAAGGACAAAAGGAATGTTATAATCTATGTAGCCAATATTTGACAACTAGTCATAACAAACATTTAACTGTGAAAGGAGACAAAGAATATAGAATATTTCAGAAGAAGCCTCAGTTTCTGTCAGCTGCTCCTACAGAACCATGTATTCCTATGAATAAATATCAACATAAATTTTTGAAATCTGTCTTTTGTAATAAAAATCAGATAAATTTTAACCATGACTCAAATATTAGTAAACATCATAGTACTCATTTTCTAGAAAACTATTACAATTGTAATGAATGTGAAAAAGTATTTTACCAATCCTCAAAGCTTATTTTCCCTGAAAATATCCATATTCAAAAAAAGCCTTACAACTCTAATGAATGTGGTGAAACTTCTGACCCATTCTCAAAGCTTACTCAACATCAAAGAATTTATATTGGAGAGAGCTCACAAAGATGTAATAAAAAATGTATAATAGTCTTTAGTCAATCACATCTAAAGGGACATAAGATAATTAACACTGGAGAAAAATCAGTGAAATATAAAGAACGTGGCAAAGCTTTTACCAGGGGCTTACATCTTGGACATCAGAAAATTCATACTGGAGAGAAACCTTACAAATGTAAAAAATGTGACAAAGCCTTTAACAAGAGTTCACACCTTGCTCAACATCAGAGAATCCATACTGGAGAGAAGCCTTTCAAGTGTAAGGAATGTGGCAAAGCTTTTAACAGAGGCTCATACCTTACTCAACATCAGAGAATCCATACTGGAGAGAGAGCTTTCAAATGTGAAGAATGTGGCAAAGCCTTTAACAGGGGGTCATACCTTACTCAACACCAGAGAATCCATACCGGAGAGAAACCTTTCAGATGTAAGGAATGTGGCAAAGCCTTTAATAGAAGCTCATACGTTACTCAGCATCAGAGAATGCATACTGGAGAGAAACCTTTCAAGTGTAAGGAATGTGGCAAAGCTTTTAACAGAGCTTCACACCTTACTCAACATCAGAGAATCCATACTGGAGAGAAACACTTCAAATGTAAAGAATGTGGCAAAGCCTTTAACAGGGGCTCACACCTTACTCGACATCAAAGAATCCATACTGGAGAGAAGTCTTTCAAATGTGAAGAATGTGGCAAAGCTTTTATCTGGGGCTCACACCTTACTCAACATCAGAGAGTCCATACTGGAGAGAAATTCTTCAAATGTAAAGAATGTGGCAAAGCTTTTACCAGGAGCTCACACCTTACTCAACATCAGAGAATTCATACTGGAGAGAAACCTTTCAAATGTAAAGAATGTGGCAAAGCTTTTAACAGACGCTCAACCCTTACTCAACATCAAATAATTCATACCAGGTAGAAACCCTGCAAGTGTAAAGAATGTGCTAAAACCCTAAACTGGTGCTCACACCTTACTCAACATTAGAAAATCAATACTGGATAGAAATCCCATATGTGTAATGATTTTTGAAACATCAAAATGAAGATTAAATAAAAATTAGAAGTGTCACTTTAGAAAGAACTAAGGTGCTAGCACTTCCGTAAATTACTCTGAATCAGTGTGTTTATTATAACAAATAATTCAAACTCAATTAGATAATTAAATTGTATGTTTAAAAAGAGGGACGACATTGATGGAGAGGCATAATTATATTCAATGTTCACTTATTTTTGTAATCACAGTATTCATGATTGAGAAAGTATTATTGATGTAATTAAATTCAAATTAACCTTTTTTTTCCCCACTGTGGTTGATTATTGCTGTCTCTGACATGAGAGTCCCTTCTACGTTAGGTAGGCATCATTCACATGTCTCATTCACATGTCATCATTCACATGTCTCATGACGTCATTCACAAGTTTCCCATGGAAGACTAAGAGCATTGGCATATAGGATGTATGATGAAATCTAAATGGAGTTGCTCTTTTTGTTTGACTTACAACACTGAATATAAGTCATATATGAGTTAGGTGTTCAGAATATTATTGTTCTGCATTAAAGTGTGAGACAGAAACACTCTGAGTTTTAGATATGAATAGTTTTACCAACTACCCATTAAAAGGTCTTGCTAGTCCATTAATATTCTAATGTATCTTCATAGCAGCAAGTTAGAAGTCCTGAATGTTACTGTGATAACAATAAAGAAATCACAAATATCAGAGAGTGGTGCAAATAACTTCTCTCTGGTAGAACATAGATTATTAATTCAATCCTCTAAATACTTAGGCTCAGTTTAAGAAAAGAGAGAACACATTTTTTTAACATAGGTCATGGTATCAGAATAAGAATGCTTTTTGAATGTTTGCAGTCTGTAATTTTGATGATTGAGGAAACTGGATTTTGAAATGCTTTATTCAGTCTGTAAACTTAATTTTTTTTTAAGAATAAAATGAAATGTCTTTTAATTTGTTAACACTGTTGCTTATTGAATAATGTCTTATCCTGACAAAAATGTTAACTTATTCCACCTTGCTCAAGATTCCAGGTAGTAAATGGTAATGATATACTATCGGGTATGTCTAGTTCATGCTGTCTTTAGCATTTTTTTACCCTTAGTGGTATTAAACTCCAAATAGTTTGGAGAATGTTGATTCCATAAGTTATTACTTGTTACTCTAACAAGTTCCCCAAGGTGTGTTGAGTAGTTAATTAGCCCTTAGCTATTTTTACCAAACATTAGGTTATTAATTTAAAATTGTTTGTTTTTAATGTAGGTGTTTACTGCTATGAATTTCTCTGAACAGTTTGCTGCATCTCATGTTTCGATATGTCATAACTTCATTTTCATTTATCTGAAAATATTTTCCAGTTTCATTTTTTCTTTAACACATTAATTAGGAGTATTTTTAATTTCCATATATTTGTGAGTTCCCCCCATTTTCTGCATTCATTTATTTTTAATTTCCTTTTACTAAAGTCAGGGAAAATACTTTGGATTATTTTGATCCTGTTAATTTTATTGACGTTTTCCTGCTGTATGGCCTAGCATATGGTCTATCCTGGAGAATGATTTATGTGTACTTCTAATTTTGAGTGGAAAATTCTATAAATTTGAGAATTCTATCAGTTCATATTTGTTTACAGTGTTCAAGTGTTATGTTTTCCTGTTGATCTTCCCACTTTTTCTGCCCATTATTTACATTGGAGTATAGAAGTTTCTATACTTCTGATAAACTCCAAATAATGGATTTGATTATTTAATCTATTTATAGCCTGTAATATTATCAGTATAGTTGAATTTGCATCATTTTGCTTTCTATTTTTATGTCTCACGTATTTTTCTTTATTCTTCCTTTACTGCTTTCTTATTACTTTCCATATAATCTTTTAATTTATATAATTGTTCATGTTTTTGAAGTTACTTCCTTGTTTTCTCTAGCCCTTATATACCTTATCAGAATCTGCTTTATATTTATATTAATTCCAATGAGATATAAAATATTACCACTATATAGCTTTTTTCCCCCAATTTGGATTGAATTTTTAAAATATTGTCTTAATTTAGTTTTATTGTTTTATTAAAAAAGCTAAACTTAACAAAATTGGTTGTATATTAGTTTAGGTGAGGTTGTTTTGTAATGAGAAAATAATTTACAACATATAGAGAATAAATTATTATTATTTTAAAAAGTACTCTACATTTTGTATCCTTACCATTTCCTTTGATAGTTTAAAATTGTAATTCTCTAAATAAGAGATATATTCATAAATGTGACTTGTAAATGTTGAAATTTATATGTTTGCTTTTTCTGCATTCAGTAAGGGTAGTAGTTTCCAGCATCTGTGCCTCTTTAAAGTGAAAGACAGGGGCAGGCGTAGTGGCTAATGCCTGTAATCCCAGCACTTCGGGAGGCCCAGGTGGGTGGATCACCTGAGGTCAGGAGTTCGAGACTAGCCTAGCCAACTTAGTAAAACCCTCTCTCTACCAAAAATACAAAAAATTAGCTGGGTGTGGTGGTGGGCTCCTGTAATCCCAGCTACTTGGGAGGCTGAGACAGGAAAATCACTTAAACCTGAGAGGTGGAGGTTGCAGTGAGCCAAGATCATGTCACTGCACTGCAGCCTGGGCAGCAGAGTGAGACTCCATCTCTAAATAAGTAAATTCAGCCTGGGCAACATGTGAGACTCCATCTCTAAATAAATAAATAAATGAATGAATGAATGATAGGATGGAATTAAAATAGTTTGAAAACACAAATTAACAAAATGGTGTTGACAAAGATTGTTCATTTGTGGTCTACCAGGGCATAAAATTCTCAAAAAACATAATCAGTAGGAAACCTCTTTATTCCTGAATATTAGAGAATATTATATGTCTTAAAATTATTCATGTTGAAAAGCTCTGCCTTTCATGCATTTAGGAGAAAAAGTAGAGGGCAGGAGGTTTATGTAGACTCTGGTCTGTGCCTGATTTGGGGAATGGAAAGACTCGACAGAAGAGGCCAGGTCAGCCAAGCAGGGCTCTGTTGCGTGCAAGATTAACTGCTGGTTTGTCTTTGCAGAGCTCCACACAGAACATCATCAAAGAACTGATGGACACTTCATCTCCCTGGGTGAGGGGCAGGTGTACCATGCTGTCATGGCCATTCCTGCCTCGATTGGGGTGTGGGTGTAGAGATGGTCTCTATAACCAGGGCCCAGACATGGCTGAGAAGGCCTTCTGCCAGGACTCCACCTTGATGACTCACAGGACTTTGTGCCTTGGCTTTCCCTATTGAGTGACCCACAGTTTTAATCCAAGGGACCCTGAGTCTGTTTCCTTCCTTCAGCCCCACCATTTCACCCCAGCACTGTTCAGGTGTACAATCGGCTTTCACATATTTGTAAGAATATCTAGGAAAATTATTTATATTTTACTTTCACTTCATGTTATGACCATGAGTGTTTTTGCATTTGCTAGGGCTCATTGTTTTAATTGGCCCCCCTTTATCCCTCTGAGTGCGGAAATAAATCAGCCCTAAATCTGGATGAGACCTGCAGGTGGACTCCATCAGTGCAGGCGTGGTGGGGCAGCAGGAGGAGCCCGTGGTGCCCACCTTCCAGAGCTGCCACCTCTTTTACCTCCTCATGTTCCTTCCTGTGCACCTAGAGAGAGTTCACCCCCACCCAACAGCTCCTGGACCTGCTGCCCAAAAGGTAAGTGCTCCATCCCTCCACAGCACAAGGGGGACTCAGCCACCTATTATCTGTGTCTTGGGAAAGTCCCTTCACATTTGTGGGCTTCAGTTTGCTTCTTTGGAACTGGGGTTCTAAGAAGCCTAACATGATATGATTGTTTCAAGAACTAAATGAGATAAGCTATGGAAAGTACTTCAGACTTGGCCTTGTAGAAAGCACTGCTGAGGGAATAGATTGGTTATTCATATTATAAAACTATTTAAAACTCTAGAAAACTATAGTAAGATATAAGATTATAAAAATATCAAAACTAAGATATTGACAGTAATAGAATTAACCTACTCATCTATTTGCATTTTACCAGATTAATTTTTTCTTATGTGTGTGTGTTCTGTGCAATTTTATTACATGTGTAGGTTCACCTACCAGAAGATTAACTCGTTTTCCTCTTATAACCACATCCGCTTCCCTTCTCCCCACCATACCCACTCTGATTCTGATTCTTTGAAACCATTAATTTCTATTTCTGCAAATTTGTCATTCCAATAATGTTATATAAATGAAATCATAACCTGTGCAACCTTTTGTAATTGGCCCTTTTCCTTCAGCATAATTCCTTGGAGATTCATCTAAATTGGTTTATGTTTTAGTTTGTTCCTTTTGTTATTGCTGTGGGTTTTCATGTGTGGATGTTACCATGAAATACTGTGTGTAACCCTTCACTCTTTCAAGAACATATTTGTTGTTTTCAGTCAGTGTGTGGCTATTATGAATAAAAGTGCTATGTACATTCATGTACTAGGTTTCATATGAATACATGTTTTCATTACTCTGGAAAATATTTCCAGCATACAATTCCTGGCTCATAGGGTAGTTACAAGTTTAATTTTAATAGAAACTAGCACTCTGTTATCCAGAGTGACTATCATTTTACATTCCCATCATCAATGAATTTCTGTTTTTTCAAATCCTCTTAGCCATACTGACTGATATGTATTGATATCACATTGTTTTAATGTACATTTTTCTAAAGGATAATAATGTTGAACTTTATTTAATGTTCTCATATGACATCTGCCTATTATCTCTGATGAAATGTTTATTCATGTCTGCATGTTTTCTAATTGTATTTGTTTTCTTGCAAGTTTTGAGAGTTCTGTTTATATTCTGGTTACTAGCTCACATAGGCAATAAATAAGTTTTTTTTCCACAAAGAAAAACATTTGCAAGGATTTTCTTCCATCTATTGCTTGCCTTATTTATTCAACTTTTTTTATAATTAGAATAATAACAGTTCTACTTCAAAATGTCAGAGAAAACTGAATCTTTCCAGAGTTGCTGGACATTGTAAGGGTGTGTGGAACCCTATTTAATTTAGCCTGAGGGATGGAGACTTGTAGACCTTTTTGCACACAAGGTGGCTCCCTTGTTGTTATAGCTGGAGGAGGAGCCTAATGCAGATTTAAACCGGAAGATGGTGATTGGCAAATAACCATCTCCTTTTGTGTTAAAATATCATGGCCTAGACAGCAAATGTGAAGTAATGTCTTTAGGATGAACATCTCTTGTATATTTAATATTCACTTATTAGACAGGAAGAGCACTTATTTATAAACCAGTCACTTTCTATTAATATACAAATTAATTTGAATGTTAATATTTTGATTTCTGAGGAGATGTTAGGAGCTGGCTGTATGTATAATATACATAATAAGTATTGGTGTAAGAAATGCTTTTATTGGGCAGCTACTATGTACTTGCATGCTACTAGAGCTAAAAGATGAGTTATAATGCTTTCCTCACAGAGCAAATATACTAGTTGGAGATTAAATCACAAGTATTTCTTCATTACTTTTATGTGCCCATCACCAAGCAAATAAGGAAGAAGTATTTTTTACATTTATTTTTTGAATGTTGGTAGAGATAAGTATTGAGGAGGGGCTGTTACTCCAGGCAGGTCGGGGGAGGCTAGGTTGGTGGGAAGTAGCAGGGAGGCTAGGTTGGTGGGAAGTAGAGGGGAGGTGAGGCTTCCTGAAGGAAGTGATTAATGAAATGGGGAGATGGTGGAAGTTGGCTGGGTAAGGAAGAGGATGGAACAGACCTCCAGAGACCTGACACTGAGAACAGATGTTAATTTTAGGAGTTAGCTCCAGATTCTGTGTCACAAAAACATTCCTTTCACCTGGGAAGTTAGGGTGGAGACTATAAATTTCATGCTGTTGGAGACCAATAGAGGCAGAAGGCACATTTCACTCACTTTACTGGATTCCCTGAAACATAGACCCTAATAAAGATTTCAGATGCACATACTCAGTGCTTTCCAGAAGATGCTCTATAGAACACGAGGGACTCAAGATATTAACAAATGTCATCGGATAAATAGGTCCCGAGGTTAAATAAGTTCAGACGTTGCAAATGTCTGTTGTGAACCTTGTGAACCAGGAAAATCTTGGCAGTGTTCCAGACTGGGTGGCTTTTCCCTTGAGCATCTTGAGAAACTAGTTCTCAGAGAATACTTTGGGAAATGCCACATCAGCATTCATGTGGTGTGGATGCTCCCTGGCTATTGTAACAAGTCGGAGCCTCCCTGAATATCCACTGCTATCCTGAGAGATTAACAAAGCTGGAGACACCCTGACAGGAGGCAGCCATCAGTGCAGTTAATGATGGGAATACTAAAAAATGGAAGGTGAAAGTTGGCCAGGCGTGGTGGCTCATGCCTATAATCCCAGCACTTTGGGAGGCCAAGGCAGGTGAATCTCTTGAGGCCAGGAGTTCGAGACCAGACTGGCCTACATGGTGAAACCCCGTCTCTACTAAAAATACAAAAATTTGCCAGGCGTTGTGGTGGGTGCCTGTAATCCAGCTACTCAGTAAGCTGAGGCAGGAGAATTACCTGAACCTGGGAGGAAGAGGTTGCAGTGAGCCAAGATTGTGCCACAGCACTCCAGCATGGGCAGCAGAGTGAGACTCCCATCTCAAAAAAAAAAAAAAAAGACAGTGAAAGTTGTATAGGCGACTGATTTTCAACAGGGACAGTGAAAGGGACAATGTAGAGGACAGTGTGGAGACCATAGGGGTCAGGTCTGTTGCTCTGTGTATGAGGGTCTATCATTGGAAATAAATTGAGGTTATCAATGATGAGAGCTCTGGGGCCTCTGAAATGTGACTCTTGAGTCTGGATATGAGGTCATCAGCCATAGGATGTTGACCACAAACTCATTGTGTTTGTTACTCACCTCGCACTTTCTACTTGTGAGTTACTGTGTTTTTTTACTTCACACATGGCATTTGTTAGAGTATTAATATAAACATACATATACACACAAACATTTTCATCATGAAAAACATGAGCAGTATTGGGACAAAAGCATCCTACTGATCTTGCATAAACTCAAAAGGACAAAATACTGACAAATGTTTCCAACACTGAGAGCCACATTATTTACAAACTTCTTACTTGCCAGTCCTTCATGTGGTCATGTCCCCATTCAGGGGAACTGGAATCTGTACATCCAAGCCCCTTGATTTTACCATTCTAAACCAAATGCATCAACTGCCTTATTCCACAAGGGCTCCCTAATGTGATTTATAGAGGATATCTCAGCACATCTTTGCTTTCAAGCTGGAGGCCACCTTCAACGCCAGGTTATTTGACCACTTGGACTTGCACCTCCATGAGGACTTGAGGTCATACTGATATGGGATGGCCATTTCCAGGTGATGATGTGGGCACAGGCTGCTTTACACATACTACACTCCATTTAGTGGGGCCACCTCCACCTGAGACCATCTGTGTCACCCTCTGAAACTCCATCCTGCAACCATTGTGCTTATATAGGGCTGTAGTTTCTCCTGAAAAGAAAAATACTAGTATTTTAGTGAAGCAGTTTTTCCAACAAATCACTAGAAACTTTTTCTTCATTGTAATAAGAATGATGAAGCCATAAATTGAGGAAATTGTTAATTTCATCATCACTGTTTTTACTGCTCACCTCTCATCCAATCTAATTTGTAGCCAAAAGGAACTACTTCATTTGATTTGGAGACTCCAGGAGCACACACTATGTATAAACTTGAGTGCATAAGGTTTGATGGAGAAGGTGGTTGGAAACTGATGGTTTACACAGCAGAGCAACATCACTCAACTCGTATATAAGCAGAGAAAGAGTTGGAGAAAAATGAAATGAAGCGTTGAGATATCAGCACCCCTTCACTTCCAAATGGCCAACAACCTGGATCCTTCATCTGTGTCCACTTCCCAGCAAGTCGGAATAGGGTGAGCTGAACTCACAGGAAGGGAACTCAGCCCTTGATACCTGGGAGCAGTGGGCAATGCTGTCCTCTCCCTCTTTCATCTATAGGAACACCACTGTTGTTTTCTGTTTTGCACAAGAGAGATTTACTCTCCAAAACTTAACTTCACTTGAGCCCAAATATTTAATATTGAAAGCTCTTAAAG
Organism: Homo sapiens; assembly: GCF_000001405.40. Lineage (NCBI taxonomy): Eukaryota > Metazoa > Chordata > Mammalia > Primates > Hominidae > Homo > Homo sapiens. Next base: position 14,096,695 of record NC_000018.10, on the reverse strand, counting down.
GTTGGAGACATGAATAGATGGGTGTGGTTGCACACACCTGTGATCCTAGCTACTCGGGAGACTGAGATGGGAGGATTGCTCAAGCCCAGGTGTTTGAGGCTGCAGTGAGGTATGACCATGCCACTCTACTCCAGCCTAGGTGACAGAGCAAGACCGTGTCTCTAAAAAATAAAATAAAAATTTAAAAAGTGGGACATATGAGAATCAGTCCTGGGAAGGTCAGAAGAGTGTCTTTGAAAGTAATCTTTATACACGAGGGAATGAAGCAAATGGTGAAATAGAACCCTTCAGTGTTCATCTTCCTGCAGAAACATCAAATTGAACAACTATCTACAAATAACTTTCACAAGAGCCAAGGAATTCAGGTGAGAAATTATAATACCTGGTTTTGACACAATAATAGAGACAGTGAAGTGGGTAGGAAGGGCAGAGTCACATTGCCTGTGTCACCCATCTCCCAGCTTTCCACAGTGCAGCATAGAGAGAGATGCAGCCCACTCGGGGGAAAGAAGTGGGAAGTACATAAAGGACTTTGACTTAGAGCCCAGTGCTGGGCCCATCATGGCAAAACCCAGTACCAGGCAGAAACCCATGGCCCCTGACCTCAGGCCAGGTCCTGTAGGTGACACCTCTGGACTCACCCCAGTGCAAGGCAGAAACCTTCAGCCCCAAACCATGGTCTTGTGTTCCAGCTCACACCACTGCTAGCCTTCCACAGTGGCCTTAGGCCACGAGTGAACCCCACTGGCAGACAGGCCATGTCAGCCTGGGCCACAAGAGCACCCAGGGCTGTGTTGGTCCTGGCAGCATGGGATTTGGATGTGACCCAGATGAGCATCAGCCTTGGCAACCAAGAGACTGCTCCTACCTTTTCTCCCCCAGTCCTGGGCAGCACAGTGCAGAGTGACTCTATCCACTGGCAGGGAGGGAGAGAGAAGTAAATGCAGGACTTTGTCTTACAGCTCAGTACTAGCTTGACATGGTGAAACCCAACATTGGCCAGAACCTGATGGTTCGTGACCCCAGGCCAATGCCCACAGATAGAGCTGCTGGAACTGCTGCAGTGCCATGTGGAGACCCGCAGCTCTGGTGACACAGTCTCTTGTCCTTATTTGTATCACTGCTGCACTGCTGCAGCCTAGAGCCAATAATAAACCTCATTGGCAGGCAAGCCATAGCAGCATGTTGTCTAAGGATGTCTCTGTGCTGCCTTGGTCTTTGCAGCTGTGGGCTTTGGGTTAACCCAGTGTTACAATGACTGCAGCGGCCACAAACACCATTCCTCAACTAAGGAGCACTGAGTGGATAAAGAGGTCTCTTTGGGATAAGGAAAGAAAAGTAGGCACAACACATGGCCCTGCAACCCAGTGCTAGGCCTGCCACAGTGAAGCCCAGCACGAGGCAGAGTCACACAGTGACTCTCCCGAAGCTAATGACCATACATAAAACCTCTGGAGTTTCCCTGTCTCCAGGCAAAAACTTGCAGAACCAAATGGACCCCTTTAGGTTTTGCTCTAGTTCCTCTGGGCCAAAAGAACATAACAACTATGGACACACAACAAAAAATGGAATTCTCCAATACACGAGATTGTCACGTGCCCCTAACATCAAGAACATTCAGGGAACAATGACCTCACCAAATGGACAAGGCACCAGGGACTGACCCTAAAGTGACGAAGTTGTATAATCTTACGGACATAATTCAAAATAGCTATTTTAAGGAAACTCAGTGAACTTCAAAAAACACAGATCACTAATTCAGAAATTTATCAGAGTAAGTTGAAAGATTGAAATAATGTTTTAAGATGTAAATAATACTGGAGCCAGGAAACAACATGAACAAAATAAAAATGCATCTGGGGGCATCAACAACAGAATCAATCAAACAAAAAAAAATCAGTGAGCTCAAAGACAGGCTATTTGAAAATATAGCAAAACAAGATAAGGGCACAGAAACAAAAAAACTATAGGCCAATCTCTGCGAGCATAAATTTTAAAAAATTCTCACAAAATACTAGAAAACCAAATCCAATGGCACATTAACAAGATTATCGACCATGCTCAAATAGAATTTATGCCAGCAATGCAAGGATGCTTTACATATGCAAGTTGATAAACATAATACATCACATCAGCAGAATGAAGGACACAAACTTTATGATCATCTCAATAGATGTAGAAAAAGCAATCTGTAAAATTCAACATTTCTTTATGATTAAAAACTCAACAAATTAGGTGTAGAAGAAAAACACCTTAACATAATAAAGGCCGTATGTAGCACTCAATGCTAATGTTATACTGAAAAGGAAAAAGCCGGTTTTATAAAAGATCTGGAACAAGGCAGGGATACCGATGTTTACCACTTTTATGCAATATAATACTAGAAGTCCTAGACAGAGCATTTAGAAAGAGACATAATGTTTTTAGAGGTTAGTGTGGGCAACACTATTGTTTGCCTGTTACTAGTTCAACACTCAACATCTCTGAAGAAAAGTGTTGAGAAGGACAGGCCCCAGGCATACAGAGCTCCACTTAGCTGTTTCCTTTCTGCCACATAAATATGTATGGGGGCCAAAGACCACTTGATATTTGAGGACTTCCTGTAGCATGAAAGATGGAGAAGAAACACACGCATTAAAGCAAGAAACCAAAGGAAAAGAAAATAAATGCAGAGATCATAGGAAAACTTCAAGGAAATGTCTAGTAATATCTTTAAAATAAGTAGGAGAGACAAAGAATTGTTAGCTGAAAGCTATCTCGTTAACATATTTTAAGTTCAGACTGATGGTTTTTTCATACATAGTGAATCATAACCTAATTGGATGTGTAAACAGATTGTAACCTACTCCTGTAACAGGTAGCCAAGTCTCAGCCAATCACTGCAGCCACATTTTGGCCAGTCACAGTCAGACAATTGTTAAAGCCATGTTCAGATAAGGCAGATGTCAAGCTGTAACCAATTCAGCTGTTTCTGTTCCTCACTTTAATTTTCTGTATGCCACTTTCGTTTCTCTGTCCATGAATGTTATTCAGCCACCTGGAAGCCCTGGAGCCACTCTGAACATACTCTGGTTCTGGTGGAGCCAGATGTGTGAATTGTTCTTTGCTCAATTAAACTCTTAATTTGTTTAAAGTTTTTCTTTTAATAGTAGCCATTAAGAATATGTACATATTTCTAAATATGTGTGTATATATGTATTGTTATAGGTGTATGTAGATGCATATGAGTATACATATATGTACATGTATTAACTGTCAAAGATAAAGGCACTGGTTAAGTAGTAAGGGCAGATTTTAATCAACAATATACTATTCTGGTAGGAAAGAGAGTCCCTCATGAACTAAACTCAACTTTAATTTGAACAGAGATGACTGGATGTTTTAAAGGAGAAAGCGGCAGGATGGAGGGGGATGAGTGGGATCTCAGTAGACTCAGGAAAGTAGAAACTTTCAAAGGGTTGGTCAGTGTAAGTGAGATTAAGCAGCGGTGTCTCTAGCTGGCCATGTGGATGGACTCTGCCCTTTCGCACAGACTGGGAAATAGAGGCTCTGTAGTTCCTGATGATTACATTTCAAAGGAATGCCTGTCACGTTCTTGAGAAAGACACTCCTGATGTATAGGAAATATACATCTCAAAGTGATAGAGGAAGGATTCACCATTGTGTAGCTCTTTCTGGTAATCTCTAAGAAAGGAAGATGGGCTTATTGTCAGGTGTTTCCAAAACAGTGAATTGTTTGGCAGTCTTGAGTTTTCTCAGGCAGGCACTTTTATCCTAGGGATGCAGCCCTGTGCTGATAGAAACCATGTAAGTGTTTGTTTAAATCTTTAAATGTAGGAAGAGAGGTGGACACAATTATTTCTGCTGAGTCTGTAAATTTTATAGGCTAAGATTGAGGCCTAGTTGACAAGAGGGCTTAGGGGAGCCTGGCTAGAACTCGGTCGAGGAGAGAATCTTCCTCAGGATGTACATATATATGCATGGTGTGTGGACACACATACATACATGTAAATACTGGAGGCTGATTTATGGGGATTCTGCGCAACTGAAGTCCCAGTTCATGGAGAGAGACTTGGGTAGGTCACTGTCGAGGCTTTCTGTGATATTGTTGAGACTAGGAAGCCTAAGGAAGGCTCTGGCCACCAACAAGACCATTGAATTTGCCCCATGGAATCTTCTCAGGCCTTGCACGTCATCTCTGTTGTGGTAACTTCACTCCCCAATGACCTGTCACATTTATAACTACAGCTGTGATTGCTCCTCTAAGTCCTACACTTATATCCCCCTGATTACTTGATATTTTGACTTCATTATCAGGGTCTCTGTCTAAAGTCTTCTCCCAAACAAGCTCATTCCAATTTCCCATCCACATGCACTTCTCTGCCATCTCTTCGTGTTCCAATGAAGGACACCCCCTTCACACAGATGCCCATGGAGGCCTGACCCCTTATCCTGGTCCTGACTCCCCTCTTCTTTGCACCCATAGACATCAGCAAGTCTCAGGGTCTCTGCCTCCAGCACAGGTCCTGGACTTCACCCCATCTCTCCATCGTTACCTCCACTGCCCCCTAGGTCAATCCATCACCTTCCTCAACTTCGATTCACTGGTACGGCCTCCCAGCTGGTCTCTCTGCTTTACCAGTTTCCACACACAGCAGCTCCTGACCTTTTAAATTGAAATGAAATTCTTATCATGGTGAGAGCTCCCTCCATCATCTGACCCTTGGTGGCCTTCACTAAACTTCCTCTGGCCATCGTTCACTGAATTCAAGCCACTCTGACCTCAGGCTGGTTCTCACACCCACCACATTCATACCCACTTCTGGGCTATTGTCGTTTCTGTCCCCTCACCTGCAAAGCTTTACCCCAGGTGTCCTCACTGCTCAGGTGTGTGATCCTCAATATTTTTTACTGACCTCTTCTACCAATATTGCCCCCATCCTCCCATGTGTCACTGCCTCCCCTCCCCTCTTCATTCTTCTCCGTAAAACTTAACCACCTTCTGATGCTCTGTGTCCATTTATGCCTTTATTTAATAATATTGTTTGGTATCTGCCTTTTCTTCCTAAAATGTCATCAAGAGGACAAGGACTTTCGAGTCTTCATTGCTCTGTCTTCAACCTGAGCACTTCTGATGATGCTGTCTCTGTCACTGATCTCATGTTACTCCTGTACCCCCACTCTTTGTACTCAAAAGTCACTTGCTGCTTCTCTTCCACCATAAGACCCAGTTTGTCTTCACCGCATAATAATGGTGTATCCTTGGTGACTAAAGATACTCATTGTGGAAACCCTGGCTTAATTTTGTGAGAGAAAATTCCCTTACAACTTTTCTCAGCTTTCCACTGAGAAGTGTTCTGGTGATTTTGACAGGAAATGGGGGGCAGTGATGTGGAATTCCCCAATCCAAGAGGATTTCTTTAAAAAGTCTTTTCCTACAGTGCACTACAAGTAGAAGAAAACCATCTCCGTGTAATTTAACAATTTTTTATAAAAAAAATTTATCCATTATTAGAATATAGCAATTAAATAATATAAAGTTCAAACATGCCTTCCCACTTTATCCCCAAATAAATATATTAAGCATTTTGTTTTTATTTTTCAATGAATACATACTAAGTCCAAAAAATAATGCTTTAACTTATAACTGTTAGAAATATAACTCTAGAAAAAATATTGCTATTGAGTACTAAAAGTCTTTATTAACAAACTGCATATATTTTCAAAGTATAATACAATAATTGGAGAATAAAATGTAAATTATTTACTTATATAGTTAACATTTGCAGAGCTTTATCTTGAGAAATGTACTTTGATGATGTTTCAATTTGAGGAAGAGATTAGTGTCTCAAGTATAGCATTTCTTTCACTGCCAATGAGAGCGAATCAAACTTTCTGAGAAACTTTCACATTTCTTGCTGTGTTCCGGGATCTCCAGTCTTCTTTAAATTTGGAGAAATTGCCCATGAAGGAGCCGACTGCTGTGTCCAGCATGTGATGGGGGAGGAACTCCAGCCCAGGAAGGGGCTCCCCTGGACCCTCAGATGGAGTCGAAGTGAGTGAATGCACCTGGCAGCTTGGGAGGCCTGAGTGGAGGGGAGGGGCAGCACTCTTTAAGACCCAGGCCCACTCCTGGGGAAGGGACCAGCAGGGCTTGCTTGGCTCTTGGCCTCCTGGGAGGTTTGGAAAGATTGCTTGTGATGGGGTGATTCCTATGAGCTCTTCTAGGAACTCTAGCATTTTTAGCCTCTCGTCTGTCACCTCTTCTTGTTTAGAACATTTGTATTTCTCCGTCTTCATTTCTTGAACCAAGAAAACTGATTCTTCCATCAATCTTGAGATGGTGGTCTTTGCCCTTCTGTAAGCCTCGGCAAGGGTGGCTATACTGAAACACTCTCTAGCCTGGCATTTCTAAAAATGACTCCGTCTCTGAACACTCTGAACACAAGTGCCGTTTGTCAGTGAGTTGGTATTTATCCTCAATCTGTGTAGCTAGTGATTCCGCAGGCTGCTTTTCATGCCTTATGTAAAGTCAGTTTCTAACAGATTGAACAGGTCTCAATAAAAATAAGGGACCAACCCATGAGCCAGTGAGCGGTGGACACACCGGTGTCTACCCCTGGAGGCTATGGAAGGTGAGTCGTGGACCGAGCATCTCCACAGTCACCTCGTCCAGCTTCCCAAGGGGTCAGCCCAGGCCTCAGCTCTACAGAGGATTGCAGTCCCTCCATTGCACCGCAGCCATCACGGCTCTGCCCGGTAACCGTGGATCCTACTGGAACAACAAACACCAAAGAACATCCCAACATTCCACCTGAAACCCAGCCATCAACTGGCAGCCTGAATTGGTCAGTTTTACCGTCAGAGAAGATTTACAAATAAAATAGGCCTATCTCCATTACTGTTTAATGATTATTTTTTTCCTTTAAAAAATTTTGTATAAATATAAAATTAAAATATAGTAAAATGTGCACGTTACAGAGTTTTAAACTTCATATTCCCTGTAGTATACAACAGCCTTATCAATATATGGATCATGTCTATTGATGCAGAAAATACCTCCTTGTAACTTGTTAACCAATATCCACTCACCCCACCATATGCAGCCCCTGTTTTGATTTCTGTTAACATACATTATTTTTTCAACTCCATAAAAGTTAAATAAATCACAGTGTACAGTTTGATGTCTACCTCTTTTACTCAAGAAATGCCCATTTAGCCCACAGTTCTAGACTCAGTGTGTGTCCGGAAATCCTAGACAGGCCATGGAAAAAATCAGATGAATGAGTTCTTTCATTAGCCTCAGACTAAACATCCAGATCAAAGAGTCCTACAGTTCATAAGATTCTTTTCATTATAATGCAATAAAGAATTTGTTTTCTTCGCATATTTATCCTTTAATTTGGTGACTCATACAAGTTAGTCTAGTTTCATTTATCTTATAGGAAATACTCAAAAAATATTAGGTTCCCATCAAATTCTCTGAATAAAATGACTTTCATTTACTTGCTATATAGTTCTTAAGCTACATATATTACCTAGTCATTTTAGACCAAAACTTTATTAATTCATTTTCATACTTATATTCATCACAGATGGAATAAGTTTTAATTCTGTAAGTTTTGCTTCTTTCATGTTCGTAAAAATTAAAACTTTTATTTGAAAAGTGAGTTCTAGGAATGTAGGTAATTTTTAAAAAATAAATGTTTTTTTCAGTCAGACATGAGTTTAAAAAAAAATTCCAAAAACATATCTTACATATAGAATGTATCTAATATTCCTAAAAAAATCAAACTATTTTCCAAAGTCCTCCTTGTCCCAGTTTTAGTTTTGCAAATTTCAAATTAATGATGTCAATACTTAAGTATGTGCTGTAGCAGTTAAGAAATTTCAAATAAGGAGACAGTGACAAGGCTGCAATCACATTTAAAATAAAGAAATTAAAGTAATTATGGTGATTTCACCGTTTCAATTCCTTGGATATAAGATTATCATTTCTCAGAATTAAGCAGTTATAAGTATATTTGTCTCCTTTAATTTTTACTCCATATATTATTCATTTAAGACAACTTTTATCTTTTCTTTGATAAGGGATGGATATGCCAGAACTCATTTTTAACTAGAATGAAATTTAAGGAATTTTGAACCTTATGTGGTCCTGATCTCTGTGCTTGGGTTTTAATTTTTTTCTCAACCTGTATCATATGCACTTAGCCATGAACAATAAAATATGAACAAATCACATTTTCTTGTTGCTAAGCTACAAAGAATATGATGGTAAAGTGAAATCTCTTCAGCAAGAAAACCAGACTTTCCCCTTGTTTTGTTATTGATCAGGGGAACTGACTATGGTGCAGGACTGCTTGGGTTTCGCAGTCAAGGCAGCTTTTTATATGTGATGAAGCTACTCCGAGTTTTTCTAATTCTTTACTTTGGAACAAGACTTTCTCTTCTGATTTTCCTGAAAAAAGATTCAAATGTCTTGATACTATAAACATGCTAGAGGCAAACAAGCATCCTAAGCTGTACTTTCCATTTGCTAAAACGGGATAATTGTCACATAGGTGTTAAGTAATAGCAGCCACCCATTACCCAAATGTTCCTGAAGTTTCTCTATCCTCCTGGAGTCCATAGGTTTCAATATCTCTGTAAATAGCACTGACATCTAATTGGTGATGATCTTGCTTTCTCTGAGTGTGCCAGCTCTCTCTACATAGTTCCATTCCTTGTTTTCCAGACAGAATTTTGCTACAAGGTGGGGCATGTTGTCCAGTGTACTCACATCCATAATCTGTTCACACAATGCATGGTCAATCTCACCTCCCAGATCCTTTTTGTCCATTTTTACTTTAATGTACAAAATATAATGATGGTGATGACAATGATGGTATTGTTGACCTATATGATAATGACAAACCAAGCTATGCTCTTTTTATGTTTTCAAATGTAAGCACATCAGTAAGTGATGTACATAAATGATACGATTTAAACATCCAACACAAGGACGCACACATTTTTTATGATCATGTTGCAAATGAGAAAACAAATGACCCATCCCTTTCTTCTCCTTTAATCATGGCAACATCAGTAGCTCCTAAGAGTTTTATTTGAGGAAGTTCTGCCTGTGTTATCTGGCTGATATTGAAGACTTGGGATTTTGTCACCCAAGTCCCATAAACAGTGGGTTACAGTTCAGGTAAGATGGAATGAAGCATGGTTTTTAGAGTGTACACTGATAGGAGCTCACTTTTATAAAATTTTCACATTCACCAAAATATATTTTCTAATAAAAATAATATATTAACACAAAAGTAGCTATGCAGCTGTGCCTTTTATTTCTTTTTCTTACCTGATTGGTCTGGCTAGGACTTTCAGTACTACATTGAATAAAAATGGTAAACATAAGCATCCTTATCTTGTGTCAGATCTTAGAGAGAAAACATCCAGCTTTTCCCATTCAGTATGATGGTTCTGTTATATATGGCCTTTATTATATTGAGGTATATTTCTTCTATACCCAATCTGTTGACAGTTTTTATCTAATGAGATGAGCGTATGGTTTTTGTCCTTCGTTCCATTAATCTGATGTATCACCTTTATTGATTTGCATATGTTGAACCATCTTTATATTTCTGGGATGAATTCTACTTGATCTTGGTGAATAATCTTCACGATGTGCAATGGGATTTAGTTGGCTAGTATTTTGTGAGGATTTTTGCATCTATATTCTTCAGGGAAATAGTCCTGTAATTTTGTTGTTGTTGTTATGTCCTTGTCTGATTTGATATCTTTTCAAAAAGCCTGTCTTTGAGCTCATTGATTCTTTTTTCTGTTTGATTGATTGATTCTGCTGGTATTTTTTATTTGGTTCATTACATTTTTCAACTGTGGTCACTGCTGCTTTTTTAGCATTAGAGGGCGCTCTAAGCCTGGATTTGCCACATATCCAAAGTTGCTTTGTCGTTCTGGCCTGGAAGGACTAGAGCGGGGCTTACAGAGTGTATTTCATCCCACTGGGTTTGCACGTTTCTGCCTGGGGCCGGAACAGCTCCAGGGGTTCTGTTTACGGTCCCCAGGTTGGGGTCAAGCACTGCAGGGCTGTGCCCAGGGCTGGATCTCTGTAGTGAGCTCAGCACTGGGCTGCAAGGCCACATGTGCCTGCTTTCCTTTGCTTCCCTGAAGCAGTCTCCATGCTGTGCTGCTTGTAGTGGGGCATGGATGAGACAGGGAGTCCTGTGGCCACCACAGCTGCTATGATGCTACATCATGCCCAAAGCCACTGAGGCCAGCGCAGCGCAGGGGGATCCTCAAGTTCCACGGCTACAGCTTTCCGGCCCCTGAGATTTATTCATGGCTCTAGGCTGCTGCAGAGAGTCAGTGGTGATGTGGGCTGGGACATGAGACTGTGCCACCAGGGCTGCTGGTCTCCACCTGGCACTGTGACAAGTCCAGTGGCTCTGTCCACAGGGACCAGCCTGGGTCAGGGGCCACTGAGTCTTCCCCAGTGTTGGGTTTCACGATGGTATGCCAGCACTGCATTGCCAGGCAAAGCCCTGTGCTTAGTTTCTTTCCTTTCCTTCCCTCCAGTGGGTGGAGTCACTCTTTGCACTGTGCTGCCCAGGGTTTAGAGAGGGATGGTGAGGGCAGTCCCTTGGCCACCAAGACTCATGCTTAGCTGGATCGGGCCAAAGCCAATGGAAACTGGGGCCAGCACAACCCTGGAGTGTGTCCCAGGCCCATGCTGATACGCCCTGACTACTGCTGAGGTTTGCTCGTGGCCTGATGCCACTATCGAAGGCCAGAGGTGGTGCAGGTCAGAACATGAGACTGTCCTATTGGGGCTGCAGTTTTCCACCAAGTGCTGGGGTGATTCCAGAGACTTTGTCCATGGGTTTTGGCCTGGGGTCAGTGGCTGTGGGGTTCTCCCTGGCCCTGTGTTTTACTGTGCTGGGCCCAACACTGGGATCCAAGTCAAAGTCCTTCAGTCACATCACTCACCTTCCCTCCTGTGGGTTGTGTTTCTGTGCTGCACTGCCTGGAGTTGGGGAAGCGCTGAGGTGAGCAGTGAGACTCTGTCCTTCCTACCTTCTTCAATGCCTCTTTTCTTATTGTGCTAAAAACAGGTGCTCTATTGGATTCCTTAGCACTTGTAAAGGTGCTTTTGTGCTTGGATAGTTGTTTAATTTCATGTTTTTGTGGGGGAGATGATCACTGGAGGGCCTTATTTTTCCATTTGCCTCACCCCTTCCTCTCTTAAAGATTTTTTCCAAAAATTTTTTTTCCAAAAAAATCACCCTTCTGATTTTCCTAGAAGTGATTCTTCTGTCTCCATATTTTAAGGGCTTTCAATATTAAATATTTGGGCTCAAATATATTTACACTTTGGAACATAAATCTGTCTCGGGCAAGGGAACAATTAGCATTTCATTGCAGAATAAGGATATTTAACCACACCTGTGACATTCCTTTATAATAAAGTTTATCATGTATTCAGAGTGTGTGCATCTCTGTGGATGTATTTGAAAGGTGTATGCCAAGTCAGCCCAGGGAATTTTACTAGACCTCAAAAAGACCTTGAGCTTTTCATAAACTTAGCTGTTTCTTTTTTTTATCCCCCAGTGGAAAAGCGAGATTGTCTTTGACCATTTGCTATGGACATTGTCAGGGATGGTGCAGCCTGAATGAGAATGTCTGCGGTATTTCCCGAAATAAGTATCCCTCAAGGATGATACTGTGGACCTCACTCAGGAAGAATGTGTCCTTCAGGGAAAGCTGCACAGAGACGTGATGCTGGAGAAGCAGTCATCTGGTTACTTTAGGTGAGTCTTTCAACGTTCATTTATTTTATACAAAGTTTTCCAGAATACTTTCTCTATATTCCACCTCCCTGTATGCCCTCCTTGATTTATATACTTTCATAGTCCTATTTACATGTTTATAAAGTAAGTGTATTTCACTTACTCACTGACTGTGCAATGAGGAGGAGCACCAGGCCTTGAGAGGGGAGCCTGGTGAAGGAGGCTAACTGCAGTTTGGGGGCTAAGGCTCGGAAATGGGAGGGAGACTGGGAAGCTCAGGACCAGGAGAAGGGAAAAGCTCTGCCCACCCTCCCCTGGTGATCCTGTGCAGGGACTGTGGGCTCTGTAACTTGAAGTGGGGGGTCAGTCCCGCCACATCCCCATGGCTGGCACTTAGTATGTGGCTTCATTCAGCTGGAGGGTGTTCTGAGGACAGGAATAGAACTAGCTCACTTTCCTCATGTAGGAGTTTCTTTTCCCTGAGTCCCTCCTTTTCCAGTGGACAGCGTAGGACCACCTCTTCCACATGTTGAATTCCCCCTCTTGGCAGGTTTGTGCCCCAGGAAGTAGTGTGTTGATTTGAAGCCCTAAAAAAAATATTTTCCACACTCAAGAGTGACTTATCCAGACCGATTTTACCTAAGAAACAAGCCTGAAGGAGGAGAGAGAAGAAAGAAGAGTCAGAACTAGCACTTTCCCAGGTGAAAGTCACACTGTGGTTGATTGTTCTGTCTTCTCCCTGCAGTGCTGTGTTCAGGACTTGCTAATCTCTGACTCTGCAATGTCCTGCCGCACACATTTGCTGGTACTCACTGAGGGCCTTGCCTCAGTCCCCTCCCATCTCCATGTCACTGTGACCCAGTGAAATGGGCCTGTGAAGAGGCCATTTGGGGGGTCATCCTGGGCAGGACTATACCCAAGACCTGGGTTGGGGACAGGGAGCGGGTCCTGTGGGGTTAGAGGGATAGGACAGCAGGGATTGTTTAGGGGACACATCGGATGCATTGTCTGCTCCCAGTGGATGAGGATTAAAGAAACTGCACAAATAAGTAGTGTATTTATGTGTAGGTGGAAAATCCTGGACAAAGATTAATAAGGGGAAACTTGTTCTACTTGACTTCATTGTGAATTTGAAGCTCAACCAACTGAATCAGTGTGATTCTGGCCCAAAAGTACTATTGATTTGGCTTTGAACTCCTGGCCTCAAGTAATCCACCGCCTCATGCTCCCAAAGTGCTGGGGTTACAAGTGTGAGCCTCTGCACCTGGCCCTGTAGTGTTGATTTGGACTAGAATGGAATAAATTATTCAAAAATTGATATCATCGAGAAATAAAGGTTGGATTTCATGCAGATGATAAAGGGTGGTTTCATTTCATAATTGCTTTTCAAAAAGTTGAATCAACCTAAGCATTTAACACTAGGAAGTTGTTTAAATCATTGACAGAATATCCATCCCGTGGAAACCTTGTTCATGGAGTGACTCATGTAGCCATTGGGTTAGGTCTTTTTGTTGTTTGTTTGTTCGTTTGTTTTTTTGTTTTGTTTTTGAGACAGAGTCTTGCTCTGTTGCCCAGGCTGGAATGCAGTGGCACAATCTTGGCTCACTGCAACCTCTGCCTCCCAGGTTCAAGCAATTCTCGTGCCTCAGCCTCCCTGGTACCTGGGAATACTGGTGCACATCACCACGCCCGGCTGATTTTTGTATTTTTAGTAGAGATGGCGTTTTGCCTTGTTGGCCAGGCTGGTCTTAAACTCCTGGCCTCATGTGATCCACCTGCCTCAGCCTCTCAAAGTTCTGGGATTATAGGCGTGAGCCACTGCACCTGACCGGGTCTTTTTTTAAAAACACAAAATTTTGTATGTATGCAATTCAGCTGAGACACTGGGGCAGCGAACTGTCTTAACCATCAAGAGATCAAAACCAGGGCAGGCACAGTGGCTCCCAGCACCTTGGCAGGCTGAGACAGGAGGACCACTTGAGGCCAGGAGTTCATAGTCCTGGGCAACATAGTGTGACCCTGTCTCTACAGAATTTTTAAAAATTAGCCAGGCTTGGTGGTATGTGCCTATAGTCCCAGCTACTTGAGTAGCTGATAGAGGAGGATGGCTTGAGCCCAGGAGGTTGAGGCTGGAGGTTGAGGTGGTTGAAGCTTCAGTGAGCTAATTATCGTGCCTCTGCACTCCAGCCTGAGTGATGGAGAGAAAAAAAAAAAAAAGAGGTCAAAGCCAAATTCTGGTACTATCAATTTTTATTAAATATTATTTTATTTTAAACATTACCATATATATATTTGTTTTGTGGTAAAACTCCTAATAATGACACAGTTTGAGACTTGAGAGAAAGGAGCAAAGCAGTCTTTCTTATCATGTCTGCCACTGCCTCAACCAGGAACCACTGTTGTCAGTTCTGTGGCAAGAGTCAGGGAAACTCTCGTAAAAATCCATTTACACATAATTATGTGAGTTGAAAAAATAGTTCGGTGAATCTATTGTTATGTAGTATTCTTTTTTAAAACTATATATCTTGAATCTGTTTTCATGTTAGCAAATATTGAAATACTTGCTTTCTTAGTTCTGTTTGCAAACATTTCATGCTTAATAAGAATTTATATTATGCTGTTCAGCATGCTTATTATTAAATATTTTATTCTGAGATATAATGCTATGATTATTTCTGATTTTTAATCTTTTGATTTAACTAATAAACTAAAGTGGTGTTCTAATTATGAACCATTGCTGTGTTAATGGAATAAAACATTTAACTTATATTAGTGGCTTTAATAAAAATTTCTTAAGCAGTGAAAACATGGCTAAATAGCTAAATTTAAATGGACTAAATTTTATTTATTTTTTTATGTATATCTTTGATGTGGACTAAAGTTACAGTGTTTTATATATTTTATTTTTATTTTCATAGTTTTTAAATAACCTAATATAATATAAACAGTCTTGTTATTTCTTGCAAGATTTACATCTCAAAGAAACTGTATCTGGCATAAAATTTTAAGAACATTTACCCTTAATGTGAATTAAATCTTGTTAGGCTTCAGAAAAACACGTTGGAGACCTTTTAATTTAAATATTTATAAGGATTAATTCGATTTTCTCTTTATTTTTAATATACTTTATTTCTTAGAGAAGTTTAAGGTTCACAGCAAAATCTAGCAGTGTTACAGTCTTCTTGTGTACACCATCCCTCTCTGAAAGTTGTCAGAATTAAAATGGAGTCCCTAATTTAAGAAAACCATAACACATAAAGCTGGGGAAGGCTGTAAAGAAAGGGTTCTCATGCTATATGCCTGATAACAAAAAGTTTCATGAGAGACTGCAGAACATCACAGCCTTGCACAAAGGCCATCACAACCTTACACAAAAAATATTTCTGCAAGGACATCTGCCCAGCAACTGCCTGTCCAGCTTTTGACTAGCATTGCCTTTATTATTGATCTTTGGAGCCAAGGATAATTATTTCAAAACAATTAGGTAATCCTCATTTTTTTCTTTAAAAAGCTATGTCTTCTTTTACCTTCCTAAATATGCACAGTTTATAATGCCCATATGTTCCCATTGCAATACTTTATTTCCCCATTTTTTTTAATTTATAGAGAACATCTCACTGTTTCTTATTTAGGTTGACACCCCCATACATGCATAGTGTCCCCCATTAACAACAACCCCCACAAGAGTGACATGTTTCTTACAATTGATGAGTCTATATTGATACATTATCACCCAAAGTCAATAGTTTGCATTACAGTTGACTTTTGAAATGGTACATTCTGTTAGTTTGGACAAATATATAATGACATGTATCTACTATTATAGAGTTAAACAAAATAGTTTCAGTGCCCTAAAAAGACTCCATGCTCTATTTATTCCTTATTCCCCACAAACTCCACTAATTGTTTCACTGTCTCTATAGTTTTACTGTTTCCAGAATATCAAATTGTTGGTCATATACTATTTAGCCTTTCAGACTGGCTTCTTTCACTTAGTAATAAACACTTAAGTTTCATCCATGTATTTTCAGGCTCGATAGCATATATCATTTTAACACTGAATAATATTTTATTTCTGGATGTACTATCGTTTATCCATTTATCTACTGAACAGCATCTTGACTGCTTCCAAGCTTTGGCAGTTATGAATAAAGCTGCTGTAAAGGTCCATGTGAAGATTTGTGTGGACCTAAGTTTTCAGCATCTTTGGGTAAATACTAAGGACTCTAATTACTGAATCAAATAGTAAGAGCATGTTTAATTTTATAAGAAATTGCCAGCCGGGCACGGTGGCTTATGCCTGTAATCCCAGCACTTTGGGAGAACAAGGCGGGCGCATCATGAGGTCAAGAGATCGAGACCATCCTGGCCAACATGGTGAAACCCCGTCTCTACTAAAAATACAAAAATTAGCTGGGCATGGTGGCGTGTGCCTGTAGTTCCAGCTACTCAGGAGGCTGAGGCAAGAGAATTGCTTGAACCCGGGAGGTGGAGGTTGCAGTGAGCTGGGATCGCGCCACTGCACTCCAGCCTGGTGACGGAGCGAGACTCTGTCTCAAAAAAAAAAAAAAAAAAAAAAAAACTGTCAAATTGTCATCCAAACTGGCTGTACCGTTTTACATTCCCACCAGCATGAATGAGAGATCCTTTCGCTTCACGTCTTTGCCAGCATTTGGTGTTGTCAGTGTTCTAGATTTTGGCCATTATAGGTAAGTGTGTACTGATATATTGTTCTTATTTGTTTTTCCCTGGTGAAATATGACGTGGAGCATCATTTTGTCTGCCTCTTTGTCATCTGTGTGTCTTCTTTGGTGAGGTGTTGGCTAAAGTCTTTGGCTCATTTATTATTTTTTTTAGTTATTTTCTTATTTTTGAGTTTTAAGAGCTACGAGATACATGTTTTATAAATATTTTCCTCCAGTCTATGTCTTTTCTTTTCCATTTCTTGATATTGTCTTTCACAGAGTAGAAATGTTTAATTTTGGTAAATTATATGGTTATCAGTTATTTCTTTTAGGAATTAAATCATTGATGCTGTATCTAAAAAGCCATTGCTAAACTCAGGGTCATCTATAATTCCTGTGTGCTATCTTTTAGGAATTTTAGAGTTTTGTGTTTTACATTTAGACTTGTAATCTATTTTGTGTTCATTTTGGTGAAGATGTTAAGGTCTGTGATTCATATTTTAATATGTATATGTCCAGTTCTTCTAGCACCATCTGTTGAAGAGGCTATCTTAGCTACATTTTATTACCTTAACCTCTGAAGTCAAAGATCTGTGGACTATATTTATGTTGGCCTATTTCTAGGTTCTCTGTTCTTCCCATTGATTTGTCTATTATTTCATCAATACCACACTGTCTTCATAACGGTAGCTTTATTGTAAGTCTTGAAACTAAGTAGTATCTCTGTCCTCCAATTTTATTCTTTTCCTACAATATTGTGTTGGCAATTCTAGGTCTTTTGCCTTTTCATATAAGCTTTAGAGTCAGTTTTAATATCCACAAAATAAGTTCCTGGAATTTTTATTGGAATTACTCTGAATATGTAGATAAATTTGATGAAAACTGCCATCTAGACAATATTGTCTTCCTATCTATGAGCATGGTATATCTCTTCATTTGTTTAGTTCTTCTGTTCTTTTCAACTGATAAGAATATTTATTGGACTACAGGTCTCCCTCCTGTGCTGAGGAGTGGACAATGATGAATGCCATATTCTGTAGACAAGTCACCTCTGTGGGCCACATGTCTGATCACAAACAGGAGGGCCATAGAAAGATACAAACACCAAAGGAAAATTGTGAAATTCAAGAATTGGCAACTGTGTCGGAGGCAACCCCTTTTTTTATTCCAGGGTGCCTGTCACTTCCACCAAAATCTGCCAGCTTATGCCAAGGATACTGGTGCTTCTGCTGTTTGGCTCTGCCTCTTAATTGGCTTTGGGTTTTGTACATCTTGAAGTTAGCCAGATAGTGCTTCTTCATCTTTACCTTGAAGGAAAACTTTTTACACATAAAAAGTTTCAGTCACATAGAACATCTATTAGCTTTTATTTTAGTACTTCCTCTGAAAAAGACCATCTTTGTTTCTCATAATCAAGGATTTTTTTTATTAATTTGATTAATTCTATTGATGGATTTCCAAATGCTGAATCTACTTGCATTCTTGGCATAAAGGCCAGTTGATAATAATATAATGTTTAATGTTCTAACACAATGGTTTCTAATATTTAAAACTTTCACAATTATATTCATATGTTCAATACATCTGAAATACTCTATTTGACTTAACCCAGGCAAAGCTGTCATATCACCCTTATGTAGTCTTCCTAAAAATTATTCTTTAAAACTCTTGAATAATTTAGTTAGCATTTGTTTATTAGTAAAATTTATCTCTGGATCATATGAACATGGTACATTTTTGTGTGAAAGGGACTATTTGATAAATGTCTATTTTTTTCTGTAAATATTGTGCAGTTTGGAGTCTCTACAGCAGTAAATTGATAAAATATGTATTCTTAGAATATATATAATGTACATGTACATGTTAATTTGCATTGAATTATACAGCTTCTCCCCTATTAATTTTTTGTATCAGTACATGACTTCAGGCTCCTATGTGCAGAAGTCCTCAACCCCCAGGCTGCAGACCAGTACCTGTCCATGGCCTGTTAGGAAACTGGCCGCACAGCAGGAGGTGAGTGGTTGGAGAGCGAGCATTGCTGCCTGGGCTCTGCCTCCTTTCAGATCAGCAGTGGCATTAGATTCTCACAGAAGCAGCAAACCCTATTGTGAACTGCTCATGTGAGGGATCTAGGTTGCACACTCCTTATGAGACTGTAATGCCTGATCATCTGAGGTGGAACAGTTTTATCCCGAAACCATCTCCGCAACAACACCTGATCCTGTCCATGGAAAAATTGTCTTCCCATCCATGGAACGGGTCCCAGGTGCCAAAAAGGTTGGGGACGACTGCCTATTTGCACCGTAACCTATTGATACATTCTTTACCAGTCTATTGTATGATCCCATTTCTTTATTCATAATTAAATAATAGTTTGGCTCAGGAATTTGGGGAATAACAGAAAATTAGATTTTCAGCAGGGAACACATCAAGGAAGCATAGAATCCAGTAAGACACACTGCCTTGTGGTCAGTCCCTCATGTCCCAGATCTCAGCATTTCCTGCTCCATCTACATGAGTCCTGTCCCTCCAGGGGTCCTGGAAAAGAAGAACCTCTCCAAAACACTCACATCTCTCTGGAGGCACTCACTAGAAAGTTGTAATTGTTTTTGGTAAACAGTAACTGGGAAAATGGTTTTCAAACTATCTTCAGCTCCCCAAGTGTGTACTGTCATTGTTGCTACAGGTGAAATGATTATTGCAGTTTCGAGGGGAGATGATGTCACAAGATCTCGAACCCATATCTCAGAACCGCCTGCCTCCTCCCACACACTCTGGCTGTCCTGACCATCACTTCAAGCCCACCAGCCCTGCAGCAAAAAAAATCAAACGAGTAGTTCAGAAGGCAAAGTCTGCAAGGGAAGGAAGTATATTGGGAGGTACAGTAAGTATTCCTGTCTGGAGAAGGTCTTCTTTGGGGCTAGAAACTGAGCCAGTGCTAAAGCCATGCAGGAAGGAGGAAATAATCAGTGAGCCACGGGCTGAACTTGTGGAAAAGAAATGGAGGGCAAGGTCACAAACCAGTCCCTAACTGCTTCTAATTTAATGTAATCCTCACTGTTTGTCATTATTGCTTTTGATGGCCATGAAATCTGTTTTTTCCCAGTTCTCTAGTGTAATTTGGAATTAATTTCCCAGCTGCTTTATTTTTTTTCTAGAAGAGTCGGGGACATTTTCAGGATTAGTAGAGGTGTTTCTACAACACCTTCATGCCTTCGATAGTGTGTAAGAGTTCACCAATTGAATTACCTTATTCTGTTCAGAAGTAGTAACTATGGAGTTTAACCACTCTGGACATATTATATACTTAATGGAGACCATAGCTGTGTGGTGACTGAAAACATGCATTGTCTACTCCTTATGGTGAGACTGCTTTCCTTCATGAAGTCAGTAAAGAAGGGTAACTTTTCTGTAGATTTTTGTATTTTTAAAAAAGGTCAAGATCTTCGGCAGTTTTCTGAATTGAATTGTTTGTGATATTTGCTCTGTTTTTAAAATCTTCTAAGGCCATTACCAGGTTCAGTGCTTATCTTAGTACAATTTAAATTGATTCCGTGAATAATTTTTCCTGCCTCCAGTTTCCCTTTTACATAGTGGGCTCATGTTTTAATATGTTAAACAATTCTGACATTGAAATAATTTTATTTTATATTTTTGCATCCACAAATACTAATTTTCTCCATATATTAATGGTGATGTAGTTTCTCCTCTGCAATATTTTATTGCCTACTCATGTTTTATGTCCCCTGGATTACAGCACTGTCATTCCACTGTGCCCTATTTCTTGGTTATGATGAAAAGACTCTTAATTCCAGTATGAAATCATTTCTGCATTCCATAAATTTCATTTGGCATCTGTGGAATTAAGGCATCTTCATTGTATTTGGATCTCTGAATCATAAGTGATATTTGCCTATAAATTAAGCAATGATATTTAAATAAGAGATTACCACAATCATATTTTATAAATATACAACCATTTTTAAAAACCTGACAAAATCTACAAAAAAAAGAAAATGAAATATATGTGGAGTTTTAGAAAAGACTGACTAGGTCCAAGGTTGAGGCACATAGTGGTTAAGCACATTGTCAGCTCCGGACTCTGCCTCTTACAAGGAAGGAGGGGGCTTTAGATGTTATTTAGCTGTTATTTAGCCTTTCTACACCTAAGTTCCCCTCACCTGTAAAAAAAAAAATAATAATAAATTGCTTACTTTGTAGAATCATTGTAAATGTTCTATGTAAAATATGAATATAGTACTCACAGTAAATATGTGTGTGTGTGGTGTGTGGTGTGTGGTGTGTAGTTCAGCAATAGAAAATGGAATTTAATAAGAACGTTATGAGTTGAAAACAATGGTCTGTGGACAATATTGAATTTCAGTTGCCAAAATAAAATAGACCTCATGTTTCCCTTCAGGATCCTCTAACTCTGAATATGAATAGAAGTATCAGTCACTGGAAAAGAACAAATGTCCTCTAGGGATGTGGCAATAGGAATAATCTTATCTCAGACCATAATTGGGTTCCTGATGAAAATATTTTTTCTTTAGCATTGTATTTCTCTTTATTTCACCAAATGCACATTAAGGTCTACAGATCTGATTCTCAAACACCTGGCTGTAGCCACCTCCTTTGTGATACTTTATAAAGGAGCCCCACAGAGAATGCCTGCTTTTGGGTTGAAACATTTTCTCAATCATAATTAGGTACAAACTTGTTTTCTATGTTCACAAAGTGGGCAGGGCTGTGTGCATTGGCACCACTTGCCTTTTGAATATCTTCTAGGCCATCACAGTCAGCCCCATGTACTCCTGCTGGGCAGACCTGAAACTACAAGCTCCCAAATAGAATGGGTGCTCCAACATCCTCTGCTGGATTGTGATATGCTGGTAACCGCACGTGACTGGCAAGTGGAATGGCGAAAACAACACAAAGAAGGATTTGGTTACTGTTCTGCAGTAGTTAATAACTGATATGGTTTGGCTATGTCCCCACTCAAACCTCATCTTGAATTCCTATGTGTTGTGGGAGGAACTTGGTGGGAGGTGATTGAATTATGGGGGCAGGTCTTTTCTGTATTGTTCTCGGGATGGTGAATGAGTCTCATGAGACCTGATGGTTTTAAAAACAGGAGTTTCCCTGTACAAGCTCTCTCTTTGCCTGCTCCCATCCATGTAAGACCTGACTTGCTCCTGCTTACCTTCCGCCATGATTGTGAGGCCTCCCCAACCATGTGGAACTGAAAGTTTGTTAAACCTTTTTTTCTTCCCAGTCTTGGGTATGTCTTTATCAGCAATGTGAAAAAAAATGGACTAATACAGCAAAGTGGTATCAGTAGAGTGGGGTGCTGCTGAAAAGATACCCAAAAATTTGGAAGCGACTTTGGAACTGGGTAACAGGGAAAGGTTGGAATACTTGAGATGGCTCAAAAGAAGAAAGGAAAATGTGGGAAAGTTTGGAACTTCCTAGAGACTTGTTGAATGGTTTTACCCAAAATGCTGATAGCAATAAAGTCCAGGCTAAGGTGGTCTCAGATGGAGATGAGGAACTTGTTGGAAACTGGAGCAAAGGTGACTCTCGTTATGTTTTAGCAAAGAGACTGATGGTATTTTGCCCCTGCCCTAGAGATTTGTGGAACTTTGAACTTGAGAGAGATGATTTAGGGTATCTGGCAGAAGAAATTTCTAAGCAGCAAAGCATTCAAGAGGTGACTTGGGTGCTGTTAAAGGCATTCATTTTTTAAATCAATACCTCCTGAAGTCCTCCTGAGAGCGCCAGATATGCATTCGGGCCACATGGAGCAGAAAAGGAGGGCTCCATCACTCCCTGCTGGCCATCAGGGTGCAGTGCAGGACACTCAGAGCTCAATACTTAGTTGTTTCCCAGTGCCCCCTGCTAGACCTCCTACCGAATCCTGAAATTCTCAATTTCTTGATCTGTCTGCTCCTTTGGCTGAACATGCGTCAAATCCACGGGAGCATCACAAAAGGATTCTTTCTCAGTCATGCCTGTGTGATAGGACCTTCTTCCAGTTTCTTTCAAAAATTGAAAAAAACATCTGAATGATGCAGTCTACACTTCTATCCTCAGACTCTGCTGCAGAGCTTCATCCTGCAGGACACAGATGACTACAGGGCTGTTTGAGATGGAATCTTCCTTTCTAAAT
Source organism: Homo sapiens (assembly GCF_000001405.40). Taxonomy (NCBI): domain Eukaryota; kingdom Metazoa; phylum Chordata; class Mammalia; order Primates; family Hominidae; genus Homo; species Homo sapiens. Next base: position 14,074,043 of record NC_000018.10, on the reverse strand, counting down.
CTTCTAGGTTTGATCACAGTCACAAATGAGCAGAGCAGATGAAAGTGAAAAATCTTCTGGCTTGTCCCTATTTGGGGAGAGCTCTCCAGAAGTATTTTCAAGAAATTAGTAGCTATTCGAGGGAGTGAAATACAGCTGGTTTGCCTTCGAGAAAGGAAAGTGAAGTGTGCTTTTGTTTCCTCTCATTTAACAGTTGCAAAAGGCAAATTATAAAATAGGAATACTCATGACACTTTCTTATAAATACTGCTAAACAAAATAATCTACATTCATATTTTTGTACTGGTAAAATATCTGAAAGCAAAATCATGGGAAGATATTTAAGTATATTATACATCATGAATTTCAAAAACAGAGTGAAGATCATGATACAGGTTTCTTATATGAATAACTGTATGGTTTATATTTTCCTTCGCCTTTTGAAATACTCAGGAAATGTTTGTTGTACACAGAATTTGAATAAAAATTGTCCAGGCCAGGTGCAGTGGCTCACACCTATAATCCCAGCACTTTGGGAGGCCAAGGCAGGCAGATCACCTGAGGTCAGAAGTTCAAGACCAGCCTGACCAATATGGTGAAACCTTGCCTCTACTAAAAATGCAAACATTAGCTGGGCGTGATGGCAAGTGCCTGTAGTCCCAGCTACTTGAGAGGCTGAGATAGGAGAATTGCTTGAACCCAGGAGGCGGAGGTTGCAGTGAGCCGAGATTGTGCCACTGCACTCCAGCCTGGGCGACAGAGTGAGACTCCATCTCAAAATAAATAAATAAATAAATAAATAAATAAATAAATAAATAAATATAAAAATAAAAATTTCCATGCAAACTTTTCTTCAATATATTTTTGTTACAGTTAACGTAAAATTAGCTGTTGTAATAGACAAACCTGAATTTATCAGCAGTTTGATCATCATGTAATATTTATCATTGCTGGCATATACCACCTCAACACAGGCTTTCAAATGTCATGTGACTCTGCTTGTGGATTTTCCTCCAAATATGGATTTAGGGACCCCCATACCTTCTATTGGTGTATTTCTCATTGCTAACCTGTGTCTTCAAATCTGGCTATGGTGCTTGGGAAAATTTCATGCAGTTGTATGGCAAAAAATATTTGGGGCTTCACAGAGGGTGTTTTCACAGGTCAGGCCTGTACCAGGTAAATGTCGTTTCCACCCACTCAGCTAGGATGCTTGTATGGCCAGACCTCAGAACAAAAAGCCTGGGGAAGGGAGTCTTGAACTGTGAGACCAGCGGGAATACAAGATTGGTCTGGTGAATAAGACCACTGTTTTTCTTACACTATGTGAAAAAAATGCTGTTAATATGAGCAACAGCCGGTTTTCCTGCTTTCATACATTTACGCAAGAAAATGTGACTTAAAATCTAATTCCACAGATTAAACCTAGAGAATATATTTCAGGGAAGAGGGCAAAAAGGTCAATCAATAAGGCTCACACTGTTGACCATCTGAAAGGGGATTCCCATTGAATCCCAAAAGCACAGAGTAGAGTTGAAATATTCCCTAGACAAGTGTTGTCAAAAAAAATATGAAAGTACATTACATATGTAGGAATATTTAGATATGAACTGACACTAGTGCCAACACTCAGTCACCACGAGAGGCCCTCAAGCATCCAGGATAGCCTGTTCTTCCCTCAGCATAACCATAATGTAACAAGCTAACCTTTTCACAAAGGGTGGCTATGATTATAAACCGAGTATCAGTAATGAGTTAACACAGGCAACGATAATATCTTGCTACTGTAACTTAAAAACGTGTTTTTATGTCCATCAAAATCAAGTAGTGATTGTGCATAAAATTTTGTAATATTTAAGGGTTAGGTATCCATCAAACATGTTACAGACCAGGCAGTTACTCCAGAAATACCTTTAAAAGGAGAGAATTATTGCAAACCACATAAGATATTTAGTCTGCATTAGGAAATGAAAATGCAAGAAACATTCTGCAATGTGGAATGAACAAATATGATTCCTTAAAATGCATAAAACTCAGCAAGGACAGAAAACCACGCTGTTTCTCCACTGTGCTGCAAACACAGTGGTCAACAAAACCACATTAACATTTTGCCATGCCTTTGTCAATAACTTTTCTTGGCAGCCTCAGATATAGCCTTCACTTGCAAGACAAGTTGAAAGGGTCTTGTAACATCTTTCTCTTTTGAAAACCAATTTATCAAAATGAAAACCTTTTATTGTTGATTTCACCATAAAGTTAGTAGAATCTCAGAAAAGATACAGATAATGCATATGTGTCTGAGAAAGAGCTCCTGTAAAGCCCAACACCAAATACAGGTCATATCATAGAAGTATTGGTGTCCTGCATTTTGCTCTTGTAATTATACCTGCGTTTATTACTCTGGGGAGATTCTCAGGACCAGCATTGCTGCATTTTGCTTTTCTATATTTTAGTTGTTAATAGATATTGTTTGGTTGCCAACCCCTAAATGTGGAACACTTTATAATCGTAATATGCAAGGTATGAGAACACAGTACTTCTTTCATCATCTGTGATGTATGATTATTCACCCTAATTTTCTTGAGTCTGAGCAGTTTAACGGAGGTATATTTTTATTAGTTCACTATTGTTTAAATTTCTTGTCTTTTCATGCTAAAAGGAAAGTTGATATTTATCTATATCTATGTCTGTATATGCATGTATATCTATAGAAGTAGATCCATTTGTTTGAACAACCCTCTGTAATTAATTGTGATGAATTATGCCTGTTTTAGAAAGTATTTTGTACACATATTTTTAATAAAAATTTTCCCCCCGAATATTTAACCAGTATGACATTAAAAGAGTCAGGAATTTGTCTCTCACTTTATTTTCTTTTTGTGGATCACCAATTATTTTTGGATTATTCATTAAATAAAGAATCCTCTCACTGAGGTTAAATCTATAATTTTATATATATATATATTTTTTTATTATACTTTAAGTTCTATGGTACAGGTGCACAATGTGCAGGTTTGTTACATATGTATACATGTGCCATGTTGGTGTGCTGCACCCATTACCTTGTCATTTACATTAGGGGTATCTCCTAATGCTATCCCTCCCCACTTCCCCCACCCCACAACAGGCCCCAGTGTTTGATGTTCCCCTTCCTGTGTCCAAGTGTTCTCTTTGTTCAATTCCCACCTATGAGTGAGAACATGCGGTGTTTGGTTTTTTGTCCTTGCGATAGTTTGCTGAGAATGATGGTTTCCAGCTTTATCCATGTCCCTACAAAGGACATGAACTCATCCTTTTTTATGGCTGCATAGTATTCCACGGTGTATATGTGCCACATTTTCTTAATCCAGTCTATCATTGTTGGACATTTGGGTTGGTTCCAAGTCTTTGCTATTGTGAATAGTGCCGCAGTAAACATATGTGTGCATGTGTCTTTATAGCAACATGATTTATAATCCTTTGGGTATATACCCAGTAATAGGATGGCAGGGTCAAATGGTATTTCTAGTTCTAGATCCCTGAGGAATCGCCACACTGTTTTCCACAATGGTTGAAATAGTTTACAGTCCCACCAACAGTGTAAAAGTGTTCCTATTTCTCTACATCCTCTCCAGCACCTGTTGTTTCCTGACTTTTTAATGACGGCCATTCTAACTGGTGTGAGATGTTATCTCATTGTGATTTTGATTTGCATTTCTCTGATGACCAGTGATGATGAGCATTTTTTCGTGTGTCTGTTGGCTGCATAAATGTCTTCTTTTGAGAAGTGTCTTTTCATATCCTTTGCCCACTTGTTGATGGGGTTGTTTGTTTTTTCTTGTAGATTTATTTGAGTTCTTTGTAGATTCTGGATATTAGCCCTTTGTCAGATGGAGAGATTGCAAAAATTTTGTCCCATTCTGTAGGTTGCCTGTTCACTCTGACGGTTTAATTAGATCCCATTTGTCAATTTTGGCTTTTGTTGCCATTGATTTTTGGTGTTTTAGACATGAAGTCCTTGCCCATGCTTATGTCCTGAATAGTATTGCCTAGGTTTTCTTCTAGAGTTTTTATGGTTTTAGGTCTAACATTTAGTCTTTAATCCATCTTAAATTAATTTTTATATAAGGTGTAAGGAAGGGATCCAGTTTCAGCTTTCTACATATGGCTAGCCAGTTTTCCTAGCACCATTTATTAAATAGGGAATCCTTTCCCCATTGCTTGTTTCTGTCAGGTTTGTCAAAGATCAGATAGTTGTAGATGTGTGGTATTATTTCTGAGGGCTCTGTTGTGTTCCATTGGTCTGTATCTCTGTTTTGGTACCAGTATCATGTTGTTTTGGTTACTGTAGCCTTGTAATATAGTTTGAAGTCAAGTAGCGTGATGCTTCCAGCTTTGTTCTTTTGGCTTAGGATTGACTTCGCAATGTGGGCTCTTTTTTGGTTCCAATGAACTTTAAAGTAGTTTTCTCCAATTCTGTGAAGAAAGTCATTGGTAGCTTGATGGGGATAGCATTGAATCTATAAATTACCTTGGGCAGTATACCCATTTTCACAATATTGATTCTTCCTATCCATGAGCATGGAATGTTCTTCCATTTGTTTATGTCCTCTTTTATTTTGTTGAGCAGTGGTTTGTAGTACTCCTTGAAGAGGTCCTTCAAATCCCTAGTAAGTTGCATTCCTAGGTATTTTATTCTCTTTGAAGCAATTGTGAATGGGAGTTCACTCATGATTTGGCTCTCTGTTTGCCTGTTATTGGTGTATAAGAATGCTTGTGATTTTTGCACATTGATTTTGTATCCTGAGACTTTGCTGAAGTTGCTTATCAGCTTAAGGAGATTTTGGGCTGAGACAACAGGGTTTTCTAGATATACAATCATGTCATCTGCAAACAGGGACAATTTGACTTCCTCTTTTCCTAATTGAATACCCTTTATTTCCTTCTCCTGCCTGATTGCCCTGGCCAGAACTTCCAAAACTGTGTTGAATAGGAGTGGTGAGAGAGGGCATCCCTGTCTTGTGCCCGTTTTCAAAGGGAATGCTTCCAGTTTTTGTCCATTCAGTATGATATTGGCTGTGGATTTGTCATAGATAGCTCTTATTATTTTGAGATACGTCCCATCAATACCTAATTTATTGAGAGTTTCTAGCATGAAGGGTGGTTGAATTTTGTCAAAGGCCTTTTCTGCATCTATTGAGATAATCATGTGGTTTTTGTCTTTGGTTCTGTTTATATGATGGATTACGTTTATTGATTTTCGTATGTTGAACCAGCCTTGCATCCCAGGGATGACGCCCACTTGATCATGGTGGATAAGCTTTTTGATGTGCTGCTGGATTCGGTTTGCCAGTATCTTATTGAGGATTTTTGCGTCGATGTTCATCAGGGATATTGGTCTAGAATTCTCCTTTTTTGTTGTGTCTCTGCCAGGCTTTGGTATCAGGATGATGCTGGCCTCATAAAATGAGTTAGGGAGGATTCCCTCTTTTTCTATTGATTGGAATAGTTTCAGAAGGAATGGTACCAGCTCCTCCTTGTACCTCTGGTAGAATTCGGCTGTGAATCCATCTGGTCCTGCATTCTTTTTGGTTGGTAAGCTATTAATTATTGCCTCAATTTCAGAGCTGTTATTGGTCTATTCAGAGATTCAACTTCCTCCTGGTTTAGTCTTGGGAGGGTGTATGTGTCCAAGAATTTATCCATTTCTTCTAGATTTTCTATTTTATTTGCATAGAGGAGTTTATAGTATTCTCTGATGGTAGTTTGTATTTCTGTGGGATCAGTGGTGATATCTGTTTTATCATTTTTTATTGTGTCTATTTGATTCTTCTTTCTTTTCTTCTTTATTAGTCTTGCTAGCGGTCTATCAATTTTGTTGATCTTTTCAAAAAACCAGCTCCTGGATTTATTGATTTTTTGAAGGGTTTTTTTTATGTCTCTATCTCCTTCAGTTCTGCTCTGATCTTAGTTATTTCTTGCCTTCTGCTAGCTTTTGAATATGTTTGCTCTTGCTTCTCTAGTTCTTTTAATTGTGATGTTAGGGTGTCAGTTTTAGATCTTTGCTGCTATCTCTTGTGGGCATTTAGTGTTATAAATTTCCCTCTACACACTGCTTTGAATGTGCCCCAGAGATTCTGGTATCTTGTGTCTTTGTTCTCGTTGGTTTCAAAGAACATCTTTATTTCTGCCTTCATTTCATTATGTACCCAGTAGTCATTCAGGAGCAGGTTGTTCTGTTTCCATATACTTAAGTGGTTTTGAGTGAGTTTCTTAATCCTGAGTTCTAGTTTGATTGCACTGTGTTCTGAGAGACAGTTTGTTATAATTTCTGTTCTTTTACATTTGCTGAGGAGTGCTTTACTTCCAACTATGTGGTCAATTTTGGAATAAGTGCAATGTAGTGCTGACAAGAATGTATATTCTGTTGATTTGGGGTGGTGAGTTCTGTAGATGTCTTTTAGGTCTGCTTAGTGCAGAGCTGAGTTCAATTCCTGGATATCCTTGTTAACTTTCTGTCTCATTGATCTGTCTAATGTTGACAGTGTGTTGTCTAAGTCTCCCATTATTATTGTGTGGGAGTCTAAGTCTCTTTGTAGGTCTCTAAGGACTTGCCTTATGAATCTGGGTGCTCCTGTATTGGGTGCATATATATTTAGGATAGTTAGCTCTTCTTGTTGAATTGATCCCTTTACCATTATGTAATGGCCTTCTTTGTTTCTTTTGATCTTTGTTGGTTTAAAGTCTCTTTTATCAGAGACTAGGATTGCAACCCCTGCCTTTTTTTGTTTTCCATTTGCTTGGTAGATCTTCCTCCATCCCTTTGTTTTGAGCCTATGTGTGTCTCTGCACGTGAGATGTGTCTCTTGAATACAGCACACTGATGGGTCTTGACTCTTTATCCAATTCGCCAGTCTGTGTCTTTTAATTGGAACATTTAGCCCATTTACATTTAAGGTTAATATTGTTATGTGTGAATTTGATCCTGTCATTATGATGTTAGCTGGTTATTTTGCTCGTTACTTGATGCAGTTTCTTTCTAGTATCGATGGTCTTTACAATTTGGCATGTTTTTGCAGTGGCTGTTACCAGTTGTTCCTTTCCATGTTTAGTGCTTCCTTCAGGAGCTCTTGTAGGGCAGGCCTGGTGGTGACAAAATCTCTCAGCATTTGTTTGTCTGTAAAGTATTTTATTTCTCCTTCAGTTATGAAGCTTAGTTTGGCTGGATATGAAATTCTGGGTTGAAAATTCTTTTCTTTAAAAATGTTGAATATTGGTCCCCACTCTCTTCTGGCTTGTAGAGTTTCTGCTGAGAGATCCACTGTTAGTCTGATGGGCTTCCCTTTGTGGGTAACCCGACCTTTCTCTCTGGCTGCCCTTAACATTTTTTCCTTCATTTCAACTTTGGTGAATCTGACAATTATGTGTCTTGGAGTTGCTCTTCTCGAGGAGTATCTTTGTGGCATTCTCTGTATCTCCTGAATTTGAATGTTGGCCTGCCTTGCTAGGTTGGGGAAGTTCTCCTGGGTAATATCCTGCAGAGTGTTTTCCAACTTGGTTCCATTCTCCCCGTCACTTTCATGTACACCAATCAGACATAGATTTGGTCTTTTCACATAGTCCCATATTTCTTGGAGGCTTTGTTCGTTTCTTTTTATTCTTTTTTCTCTAAACTTCTCTTCTTGCTTCACTTCATTCATTTGATCTTCCATCACTGATACCCTTTCTTACAGCTGATCAAATTGGCTACTGAAGCTTGTGCATTCGTCATGTCATTCTCGTGCCATGGTTTTTAGCTCCATCAGGTCATTTAAGGCCTTCTCTACTTTGGTTATTCTAGTTAGCCATTCGTCTAATCTTTTTTCAAGGTTTTCAACTTCTTTGCGATGGGTGCGAACTTCCTCCTTTAGCTTGGAGAAGTTTGATCGTCTGAAGCCTTCTTCTCTCAACTCATGAAAGTCATTCTCCATCCAGCTTTGCTCCATTGCTGGTGAGGAGCTGTGTTCTTTTGGAGGAGGAGAGGTGCTCTGATTTTTAGAATTTTCAGTTTTGCTGCTCTGTTTTTTCCCCATCTTTGTGGTTTTTATCTACCTTTGGTCTTTGATGATGGTGGCATACAGATGGGGTTTTGGTGTGGATGTCCTTTCTGTTTGTTAGTTTTCCTTCTAACAGTCAGGACCCTCAGCTGCAGGTCTGTTGGAGTTTGCTGGAGGTCCACTCCAGATCCTGTTTGCCTGGGTATCAGCAGCAGAGGCTGCAGAACAGCGAATATTGCTGAACAGCAAATGTTGCTGTTTGATCGTTCCTCTGGAAGTTTTATCTCAGAGGGGTACGCGGCCGTGTGAGGTGTCAGTCTGCCCCTACTGGGGGATGCCTCCCAGTTAGGCTACTTGGGGTCAGGGACCCACTTGAGGAGGCAGTCTGTCCGTTCTCAGATCTCAAACTCCGTGCTGGGAGAACCACTATTCTCTTCAAAGCTGTTAGACAGGGACATTTAAGTCTGCAGAGTTTCTGCTGCCTTTTGTTTGGCTATGCCCTTCCCCCAGAGGTGGAGTCTACAGAGGCAGACACGGCTCCTTGAGCTGCGGTGGGCTCCACCCAGTTCGAGCTTCCCTGCTGCTTTGTTTACCTACTCAAGGCTCAGCAATGGCGGGCGCCCCTTCCCCAGCCTTGCTGCCACCTTGCAGTTTCGAACTCAAACTGCTGTGCTAGTAATGAGCAAGGCCCTGTGGGCATGGGACCCTCCGAGCCAGGTGCGGGATATAATCTCCTGGTGTGCTGTTTGCTAAGACCATTGGAAAAGCATAGTATTTGGGTGGGAGTGACCCGGTTTTCCAGGTTCCGTCTGTCACAGCTTTGCTTGGCTAGGAAAGGGAATTCCCTGACCCCTTGCACTTCCTGGGTGAGGCAATGCCTCGCCCTGCTTTGGCTCACGCTCAGTGCGCTGCACCCACTGTTCTGCACCCACTGTCTTGACAAGCCCCAGTGAGATGAACCCGGTACCTCAGTTGCAAATGCAGAAATCTCCCGTCTTCTACATCTCTCACACTGGGAGCTGTAGACTGGAGTTGTTCCTATTCGGCCATCTTGGAACCGCCCTATAATTCTTTATAGAGTCTATTTCCCTACGCACTTGGATATAGCTTCTGGCACTGAACTGTGTTGTATTTTGAGTTAACAATTATTTTTACCATCAGATATTATATCCAATCTCTGCTTAGTTCATAATTATATCCAATTTCTGTTTAGTCCATGATGAAAACACCCCATTTTTATTGTTTTGTTTCCAGCTTTTTTCTTTTCTATTAAAGTGTCCAACATGGATTCCAGCTTACAAATACTTTAAATTATTCAGTCTTTCTTATGTTTTGTTTTTTAAAGTTTTTTTATATGGAGTCACTTTAGCATCATTATAACTTTTGTCTTTTATCATTTCTTTGCATGTGGTGACTATTTTTCTAAAATTTGAGTTGAGTGTTGACCTACTTTTCCAAATACTCCCCTTTCTGTAAAAAATATGTATTTATTAGGCAAGTGTCCCTCTAGGGAAATTTTTTACTGGATTGTAGAATGTTTAAAATGTGGTAACATAGTGATTTCTTATATTTAAATGTCTTTGAGTTTCCAATGCCACTATCTTTTTGCTACAAGTTTTATTTGGTAATTAACTGGCTTTAAAGACAATTTTAATATAACTTCTTATTTTATTGAAACAAAGCTAGAAAACACAGCATTTATCATATTGCTCATTGTTTTCATTTGTGTGTGTGTGTGTGTATGTGTAGTCTTCCTTTATTGGTTACACATTTGCTATTTATAATTTAGTTTAAAATTTTATGAATTTTCAAATTGTTGTGTGCAGAGATCTCTATTTAAAGAAAGGTGACAGTTTGTCTTTATGGTGGAGGCTGCAGTGCAGTAAAACTTTGTAAGTTATGCATACTGTATAGCCAAAAGCACAGAAAGAAATTTTGTCTGAAAATCTGGAAGGATTTATATGTCTCCATGGGGTGGGGTGGGGGGAAACCTCTATCAAATACAAAGAAGTCCAAACTTCCACCCAGCAAATTACTGTTTCCTTCACTCTCTAAAAGTCCAAAAGTTTATGTCTCTAAATACTCTTTCCACAGAGAAGGCACACACACATTTTCCTCATGTCTGAGTAGACACAGAATCCAACCTCTCTCAAAATACTAAAACAATCATCAGACAAATGCAAGCAGATATGCACAGATACTTCCAGTTTGTCAGCTTAACTAATTTATCTGTGTAGTAGGAGCGGGTCTCATCTGTGCCTGGATGATTATTTAATAAGGCAGAGTAGAATTGCCAAATGTGTTTGGAAGCCATTGGGAGAACCATGAGTTTGTATTTAGATAAGGGTCAATATCTCAGTCCTGTGCTGTGACAGATGCAGCCATCGAAGAGTCAGGTATTTAGGGTCATTCATGATGGGGGTCTTGATTCATAAATCAACTGAAAGCTCAACAGGACTTGAGAATATTTCCCTTAGTAAGTATAAATTTAAAGTTGTAAGTGTGAATTAAACAAACCAGAAAAATTGAAAAAGGCATTGGCTGATGTTTGGGAAGTGAAGTCAATGTGCCAAAGGATCCTGTGGGGTAGGAGAACCTGGGCATGGGGAGGAATTGTGTGAGAAACTGGAAGGAGAGAAAGCACAGTGAAAAGGGGTACTAGTCAGGTAAAACCTGGCTCAGGTGCGTCCTCTCAAGATGAAAATGTTTGAGGATTTGAGTTTGTGAGATAGGCTGAGCTAAGTTTAAATTCAAACTTTTATGACAAATAAATTTGTCATATCGCTAAGCTTTTTGAAGCTCAGATCACAGCATTTGCTGAATGGGTAAAAAAACCATAAAGGGCAGGGTTACTGTTAGGATTAAATAAGTGAAAATATGTAACCATAAGCTCAGAGTCATGTTTAATACATCTTTATTTGACTCCTAATTGTAGACTTCAGGTTCCAAAGGGTGAGTTAATCTTACTTCTATTCTTAACATATTATTATATACCTGTCAATACATTTAATTATTAACCATGTTTTAGGTGGGGACTGTATAGATTAAAATCACTTCACATATATAAATCATGAAGTGTGTAATGTTGAGTAATACAGGGTAAAAATTTCCAGCTGCTGCTCCACTAAAATATCAGATGGACCAACTAGTTTTTCCCCAACCCCTTCACTGTATATTTTGTCTTTGGGCCTTAAGGGAACTGTGGGACATAACACAATTATGGGAATTGTGGGAGTCTATGAGTGTGTGTTGTCTGTGTTTTATGTGTTCAGTGGGTGTTTGTCTGTGTGGGGAATGTGTGTGAAACAAGTATTTTTTAGACTTTAGCATGAGCACCACCACTGTTGTCCTGTTACTAGTTCAATACTCAACACCTCTGAAGATATATTGAGTCCAGAAAGACACAGGCCCCACCCAGGTAAACAGAGCTCCACTCAGCTCTGTCCTTCCTATTATGTAAATATGAATGAGCATCCAAGGGCCACTTGATATTTGAGAACTTCCTCTAGTGTAACAGATGGAGAAGAAATGATTATAGAAGACAAAGCATCTATTAAGAATATATATGTATATATACACGTTTGTGCATACATGTTATGTGTGTGTATATATGTGAATATGAGTATATGCATGTGTATTAACTGTCAGTGATAAAGGTAGACACTAAAGTGGTAAGTACAGTTTTAATCAATAATATACTACTGTAATAGGGAAAAGGGCCTGTCATAAAGTGAATTCAACTTTGATTTGTGCAATGGTGCCTAGGTGTTTTAAAGGGAGAAAGTGACAGTAAGCAAGGGGATAAGTGGGGATTCGGTAGAGTCAGGGAAGTGAAAACTTACAAAGGGTTGGTAAGTGTAAGTGAGAGTAGGCGGCTGTGCCTGCTAGCTGGCCATTATGGAAGTTAGAATTCTGTTCTCCCACAGAGACTGAAAGACAGAGGCCTTTTGCTTCCTCATGATTTCATGTCAAAGGAATGATTTTCAGAGACTTGAGAAAGATACTCCTGATGTGTAGGAGACACATGTACATCTCAGAAAAGGGAATAAGAGGGTCTCACAATTGTTTATCTTTTTTCGATAAACCCTGTAAGAAAGGGAAGTCAGGGGCCTATAGTCAGTTGTTGCCAAGACAAAAAAAAAGAATGAATTCTTTGGGCAGCCTTGAGCTTTCTGAGACAAGCACTATAGAAACTACAAAGCAACTAGCTAATGACTTCACGATATGATCAAAACTTCACATATCAATATTAACCTGAATGCAAATGGTCTAAACACCACACTTAAAAGTCACAGAGTGGCAATTTGGATAAAAAAACAAGACCCATCTGTCTGTTGTCTTCAAAAGACCCATCTCATAGCAGCACTCATAAGCTCCAAGTAAGGGGTTGGAGAAAGATCTACCATGTAAATGGAAAAAAAAAGCAGAAGTCACTGTTCTTATGTCTGATCAAACATACATTAAACCAACAACAGTAAAAAAGAACAAAGAGGCCGGGCGCAGTGGCTCACACCTGTAATCCCAGCACTTTGGGAGGCTGAGGTGGGCAAATCATGAGGTCAGGATTTCGAGACTATCCTGGCTAATATGGTGAAACCCCGTCTCTATGAAAAATACAAAAATTAGCCGGGCATGGTGGCGGGTACCTATAATCCCAGCTACTCGGGAGGCTGAGGCAGGAGAATGGCATGAACCCAGGAGGCAGAGCTTGCAGTGAGCCGAGATCACGCCACTGCACTCCAGCCTGGGTGACAGAGTGAGACTACATCTCTTAAAAAAAAAAAAAAAAAAAAAAAAAAAAAAAGGGCATTATATAACAAAGTGTTCTATTCAACAAGAAGACATAACTATCCTAAATTTATTCACACCCAACATTGGAGCACCCAGATTCATAAAGCAAGCACTTCTAGGACCTATGAAAGGACACAGACAGCCACACAATAATAGTGGGGGCCTTAAAACCCCACTATCAGCATTAGACACAAATTCTGGACTAACACAAATTCTGGACTTAAACTCAATTCTAACAAATTCTGGACTTAAATTCTAACAAAATTCTCAATTCTAACAAATTCTGGACTTAAATTCTAACAAAACAAATTCTTCAATTCTAACCAATTCTGGACTTAAACTCAATTCTAAGAAAACTAACACAAATTCTTGACTTAAACTCAACAGTTGACCAATTGGACCTAACAGACATCTACAGAACACTCCATTCATCAACTCTAGATTATGCATTATTCTTATCTACATACAGAACATATGCCAATATTGATTACATGCTTGGCCATAAAGCAAGTCTCAATAAATTTTAAAAAATCAAAATCTTATTAACCATATTCTTGGACCACAGTGCAATAAAAATACAAATCAATACCAAAGATCCTCAAAAACCATTATGAACAGTTCATGCACACAAAGTAGAAAATCTATAGGAAATGGGTAAATTTCTGGAAACACAATCTCCCAAGATTGAATAAAGAAATTGAAACTCTGAACAGACCAGTGTCAAGTTCTGAAATTGAATCAGTAATTAAAAGTCTACCAACCCCGAAAAGCCCCAGACCAGATGGATTCACAGTCAAATTCCACAAGATGTAACAAGAAGAGCTGGTACCAATTATACTGAAACTCTCCCAAAGAATTAAGGAGGGACTCCTCCTGAGCTCATTCTGCAAAGCCGGCATCACCCTGATACCAAAACCTGGCAAAGACACAATGAAAAAAAGAACACAGGTGAATATCCCTGATGAATATAATGCAAAAGTCCTCAACAAAATACTAGCAAACCATATCCAACAGCATGTCAAAAAGTTAATTTATCATGATCAGGTAGGCTTCATTCGTGGGATGCCAGGTTGTTTCAATATATGCAAATCAACAGATGTGATTTAGCACATAAACAGACCTAAAAACACCACATGATAATCTCAATAGATGTGGAAAAAAAGCTTTTGATAAAATCCAACACTACTTCATGATATAAACCCTTAAGAAACTAGGCATTGAAGGAACATACCTCAAAATAATGAGAGCTATCGATGACAAACCCACAGCTAACATCATAGTGAATGGGCAAAAGCTGGAAACAGTCTTCATGAGAACTGGAACAAGACAAGGTTGTCTACTCTCACCACTCCTATTCAACATAGTACTGGGAATCCTAGCCAGAACAATCAGTCAAGAGAAAGAAATAAAAGGCATCCACATAGGAAAATAAGTCAGACTATCTCTCTTTGCGAATGTTACGATTATACAAAATGAAAGCCCTAAAAACTCTGCCTGGGACTGATAAAAGACTTCAATAAAGTATCAGGATATAAAATCGATGTAAAAAAATTAGTAATATTTCTATATGCAAATAACATTCAAGCTAAGATCCAAGTCAAGAATGCAATCCCATTTACAACAGCCACACAAAAATACCTAGCAAAATAAGCAGGGGGGTAAAGGATCTCTATGAGGAGAACTACAAACATTGCTGAAAGAAATCAGAGATGAAACAAACAAATGGAAAAACATTCCATGCCCCTGGATTTGAAGAATCGATATCGTAAAAATGGTCATACCGCCCAAAGCAATCTACAGATTCAATGTATTCCTTTCAGACTGCTAATGGTATTTTTCACAAAACTAGAAAAAACTTCTAAAATTCATATGCAGCCAAAAAAGAAGTCAATTGACCAAAGCAATCCTAAGCAAAAAGAACAAAGCCAAAGGCATCATGTTACCCTACAAACTGTACTACCAGGCTACAGTATCCAAAAACAGACACATGGTACTGATACAAAAACAGACACATAGACCACTGGAACAGAATAGAGAACCCAGAAACAAAGCTGCACACCTGTAGCTATCTGATCTTTGACAAAGTTGACAAAAGTAAGCAATGGGAAAAGGATTCCCTATTCAATAAATGACACTGACACAGCTGGCTAGCCATATGCAAAAGAAGGAAACTGGACCCCTTCCTTTCACCATATTCAAAAATTAAGATGGATTAAAGATTTAAATGTAAGATCTCAAACTATAAGAATCCTAGAAGAAAACCTAGGAAACACCCATTCTGGAAATTGGCCTTGGGAAAAATTTTATGACTAAGTCCCCAAAAGCAATTGCAACAAAAATAAAAATTGACAACTGGGGCCCAGTTAAACTAAAGAGCTCCTGCACAGCAAAAGAAACTATCAACAGAGCAATCAGACAACCTGAAGAATGGGAGAAAATATTCACTAACTATGCATCTGACAAAGGCCTAATACCCAGAATCTATAAGGAACCTAAACAAACGAGCAAGCAGAAAACAAATAACCCATTGCCATTAAAAAAATGGGTAAAAGACATGACAGACACTTTTCAAAAGAAGACATACAAGCAGCCAACAAACGTGAAAAAATGCTCCACATCACTAATCAGAGAAATGCAAATCAAGACCACAATGAAAGCCATCTCAAACCAGTCAGAATGGCTACTATCAAAAAGTCAAAAAAAAAAAAAAAAAAAGATCCTGGTAAGGCAGTGGAGAAAAGGGAATGTTTATACATTGTTGGTGGGAGTGTAAATTAGTTCATCTACTGTGAAAATCAGTTTGGAGATTTCTAAAAGAATCTGTAACAGAAGTATATTTTCACCGAACAATCCCATTACTGGGCTTGTATCCCAAAGAAAACAAATTGTTCTACCAAAAAGACACATGCACTTGCATGTTCATTGCAGCAGTATTCACAACAACAAAGAATAGAATCAACCTCAGTGCTCATCAGTGGTGGACTGGATAAAGAAAATGTGATACATAAGCACCATGCAATACTACACACCACAGAAGAGAACAAAATCATGTCCTCTGCAGCAGCACGGATGCAGCTGGTGGCCATTATCCTAAGTGAGTTAATGCAAGAACAGAAAACCAAATGCCACATTTTCTCATTTATAAGTGAGAGCTAAACATTGGGTACTCATGGAAATAAAGAAGGCAGCAGTAGAAACCAATGACAACTAGAGGTGGGAGGGAGGCAGCAAGGGTTGAAAAACTAACTATTGGGTACTGTGCTCAGTACCTGGATGATGAGATCATTCTTAAAAATATTTGTTATTATATTTGAATATAAATATTAATTAATTTAACTTTCTAAGCATACCCTTCCACTTTATCCCAAAATATATTTATTAACTTTTAAAATATGAATATATACTGAGGTCAAAAAATGATGCTCTAACTTGTGATTTATAACGGTTGGGAATATAATTTAAAAAATTGATAAAGTCTTGATTGAAAACTGCTTGTATTTTTAAAGTGTAACTATTTAGAGAATAAAATAGGAATTGTTCAATTATTAATTTATGAATATTTACAGAGCATTATACTGAGAAATGTAGTTGGATGATGCTTCAATTTGAATAAAAGATTAGGCTCTCAAGTACAGCATTTCTTTCACTGCTAATGAGAAAGAATCCAAACTCTCTGTGAAAGGAAAGAAAGTCACACATTTCTTGACATGTTGCAGGATCTCCTATATTCTTTATATTTGAAGGAGTTTACCGTGAAGAAGCTGACTGCTATGAACAGCATGTGAAGGTGGAGGAATTCCAGCCCAGTGAGGAGCTCCCCTGAACCAACTGGCCTCAGTGACCCTCAGAAGGAGTCAAGGTGGGTATACGCAGCCTGGCAGCCCATGAGGCCCAAGGGGAGGGGAGGGAGCAGCACGGATTTAAGACCCACGTCCACTCCTGAGAAGAGAGCAGCAGGATTTGGTGCTTCTCCTCCAAGCAGGTTTAGAAAAGCCCCTTGTGATGGGCTCTGCCCAGTAACCATGGGTCCAGCTGCCACAAACCCCAAGGGACACCCCAACATTCTGCCTGGAACCCTCCTAGTAGCTGGCATTCTGGATTGGTCAATTTTATGGTCACAGACAGGGGAAATTTGTGAATGAAATATACTTATCTCATGACCTCTTCTACAGACTCCACCATTTTTGGCATCTCCTCCTTTGCCTCTTATTGCTTGGAGAGTTTGGATCTCTCTTTCAATTCTCGAAACAGAGAATTGAATTCCTCCATCAGCATCAAGTTGGTGCTCCTCATTTTTTTTTTAAGTATCCTAAGTCTGGGTATATTTAAAGACTCTATCTACCCTGACATTCTCTAAAGATAATTCAATCTCTGCAAACTCCTTACTGGTAGCACTAAGCTTGTTAGTGAGTTGGCATTTCTTTTCAATCTGTGAATTTAGTGTTTCCACAGTTGTTTCCACGCTTTACACAAAGTTGACCCCTAACAGACTGAACAAGCCTCAATAAAACCATGAGACCCACCAATAACCCGATGAGAGGCAAACACACCAGTGTCTCCACCTGGAGTTTGTGGACAGTGAGTTGTGGACTGAGATCATGTGGCAGGAGCTCCACCACCACCTTGCCCAGCTTCTGAAGGGTCAGTCCAGGGCCCAGGTCCACAGAGGATCTCAGACTCTCCATGGCACTGCAGCCACCACAGAGCTCTGCCCAGTAACCGTGGGTCCAGCTGCCACAACAAACCCCAAGGTACACCCCAACATTCTGCCTCGAACCCTACTAGTAGCTAGCATTCTGGATTGGTCAATTTTATGGTCACTGGCAGGGGAAATTTGTGAATGAAATATACTTATCTCCATTACAATTTGATGATCATTCTCCTTTCCATCTTATTGTTTTATCTTAACACAAAATTAAACTATAGTGAAATGTGCAGATGTTATCTGTCAATGACTTTACAGATTTTTATAACTTTATATTCCTTACAGTATCCAACAGCCCTATTAATATATGGATCATATCAGCACAGAAAATCCCCTCTGACATTTCAGACAGGCCCACCCACTCTACCATACACAGCCCTGTTTTGATTTTTATTTTATACATCATTTTTGACAGTTCTTCAACTTCATAAAAATTACAAAAATCACATTGTACACCTTCATGTGCGCCTCTTTTACTTGAAAGTGACTATTCCACAGATTTTCAATCAGTGGGTGTTTGTACATGCTAGGCGGGCTGTGGAAGGAAGTCAAATGGTCTACAAATGAGTTATTTTGATAGTCTCAGGTTACACATCCAGGTCTTACAGTCCTCCAGCTCAGAAGATTGTTTTCTTTACAATGTAATGGAGAAACATTCTTCTTAGTATGTTTATTTTTTATTTGGTGACTTACAAAAATTGATTTTCTGTAAAACAAGAGAGGCTTAAATGACATTAGGTCCCCTACTCCATTCTCTTTATAAACTGATTTTCATTTACTTGCTGTATCAGTTCTCAAGATAGATATTATTATACTATCTAGTCATTTTAGACTAAAACTTTACTAATTTATATTCAAACTCCTGTATATTAGGGATGGGATAGATTTTAACTATAAATTTTTATTCAGCATGTTTAATTTTTTCTTTTACATTCTTAAAATACTGATACTTATTTGAAAAGTGCCTTCTAGTAGTATAGGTAATTAAAAATACATGTAAATACATAAATTAGTTTTAAATTTTTCAGTAAAACCTTGTTTTTTTAATGGAAAGAAAATATGTCTTAGAAATAAAGTTTAATCTTACATTCCTACAAAATATATAACAGTGTTTTCCAAAGTTCTCCTTGACAGAGAAAGAGAGAGAGAGAAAGCAACCAAAGAGTAAATTGGAATTCATCAAAATTAGAAAACTAAGCTTTGTGGAAGTCCCCTTTAAAGGGATAAAGTAACATACTACAGACGTAAGGAAGTATTGGCCAGCTGCATATCTGACAAAGGGTAGTATCCAGAACATGTGAAAAACACTCCGAATGCCACAGTGGGGAAAAACTCAATTACATTAGGTAACAGATGTGAAGTGACATTTCCCTGAGGAGGAGATGGAGATGGCAAGTATCCACATGAAAATATGTTAGCTATTTCTCGGAGATGCAAATTGAAATCATACTGCAATATTATGGCAAATTTACCAGAATGCTTTAAGCAAAATACGGAAAATGTACCAAATACTGGTGAGCATGTGGAGAAACTGGATCACTCATATTGCTGGTGGTAATTTATTTAAAATGATATAGCCACTATGGGAAAAAAGTGTGGCAGCTTTTTTTTTTTAATATGGCAGTGAATTTCCTGTAATCAAAAACAACCATGACAAATTCATTAAATATCAAAAGCTACATTTTACTAAAAACAATCTGTCTTTTTAAATGTTGAATCATACACTGTATATAATACATGCTTCTTTCCCTCTTGGACTTCACTATCCATTTGAGTCCTTCAGCTAGCGTCAAGCACTTAGCCTCTGCTGTCTCTGACTTGGAGTAATCCCAGGCTTTGAAATCTCAAAGGTATTCACAATCTCCTCCCAGTCAGGGTACCTCACAGCTAGAATTCCTCGATTCCTAACTTGGGTGTTTTGGTGAATTTCCTCACTTTCTTCATTAATATTAACAGGCTCTATTATTTGCAGTCGGTCTTGGTCAGGTTTTACTCTTGCAAAACCATCCTGTATAATGAAGGAAACATGAAAGATGTTTTCCACTGTTTGGGGGAAAGATTGTGGATCAACCACAAAGGCAAAGAAGGACGCTGGGTAGCATCTCGAATATACAACTGCAACAATCCCAAGATTCTTTCTACTTCTTTCTTTGTTGTTTCTTGATGAGATTCTTCCCTTCTTTTTAACTGGGCAGGCATTATCGTCTCCTTTTGTATCATAGGAAGTTTTCTTGGACTAATGATTTGGGACTTTGGCACAAGGAACTCTCCTTGTGTTGAATCCAACAGAGAGTGGAGTGTATGGGCTTGATTAAAGGTGTTTTCTGCTCTTTTGCCTGATATTTTCCAGGAGTCATAGACTATGAATTCAAATCAGAGCTATCTTCATCACGGATGAGTTCTTCAGCTTCTGGCAGATTTACACCCATACATGTCAGTAAAGTTTCAACACAACATGTCCAACAAGTTCAGATCTGAGCACAGCTGCTTTGCTTTCCCTTTGCCCAGATCCGAAGCCAAAACAAGAATCTGGGCATCTAGGACTGCTTGTCTTGCTCGGGACACTCTCTTAGACAGAGTGAGAGCCTCTTCAGCACCTCAGTGCTCACAACCTCCATGCAGCAGGTGTCCTGATGGGTTGATTGGACTCAATGCTGATGCCCCTGCCTCACTGTGAGCCTCTGCTCACACTCAGCTCTGCCTCCAGCGTTGTCCACATGCCTCAGCCCATTGTGGTCACACACACAGTTCACCAGGGAGTTACTTCTCCACCAAGGCCATGGGATTGATGAAAAAGTCTTTCACATTCCTTCTCGGCTAAACCATTACTAGTGGAGAATGAAATAAATTAGTTTAAATGTTGGGAAAGAGATTATTTGCTGATTCATTCCTGGCCTGCCACACATCTAACAGAGTGTGAACACACGTAACTGGCATGCCACCAACGTTCTGGCCCATAGTACAGCAGTCAGATACCAAAGTGAGGAAGAAATTATGGTCCTGTGTTGGGGGTGAACCCAGTAAATCCCTGTAGTTAAGAAACTACATGTTCAACTCAGAGAAGACAAACTTACAGAAAATATTTGACAAGCTCTCGGAATCTGTACCAAGGTTGATGGGTGAAGATTTTTTCCTGCTAAAGCAATCTGTAAATGCTGGGAGATGGGACTGCTTCTTCGAATATACAGATACCACCACAAACTACAACAAACATCAAGAATCAGGGGAAGATGACCCAATCAAAAAGAATGAAGTGAATCTTTAGTAACTGATTCTTTAAAAATGGAGTTAATGAATTACCTTACCAAAAGCAATTTTTAAAAATCTTAAAGAAGCTCGGTGAGTTACAAAGAACATAGATAAACAGCTAAAAATTTCAGAGAAATGATATTTTTTTTAAAAAAAATTATAAAATAGAAATAAACTAAAATTATAGAGCTAAAATATAATAACTGAAATAAAAAAATTCAAGAGAGGGGTTAAACAGCAGACATGATCAAGCAGATCCTCAAGCTTTTATTCTGGCTTTAAGCTAATAAATTTTCTGAACTGGAGAAGAAATTATTTAGCTTTTTGGAAGTTTTCTCATTTAATATTAATAAGTTTTTTTAAAATACACTCTTGTTTTCTAAAAAATAATTTATAATCAACTTATAGCTTCTTTTAAGTGAAAAGTTACCCTTTTGCTGTAATGGTGTTAACTTTCAGGCATACTCCAAAATGCAGCTTGACGCATTCAAGTGGAGCTCACATAGGAAAGCAGAACAGAGATGCTCAACTGAAGCCTGTGCAAACAGCAAAACCAAAACATTCTATAAATGCACAAAGATGAACATGGCATGTCAGAGACATTTAGGGAGCTTTGGGCTCCTTCATATAGAAATGGTTAGTCTGAAAAGAGCTAAGGAGAAACCAGTCTTAGAAATCACTATGTTAAAAACAAACATATGAAAGTAAAGTAGCCCATTCCTTTATTCTTTCTCTTAAATATTATATTGTGATTTTAAAGAATATAATGAGCCAACTGGACTTTCGTTAGCAGCTACCTTCTGTAGATCTATCATCCCACAATTTCCAACAAATAAGAGGACTGTGTAATATATTGAATAATTTTAAAGTAATAACAAAATAATATTTTGAGATGTTAACTGACTTTGCTTTGTTCAAGTTTCCTTGTGTTTGTTGCCTCCATACTCTCAACAGCTGGGCAGTAGTGATAGATTTCTGCATGTCTTACTCTAGCCAGGAATAAATAGCTACACCCTTCAACTTAGTTCTTGAAAACTTACTAAACAGATAATTTACTGAAAGCAAAAACACTTTTTATTTGTAACTGTAGTTATTGTAATAGAGAAAGTCATTTCGATTCTAAAATTCAGAGCTTACAGACCTGAAACATGTATTTTATTAAAAACAACAAAAACCAAAAAGCAGAATATGGGAGATACGAGGTGATGATATGAGAGTTGTTTTCCCACCATAGAGCCAGGCAAGAGACAGAAACATTTCCTGGACTTCAACAATGAGTTTGAAGAAGGTTGTAAAACAGGGCCAGAAATTAAGACATCGACTTGGATCTCTGTGCTTCTTTCATCTCCATGTCAGCCACCTGCCAACTGCATGGTTTAAACCTCCATTAGGGGTAGGAAGAAGAAAGCAGAAAATGCTGATGTCTAAATTCTCATCTGGCTCTTTTGAAATACACCCTCCCCAAATGAGGTGATTACAAATAGTGATTCATTTTCTGTGATAATAAAAAATAATCTGAAAAGTAGTCAGAAATGGAAAAAAATATTTAAGGATGCTATAAATTGTGATATATCTATACAAGAGTGCCAGGTCAAAAGAACATCTAGAATAGTGATGTAAGGAGCTCTGTGGATCCCCTTTCTAGTAAAACAATAACCGGTAATAATTATAAAAATAATATTTTAATATCTGGATGCCTAAGGTCATACAGCAAATGGAGAAATGTTTATTCAAGGAAATCTACTAAGTCATGGTAAGAACAGCAACAGTCAATAACATTCGAGCCATAATTTGCTCCCTATGACTTCCCCAGCTCAAATTGATGGACATTCTATTCCAGGCATATGTTGCCAAGAAGATGCAGCTCTCTTTTACCCCAGATCCCAATCTAAGGTTATGGTATTCCCCTAGGGGGAATAGGCCACCACTATTTCCCCCTTCCCCTTAGCTCCAAGTTGCAGGAGCCCCATTCAAGGCAAGACCAGTAGAGTTGCTGGGGGTTCCCTTTCTCCACCGAGCTCCCACTTAAAGAGAAGAAGTCCTATACCAGACATGATAGGCCAAGAATACTGGAGCCTAATCACACTTCCCCCACATTCTGTGTATGCCAGATGTTCCACTACAGGAGAAGAAAGACAATACCAGCAGCTACTACCATGACCTGTACCCTACACACAGAACAGGGGCCATTATATGAGAAGTACTCTGCTGTCCTTGCACCCACACTGTGAAGCAGTGACATCTGTTTTCTCCCCATGGTGGGGAGAGAAAGGTCATAGGAATAAAGAACTCCATAGTTCTCTCTAAGAGGACTCACGTTACATGAGACAGAGTATGGGAAAGTTCAGATCTAAGGGCATTGTCAAAAAAAAGGAAGAAAATTTAGTGATAAGCAACTAAAAGTGGTCTTGAAGCTCTGTAGTAACAATAACAGCAAAGATATGAGACAGTTATAAGTTTAACGGAAATAAGAAAGAAAAAAATAGCTTAGTGGAGTCCACCTGCAGATGGGAAGAAGCCTCAAAGTCTGGCCTCAAAGATTATCCCTGTGAACAAGCCCAGCTTTAATTCCATCAAACTACAGACTAATTTACATCCCATGATGTTGTCAAAAATAAAAAAGCAATTAGTAGATGCTAGAAATTAGTAGATGCTAACATCTGTGTCTGATTCCCGTACAGTACTGATACCAGTACAGCAGAGCAGCCAGTAGCTGAACAGGGAGTTCAGAGAAAGAAATAGTCAAATAGAGCCTGGACGAAAACACTGTCATGCCAGTGGGGTGGGGGAGTCAGAATGAGTGTGTGCATGCCCATGCTTGTACCCTCTGAAAAGCAGCATCAGAGGCTGCACACTTGGGGAAAATTGTCTTCACTAAAGTAGTTCAGCCAAGTCACTAAAAACCAAACAAACAAATTAGCAAACAATAATGACTACTTTGGGGGTGGGGTGATAATATCAGAGTTGCTAAAATATATTGTCATAATATCCAGTTTTCAACTGAAAATTATAAGTTAATAGACCAACAAAGAAGAAGATTTAAATATGTTCAGGGGTTTAAAAAGCTGGCAAGAAAAACTGCCTTTGAGAGAGCACAGATGTTGGACTTAGCAAACAAAGACTTCAAGCAGCTGTTGTGTAATTGCATATTCTGCTTTCTTTTGTTGAGTGAATTTAAAATAATTGTATAAAATTACATATCTGTATATATATTGTACTGTAAAATTACAGTACTGTAATTGTACTGTGGGGCCCATAACCTACAGAAATGAAATATATTTTGACAAAGGTGAATGGGAGCAAAGTTTATTGCCATATGAAAATGACACCATATGGTAACTTGAATCCACAGTAATAGACAAAGATAAGCAGAAACGCTAAATAAGAAGGTTAATATTACCAACTCAATAAACATGTATCTTTTTCCCCATTTTGTTCTATCAGATTCTTTAAAACAGTAGTCCCCAACCCGTAGGCCACAGACCAGTACCAGTCCATGGCTTGTTAGGAACCAGGCTGCACAGAAGTAGGTGAGTTGGGGGTAAGCGAACATTACTGCTTGAGCTCTGCCTCCTGTCACTTCAGCATCAGCATTAGATTCTTATAGAAGCATGAGCCCTATTGTGAACTGCACATTCAAGGGATCTAGTTTGCGTGCTCGTTATGAGTCTCCTTATGAACCTGATGATCTGAGGCGTGACAGTTTCATCCTGAAACCACACCCCTGACCCTCACCATCTGTGGAAAAATTTGTCTTCCATGAAACCAGTCCCTGGTGCCAAAATGGTTGGGGACCACTGCTTTAAAATACATAAACTTATATAAGATGATAATTAGAGCAATGTAGTGTGTGTGTGATATATATTGATGTAATATGTAGAGTAATAAGATTACAAAGCATGGGAGAAAGGGATAAGCTATAAAGCAGTAGAATTTCGATATCACACTCGAGTTAAGCTAGTCTAAATTTGAAGCATATCTGATAAGATGCATATAATATAAGCATAGAACAAACACTAAGAAAATAACTAAAACTATGATGGAACAATAATTTGATGAATTAAAATGTTATACTAGAAAATATTCACAATGCAAAAGACAATAGTAATGGTGGAAGAGAAGAACAAAAGAGATATCAGACATAGAAAGTAAAATACCTGTACATCAGATATTATCAATCATAACATTAAATGTGAACGAATTAAACAATCCAATACAAAGACAGAGGTTGTCAAGGTGAGTGAAAAATAAAACAAATGTTGTCTACAGGAGAAACCTTTTCAATTCAAAGATACAAATAGATTGAAATTAAAAGAATGAAAATACATATACTGCAAAAACAGCACTGTAACAAAGCTTGATTGGATATGCTAGTAGCAAGCAAACCACAAAATACAAAGTGTTACCAGAGATAGAGACATTTTATGATGATAAAAGATCAATTCATCATGAAGACATAGTAATTATACACATATATGCACCTAAGAGCAAAGCTTTAATATACATAGATCAAACACAAATAGACTTGGAAAGAGAAATAGAAGATTCAAAAATAATTGGTGAATCATCAATAGCAAAGACATGGAATCAACGTAAATGCCCATCAGTAACAGCTTGGTTAAAGAAAATCTGGTACATATACACCATGGAATACTATGCAGCCATAAAAAAGAATGGGATCACGTCTTTTGCAGGAACATAGATGGAGCTGGAGGATATTATCCTTACCAAACTAATGCAGGAATACAAAACCAAATGCTACATGTTCTCATAAGTGGGAGCTAAATGATAAAAGTTTATGAATGCAAAGATGGAAACAACAGACACTGGGGTCTACTTGAGAGGAGAGGGTGGGAGGAACAGAAAAGATAACTATTGGGCACTGGGGTTAATACCTAGGTGATAAAATAATATAAAAGAACCTAAAATGAAAGTTAAAAAAAGGAAAAAATAATTATCAAAAAATTGACAAATCAAATACCCCACTTTGAGAAATAGATAGGACAATTAGGCAGAATATCAATAAGGATTTTGAAGACTTTAAAAAACACTATAAGCCAGTTATAACTAACATATCTGTAGAACACCCCACCTGACATTAGCAGAATATACATTTTTCTCAAGCACATATGGAACATTGTCCAGGGTAGAAAATAAGTTAGACTCAAAAACAAGCCTCAATACAATTAAAAAGGTTAAAATATCACAAAATATATCATCTGACCACAATGTAATACAATTAGAAATTAAAAACAGGAAGAAATTTGGCAAGTTCACAAATTTGTGGAAATCAAACAACACACCCTCAATAAATAATTGTAGAAAGAAAAAATCACATAAGAAATTAGGAAATCGTTTGAGACAAAAAAAAAAGTAAAAAAACCAATATACCAAGAAGGACTGCTGAAAGAAATCAGAGACAGCAAAAGCAAATGAAAAAACATTCCGTGCTCATGGAAAGAATCAATATTGTTAAAATGCCCATACCACACAAAGCAATCTGCAGATTCAATGCTGTTTCTATTAAACTACCAATAGCTTCTTCATGGAACTAGAAAAAAACTATTCTTAAATTTATATGGAAAAAAACAGCCCAAATCACCAAGGCAATCCTATAAGAACAAAGCTGGAGGCATCACAATACCCAACTTCAAACTATATGACAAGCCTACAGCAATTAAAACAGTATGGTACTTAATATGGTTTGGCTGTGTCCCACCCAAATTTCATCTTGAAATTCCATGTGTTGTGGGAGGAACCTGGTGGGAGGCAATTGAGTCATGGGGGCAGGTCTTTCACATGCTGTTCTTGTGATAGTGAATATGTCTCATGAGATCTGATGGTTCTATAAGGCGGAGTTTCCCTGCACAAGCTCTCTTCTTTTTTCTGCCACCATATGAGATGTGCCTTAAGGCCACACCTATAATCACCTGATTTTGGACAAAATCAACAATAACAAAAAATAAGGAAAGGACTTCCTATTCAATAAATAGTGCTAGGATAACTGGCTAGTCATATGCAGAAGATTGAAACTGGACTCCTTCCTTTCACCATATACAAAAATTAACCAAGATGGATTAAAGACTTAAATGTAAGACCTAAAACAAGAAAAACCTTAGAAGAAAACCTAGGAAATACCATTCTGGATATTGGCTGTGGCAAAGAGTGTATGATTAAGTCTCCAAAAACAATTGCAACAAAAACAAAATTTAACAAGTGACACCTAATTAAACTAAAGAGCTTCTGCACAGAAAAAAAAAAAACATCAAAAGAGTAAACAGACAAACTACACAATGGGAGGAAATATTTGCAAACTATTCATCTGACAAAGGTCTAATATCGAGAATTTATAAGAACCTTAAACAAGTCAGCAAACAAAACAAATAGCCCCATTCAAAAATGGGCAAAGGACATGAACAGACACTTCTCAAAAGAAGACATACATGTAGCCAACAGATATATGAAAATATGCTCCACATAACTAATCATTAGATAAATGGACATCATAACCACAATGAGATGCCACATCACACCAGTCAGAATAGCTATTATTAAAAAGTCAAAAAGCAACAGGTGCTAGCAAGGTTTCAAGGAAAAGGGAAGACTTAGACACTGCTGGTGGAAATGTAAATTACCTCAGTCATTGTGGAAAGCAGTGTGGAAAGTTCTTAGAGCACTTAAAACATCACTACCATTCAACCCAGCCATCCCATCCCTTATTGGGTATACACCCAAAAGAAAGTAATCATTCTGCCAAAAAGACAATGCACTCATATGTTTATCTCAGCCCTATTCACAATAGCAAAGACATGGAATCAACCAAGATGCCCACAAATGGTGGATAAAGAAAATGTGGACAATATACACCATGGAATACTACGCAGCCATAAAAATGAATGAAATAATGTCCTTTGCAGCAGCACGGATGCTGCAGGAGGTCATTATCCTAAGTGAACCAATGAAGGAACAGAAAGCCAAGCACCACATGTTCTCACTTATAAGTGAGAGCTAAACATTGAATACACATGGACACAAATATGGGAACAGACACTGACAACTCCTTGGGTGGGGAAGCTGGGAGGGGAATATGCATTGGAAGGCTACCTGTCGGGCACTATGCTCACTACCTTGATGACAGAATTATTCATACACCAAGCCTCAGAAACATGCAATTTACCCATGTAACAAATCTGCACATGTATCCTTTGAACCTAAAATAAAAGTAGAAAAAAAGTTTAAAAAATTATGGCCTGCAACTAAAGCAGTGCTTAGAGGGTAATTTATAATTTTAAACATCAATATTAAAACAGAGGAACCACGTCAAATCAATAATCTAAACTTTTACATTAAGATGTTGTGAAACGAGAAGCAAACTAAACCAAAAGCAAGCAAGAGAGGAGAATAATAATAAATATTAACATGGAGACAAAATAGATAAAAGAAAAATATACCAAAAAATCAATAAACTAAAAGTTGGTTCTTTGAAAAGATCAACAAAATTGACAAAATTTAATCTAGATTGTCAAAAAAATAAAAACATGAAGACTGAAATTTCTGAAATCAGGAATGGAAGGGGAGATATCACTCAACCTTATGGAAATTAAACAAAGTAATAATATAAACGGTAGTATGCCAACTCATTTGATAATTTAGACTAAATAAGCAAATTAATTTCTAAGAAAGAAACCACCCAAGCTGTCAAAACCAACATCAGAAATAATATAACATCTGAATGGATAGATAAGAGAGTGTATTAGTAATCAGAAAACTTCCCCCACACACAAAAAGCCCAGGCCAAATTGGCTGTACTGATGAATTTTGCCAGACATTTAATAAAAAAAACTAATAACAATTCTTATAAACTCTTTTAATAAATAGAAGAGGATAACAAACTTTCCAACACACCTTATTAAGCCAATATTACCCAGATACCAAAACTGAGCAAATACAAGACAAAAAAATAAAAGTACAGATCAAGATCTCTGTTGAATAAGGTCACAAAAATCCTCAATGAAAAAGTCAAGTCATGCAACATATTAAAACATACACATAATGACCACATGCAATTTATCCCAGGAACCTGAGTTGTACCCAAAAGTGTGGAAAACTGAGCAATTTCACTGCTATTTTAGTGACATTCTGAGCCATATAAGTGACATACTCACAGGTGCTGAAGATTAGTGTGTGTACATCTTTGAAGGGCCATTATTCTGTCTACCACATTACTGTAGCTATTATTTGCTTTGTTTTTTGTTGGTTTAGTTCTAGATTGTTATTAAATTTTTATTTTTACCTCTTAACTATGACACTATATTAATTCCGTTGACCTTGATATTGCATCCAGAGTTACTCCTTGATATGTGTTTACTAGTTGGCTAAAATTAGCTGAGGTGTGCTTAAAAAATAGAATGGGAGGCCGGGCATGGTGGCTCACGCCTGTAATCCCAGCACTTTGGGAGGCTGAGGCAGATGGATAACGAGGTCAGGAGATCGAGACCATCCTGGCTAACACGGTGAAACCCCGTCTCTACTAAAAATACAAAAAATTAGCCAGACGTGGTGGCAGGTCCCAGCTACTTGGGAGGCTGAGGCAGGAGAATGGCATGAACCCGGGAGGTGGAACTTGCAGTGAGCCAAGAGTGTGCCACTGCACTCCAGCCTGGGTGACAGAGTGAGACTCCGTCTCAAAAAAAAAAAAAAAAATAGAATGGGACAGACTACTCAGTTTTACTCACTTTCTTTTGGTTGCTCTCCAGCTTCCTGTGATGCCAATACCTTGCAGTAAGTCAGTTAATTTAGTGGTAATTGGACTGAAATGCTCAGAAACATTTTAGATGACAAACAACTGCTAGATAGTCAGAAATCTAGAATTCCCTATTAGATAATAGCTAGAAAGTGAGACCCTTGTATCCACAGACACAACACTTGAAAACCACACATAGGTGACAACCTTTTGAGCAGAATTTTCACATAAATATATTTTGGATAACTGCAAGGAAGCAGTGGTGCATGAAGAGGCCATCTCACTTTTAGGCACAATACTTAGACTCAACCACAAGCTCTTTGGCTTTAGATCTATTTGATGATATCAGTGCTAAAATTTCATCATGTGATTTCAGATTACTCTTCTTTAGTGGTGCTAAAACCATACTATCCTATTCAATCAGCCCATTGGATTATGTTGTTTGAGAACAGATCACTGGGTGGCTCCATACAACTATTTTCTGACTATTCTTGCAAGAGCCTTAACCACAAACTGGATTGATATATGCCTTCAGGACAGTCCCTAATATCACCCATCCCATTTTGGCTCATAATTTTTTCTTTTTAGAAAAAGAGATTTTTAGGTGAATTTAATTTAAGAATGATAAATCTGAGCTTTCATTCGAATTCAAAAACTAACTATTTAACTTCTATTCCCAAGGCTTTTTATTTCCATTTCACATGAGGCACAAAAGTAGGGAGAATACTACATGCCATAATCCAGAAAATACCAGAAAAACTAGACAATTGTACTAAGACTGTAGAACTGCTTATTGAGAGGTTCTTGGAATTAGACAAGTGGTGGTTCAAAATAGACCCTCTTGAGGTTCCAAGATGGCCAAATAGGAACAGCTCCAGTCTACAGCTCCCAGCATAAGTGACACAGTAGATGGGTGATTTCTGCATTTCCAACTGAGGTACTGGGTTCATCTCACTGGGGCTTGTCGGACAGTGGGTGCAGCCCATGGAGTGTGAGCTGAAGCAGGGTGGGGCATCACCTCACCTGGGAAGTGCAAGGGGCCAGGGAATTCCTTTTCCTAGCCAAGGGAAGCCATGACAGAAAGTACCTGGAAAATCGGGACACTCCCACCCTAATACTGCACTTTTCCAATGATCTTAGCAAATGGCACACCAGGAGATTATATCCTGCGCCTGGCTTGGAGGGTCCCATGCCCAAGGAGCCTCGCTCACTGCTAGCACAGCAGTCTGAGATCAAACCGCAAGGCGGCAGTGAGGCTGGGGGAGGGGCATCCGCTATTGCTGAGGCTTGAGTAGGTAAAAAAAGCAGCAGGGAAGCTCCAACTGGGTGGAGCCCACCACAGCTGAAGGAGGCCTGCCTGCCTCTGTAGACTCCACCTCTGGGGGCAGGGCATAGCTGAACAAAAGGCAGCAGAAACTTCTGCAGACTTAAACATCCCTGTCTGACAGCTTTGAAGAGAGTAGTATTTCTCCCAGCACGGAGTTTGAGATCTGAGAACGGACAGACTGCCTCTTCAAGTGGGTCCCTGACCCCCAAGTAGCCTAACTGGGAGACACCCCCTAGTAGGGGCCGACTGACACCTCATACAGCTGGGTGCCCCTCTGAGACAAGGCTTCCAGAGGAAAGATCAGGCAGCAACATTTGCCATTCTGCAATATTTGCTGTTCTGCAGCTGGCAATACTGAGGCAAACAGGGTCTGGAGTGGACCTCCAGCAAACTCCAACAGACCGGCAGCTGAGGGCCCTGACTGTTAGAAAGAAAACTAACAAACAGAAAGGACATCCACATCAAAACCCCATCTGTACATCACCATCATCAAAAACCAAACGTAGATAAAACCAAAAAGATGGGGAGAAACCAGAGCAGAAAAGCTGAAAATTCTAAAAATCAGAGTGCCTCTTCTCCTCCAAAGGAATGCAGCTCCTCACCAGCAAAGGAACAAAGCTGGATGGAGAATGACTTTGACTAGTTGAGAGAAGAAGGCTTCAGATGATCAGTAATAAAAAAACTTCTCCAAGCTAAAGGAGGATGTTCGAACCCATTGCAGAGAAGCTAAAAACCTTGAAAAAAGAAGAGATGAATGGCTAACTAGAATAAACAGCATAGAGAAGACCTTAAATGACCTTATGGAGCTGAAAACCATGGCCCAAGAACTACCTGACGAATGCACAAGCTTCAGTAGCCGAATCGATCAAGTGAAAGAAAGCGTATCAGTGATTGAAGATCAAATGAGTGAAATGAAGTGAGAAGAGAAGTTTAGAGAAAAAAGAGTAAAAAGAAATGAACAAAGCCTCCAAGAAATATGGGACTATGTGAAAAGACCAAATCTACGTCTCATTGATGTACCTGAAAGTGACAGCGAGAATGGAGCCGAGTTGGAAAACACGCTGCAGGATATTATCCAGGAGAACTTCCCCAACCTAGCAAGGCAGGCCAACATTCAAATTCAGGAAATAACAGAGAACACCACAAAGATACTCTACAAGAAGAGCAACTCTGAGACACATAATTGTCAGATTCACCAAAGTTGAAATGAAGGAAAAAATGTTAAGGGCACCCAGAGAGAAAGGTCGGGTTACCCACAAAGGGAAGCTGATCAGACTAACAGCAGATCTATCAGCAGAAACTCTACAAGCCAGAAGAGAGTGGGGACCAATATTCAACATTCTTAAAGAAAAGAATTTTCAACCCAGAATTTCATTTCCAGCCAAACTAAGCTTCATAAGTGAAGAAGAAGTAAAATCCTTTACAGACAAGCAAATGCTGAGAGATTTTTGTCACCACCAGGCCTGCCTTACAAGAGCTCCTGAAGGAAGCACTAAACATGGAAAGGAACAACTGGTAACAGCCACTGCAAAAACATGCCAAATTGTAAAGACCATCAATGCTAGGAAGAAACTGCATTACCCAACGAGCAAAATAACCAGCTAACATCACAATGACAGGATCAAATTCACACATAACAATATTAACTTAAATGGAAATGGGCTAAATGCTCCAATTAAAAGACACAGACTGGCGAATTGGATAGAGTCTAGACCTATCAGTGTGCTGTATTCAGACACATCTCACGTGCAGAGACACACATAGGCTCAAAATAAGGGGATAGAGGAAGATCTACCAAGCAAATGGAAAACAACAAAAAACCAGGGGTTGCAATCCTAGTCTCTGATAAAACAGACTTTAAACCAACAATGATCAAAAGAGACAAAGAAGGCCATTACATAATGGTAAAGGGATCAATTCAACAGGAAGAGTTAACTATCCTAAATATATATGCACCCAATACAGGAGCACCCAGATTCATAAGGCAAGTCCTTAGAGACCTACAAAGAGACTTAGACTCCCACACAAGAATAATGGGAGACTTTAACAACCCACTGTCAACATTAGACAGATCAATGAGACAGAAAGTTAACAAGGATATCCAGGAATTGAACTCAGCTCTGCACCAAGCAGACCTAATAGACATCTACAGAACTCTCCGCCCCAAATCAACAGAATATACATTCTTCTCAGCACCACATCACACTTATTCCAAAATTGACCACATAGTTGGAAGTAAAGCACTCCTCAACAAATGTAAAAGAACAGAAATTATAACAAACTGTCTCTCAGAACACAGTGCAATCAAGCTAGGACTCAGGATTAAGAAACTCACTCAAAACCGCTTAAGTATATGGAAACTGAACAACCTGCTCCTGAATGACTACTGGGTACATAATGAAATGAAGGCAGAAATAAAGATGTTCTTTGAAACCAATGAAAACAAATACACAACATACCAGAATCTCTGGGACACATTTAAAGCAGTGTGTAGAGGGAAATTTATAGCACTAAATGCCCACAAGAGATAGCAGCAAAGATCTAAAATTGACACCCTAACATCACAATTAAAAGAACTAGAGAAGCAAGAGCAAACACATTCAAAAGCTAGCAGAGGCAAGAAATAACTAAGATCAGAGCAGAACTGAAGGAGATAGAGACACAAAAAACCCTTCAAAAAAATCAATAAATCCAGGAGCTGGTTTTTTGAAAAGATCAACAAAATTGATAGACCACTAGCAAGACTAGTAAGAAAAGAGAGAAGAATCAAATAGATGCAATAAAAAATGATAAAAGGGATATCATCACTGATCCCACAGAAATATAAAGTACCATCAGAAAATACTATAAACACCTCTACGCAAATAAGCTAGAAAATCTCGAAGAAATGGATAAATTCCTGGACAGATACACCTTCCCAAGACTAAACCAGGAAGAAGTTGAATCCCTGAATAGATCAATAACAGGCTTTGAAGTTGAGGCAATAATTAATAGCCTACCAACCAGAAAAAGTCCAGGACCAGATGGATTCACAGCCGAATTCTACCAGAGGTACAAGGAGGAGTTGGTACCATTCTTTCTGAAACTATTCCAATCAATAGAAAAAGAGGGAATCCTCCCTAACTCATTTTATGAGGCCAGCATCATCTTGATACCAAAGCCTGGCAGAGACACAACAAAAAAAGAGAATTTTAGACCAATATCCCTGATGAACATTGATGCAAAAATCCTCAATAAAATACTAGCAAACTGAATCCAGCAGCATATCAAAAAGCTTATCCACCACGATCAAGTTGCCTTCATACCTGGGATGCAAGGCTGGTTCAACATACACAGATCAATAAACGTAATCCATCATATAAACAGAACCAAAGACAAAAGCCACATGATTATCTCAGCAGATGCAGAAAAGGCCTTCAACAAAATTCAACAGCCCTTCATGCTAAAAAATCTTAATAAACTAGGTATTGATGGGACGTGTCTCAAAATAATAAGAGCTATTTATGACAAACCCACAGCCAATATCAGAGTGAATGGGCAAAAACTGGAAGCATTCCCTTTGAAAACTGGCACAAGACAGGGATGCCCTCTGTCACCACTCCTATTCAACATAGTGTTAGAAGTTCTGGCCAGGGCAATCAGGCAGGAGAAATAAATAAAGGGTATTCAATTAGGAAAAGAGGAAGTCAAATTGTCCCTGTTTGCAGATGACATGATTGTATATTTAGAAAACCCCATCGTCTCAGCCCAAAATCTCCTTAAGCTGATAAGCAACTTCAGCAAAGTCTCAGGATACAAAATCAATGTGCAAAAATCACAAGCATTCCTATACACCAATAACAGACAAACAGAGAGCCAAATCATGAGTGAACTCCCATTCACAATTGCTTCGAAGAGAATAAAATACCTAGGAATCCAACTTACAAGGGATGTGAGGGACCTCTTCAAGGAGAACTACAAACCACTGCTCAATGAAATAAAAGAGGATACAAACAAATGGAAGAACATTCCATGCTCATGGATAGGAAGAATCAATATCGTGAAAATGGCCATACTGCCCAAGGTAATTTATAGATTCAATGCCATCCCCATCAAGCTACAAATTACTTTCTTCACAGAATTGGGAAAAATTACTTTAAAGTTCACATGGAACCAAAAAAGAGCCCAAATTGCCAAGACAATCCTAAGCCAAAAGAACAAAGCTGGAGGCATCACGCTACCTGACTTCAAACTGTACTACAAGGCTACAGTAACCACAACAGCCTGATACTGGTACCAAAACAGAGATATAGACCAATGGAATGGAACAGAGCCCTCAGAAATAATACCACATATCTACAACCATCTGATCTTTGACAAACCTGACAGAAACAAGAAATGGGGAAAGGATTCCCTATTTAGTAAATGGTGCTGGAAAACTGGCTAGCCATACGTAGAAAGCTGAAACTGGATCCCTTCCTTACACCTTATGCAAAAATTAATTCAAGATGGATTAAAGACTTAAATGTTAGACCTAAAACCATAAAAACCCTAGAAGAAAACCTAGGCAATACCATTCAGGACATAGGCATGGGCAAGGACTTCATGACTAAAACACCAAAAGCAATGGCAACAAAAGCCAAAATTGACAAATGGGATCTAATTGAACTAAAGAGCTTCTGCACAGCAAAAGAAACTACCATCAGAGTGAACAGGCAACCTACAGAATGGGAGAAAGTTTTTGCAATCTCTCCATCTGACAAAGGGCTAATATCCAGAATCTACAAAGAACTTAAACAAATTTACAAGAAAAATCAACAACCCCATCAAAAAGTGGGCAAAGGATATGAACAGACACTTCTCAAGACATTTATGCAGCCAACAGACACATGAAAAAATGCTCGTCATCACTGGCCATCAGAGAAATGCAAATCAAAACCACAATGAGATACCATCTCACACCAGTTAGAAAGGCAATCATTAAAAAGTCAGGAAACAACAGGTGCTGGAGAGGATGTGGAGAAATAGGAACACTTTTACACTGTTGGCGGGACTGTAAACTATTTCAACCATTGTGGAAGACAGTGTGGCGATTCCTTAAGGATCTAGAACTAGAAATACCATTTGACCCAGCCATCCCATTACTGGATGTATACCCAAAGGATTATAAATCATGCTGCTATAAAGACACATGCACACGTATGTTTATTGCAGCACCATTCACAACAGCAAAGACTTGGAACCAACCCAAATGTCCATCAATGATAGACTGGATTAAGAAAATGTGGCACATATACACCACGGAATACTATGCAGCCATAAAAAAGGATGAGTTCATGTCCTTTGTGGGGACATGGATGAAGCTGGAAACCATCATTCTGAGCAAACTATCACAAGGATAGAAAACCAAACACCGCGTGTTCTCACTCATAAGTGGGAATTGAACAGTGAGAACACTTGGACACAGGACGGGGAACACACACACCAGGGCCTGCCGTGGGGTTGGGGGAGTGGGGAGGGATAGCATTAGGAGATATACCTAATGTAAATGACGTGTTAATGGGTGCAGCACACCAACATGGCACATGTAGACATATGTAACAAACCTGCACGTTGTGCACATGTACCCTAGAACTTAAAAGTATAATAAAAAAAAAAGACCTTCTTTATATAGTATACTGGTCTCTCAGGAGAATATATAGGGAAAGAATATTGTACTTAAATCTGACAGCTCTCTCTTACATCTCTAATATTACCAAAAAGATTTGAAAAAATATATGATTTGTGAACTTAGGCATTTTAGCTGATGTCCCCATATACAGTTTTGCTGGCCATTTGGATGGGGAATTTGATCTGTCCTCAGGTTTAATTTCAGTACTCATTTGCTTGATTAGAAGCGGACTATAGTTCTGGTAATAATAATTCAAATTAGTGTTTGTGTTGCAGAGCTTAAATGTGTAATCTCCAGAATCTCAAATGTTATTTCATAGCTGCAGTCCCATCAAACAAAATGATAAAAGAAATTCTCTTCCAACAAAAATAGAAGAAAATAGAAAACTTAAGCTTCAAGAAATTGAAATTATCAGAAACTTTACACATGACTGTAACATATCAAGCAGTTATTAAGTGATTATCTGGGTACATGATGGCTTTATCATGTACCCAGATAACAGGCTGTTTTTCAGATAAGGCTAATGAATAAGGAAAATAAAGGACTGAAAGCAGATACCAAAATAACTTTCTGTCCCTGTGTTAAATAACGCTGTGTCTGGGCATACATCTTGTGGCTATATTAAACAATACTGAGAATAAACATAATAAACGTAGGTACTCCAGGAAATCAGACTGTGAACAAATGAGGATAGCTCATGTACCAAAGACTGACAGCTGATTTGCCGTGCCTCACTTCAAGACCCTCACTTCTCTGCAGGCTCCAATCCAAAGTCAGTACATCATAAATTCTGACAAGTCCCAACCAGTTCGGCTCCTTGCAAGACCCACCTTAAAATTTCTCTTTTCAAATCCTAACAT
The DNA here is from genome assembly GCF_000001405.40 of Homo sapiens. Lineage (NCBI taxonomy): Eukaryota > Metazoa > Chordata > Mammalia > Primates > Hominidae > Homo > Homo sapiens. The sequence goes on along the minus strand of NC_000018.10, from coordinate 14,036,724 downwards.
TATATGACTATCTTCCTCCTCCCTGAGTTACCCCTTACCTCTGTCAAGATTGCATTTTCGCTTACTGCAGTGTGTCTAATAAATTTAGCTTTGCTAAAGTAACTGGTTATTCTTGTCTTTTGGGGAGTTGACAGTTCCCACATCCCTTAAATTTTTATATCCTATTAGACAATAAGTTTCTGAGATAGCTGGCCACTGTGTTCTCATTTTATATATCAGAAAGTACCAAAAAAATTATTGCATTTGCATTCAGAAAAACCTGTTGAACTAAAATATGGCTTTATACTTTTGCCAATGGCTCTGTTGGAAGTAGAAAAGTATTTTCTCATGCTTAAGGGACTAGAAAATTAATATTTTATTTCATTGCTTTCAAACTAATGTGAAAATTATCTAACATGGAAAAATGAAACTCAGGAGATCATTTCAGTCCAGAGGAAAAAAAAAGTTCACTGGGGTTTAAGAAGATATATTTTTTAGATCCAATAAGGAAAAACAGAGGGAATATTAGGAGTTTGTACTAACTTAGTCATGATACGATGAGTAATCTCTTCTTAAAAGGGGACTAAAGATATCCAGGAAAGCATTTATTCATTCAGTAAATGTTTTTAATAACTACTACAGGGTGAGTATAATTTTGGAATTAGTGTATGATGGTGAATAAAACAACATGTTCCCTAACTGCATGGGAAGTGGTGAGAAGGCAATCTCTTAAAAAATGAACGTATACATCAGTATAAAATTACAACGTGTGGTAAGTACCTTGAAGTAAAAGAGTGTAGTGAAAGAGGTTCAAAACTGACTTGGATACCAGGAGACTAAGAAGCTTTCTAGAAGGCCAGGCACAAGATTAATGGGATGTAAGATTTTGTTTTGTTTTTTTCCTACCTTGACTTGAAAAAGTAGGCTAAGTTTTCAAGCAAGATGGGAATGTACAATTTTCCCAAGAATAGAGGAGAAGAATGGAAGCAAAAGTGAATGTTCAGTTATCTTAGATAATGGGAAATAATAGAAGTGTTTTCCCAATATTGACTGCAGTGATGCCGCAGATTTAGGGAGAAATGATTGAGACCAGGTAAAATCGTCACCTCTAGAAATTCTGTTTTCTTACAGTATTTCCAAAAGCTTTAGATAAAGTTATTCTGAAAGAAATTGGAATTAGAGCCTATTACAAAACCCTAAGAGAAACCAAAGTTATTAGTATAACAATCTACTTATCAATTTAACTACACAGTAAGTGCATTTTTCATTACCTACAATGCATAAGATAGAATCTGTTCTGCATTAACGAAGTTACACATCTTAACTCCATTTTAGCATGAACACACACGTATTTTCCCAATTACTTTAAAACAGTTTAAATATTTTTTAAATATAGATCTTATATGCATACTAAATTGGATGTGCTTTGTATGACTTTTAGTAAATCCCACAATTCCATTTACGGAAGAGGAAAGCTAAGCAATTGTGTAAATAAGTTTTGAAGTTAGGGTTTTTTGAATGCAGCATCTGTAATGATGTTTCTTGGCCACTTGTGTTCCCAGAGGGACTGTGAAGTTCATATTTCTCAATAACTACTAAGTATGGCAGAATGGGATATTAACAGAGGGGGTGCACTTCACACCAGTAGCCTTGGTAAGGGAGGGGATGCGAGGTCTGTCTGTGCATGCTGGCAAAACAGTGAGGGAGTGGCCCTGGATGAGTACATCCCAGCAAAGCGGCATGGGGGAGTCTACATTGTGGGGAGGGTGCCGGTGTGCTGGTTGCTTGCTCAGGTTGGGCTGTGCTGGAGATCTCTGACAATCGGGGGCAGTGTGCTGGTGAAGGAGCTATGTTGTAGCAACTGAGGCTGCACGGCCAATGGCCATGGCCAGGCTGGGGCCCTGGGAGAGGCCAGCAGATGACAGGCACTCAGATCAGACTGGCCTCATCTCATGGGCAAGACCACCCTGCTCTATTTTGGTCTGACAGTTCCTCTAAAGCTAAAATCTCCTAGGTGAGCATGGTGAGCCCTGGGGGATAGGGGTCCCTGGCTGTGCTCCACTGCAGAAGTTCTTGGACCAAGCTCTCTGGGCTCTGCACAAGCTAGAGTCCTGCCCCTACCACCTCTCTAAGCAGGTCTCCTTGCCAGCTCAAATGTCCATGAGGGTCATGGGGTCTCCTGCTGCCAGGATTCCAGAGATCTGTGGCAAGAGCTGATCACTCCTTACCTGTTCAACTCGCCCCTTCCCCAGGAGTTGTTGGAGGCCAGGAACAAATCCCAGTGTGTGGTAGCTCTTAGCAGGGTTCCCAGCTTCTTCCCCCTTCAGCCCAGCATCTGTGTCCTCCCTCCATACACTCTCAATGCCTTCCCTCCAAAGATCTGCTCGGACAGCACCAGTCTTCCTGATGCCTCAGTCCCTCAGTGGAAGATATTCCTCTTGGCTGCATCTAGTCGGCCATCTTGCTGCAACTCCAGTCGTACCTTTTTTTAATCAAGAGATTTTCCTCTAAATTCCACTTACCACATAAAATATGCTCATTTTAATGTTTAGTCCCAGTGTCCCAGACAATTCCAATTTATACTTTCATTATTTTAAGAAAATATAATTTATATCTGAACTACACTGTATTTTATGTAGCCAGCTAAACTTACATCAAGTCAAAATTCAAATATCTATGTTGCCTGGAAACACAGTTTAAAGAGTAATATGTGTATTTCATAAGATAGGAATAATTCTACAACAGAATAGTCATGGTAGAAGACAATGTTTTTAATAGTTTGTAGCTCAGAGAGGACATCATCATTTGTAAAACATTAATAACATCTCCAAATAATCTTTTATGTTTTTTAAGGAAAACACAGTATTCAGTCAATTTTATAAGATTTTATTGGAAACCTACTAGATCCAGCATTCAAAATATCCAAATATCTTCTCAAAGATATTCTCACATCTCTGAGAAGAAAGAGCGTTGAAACCTTAGACACAAGTTATGTTTTCAAACATTATTTCCGACTTTACCAGCTTGGGGTAAAAATGATATTTTAAATATATAACATGCAAATTTTAAAAACTTGATCCCCATTAAACATATGTCCAGAAAGTCTTTCCAGCCTTGCCCTGATCTCCCTCTCTAATAATGAGGACAAAACCCCAAGGTGCGCTCATCAAATCAAGGGGCCTGTCCTGCTCACCTGGGCCTTGAACCAAATTTGGGGAGGTGCCATGCTTCAGAGCTTCCCTCCTGCCGTCAGGATGCCTGGGGGCCGAGCAATTGTATGCCATTCCAGCTCTTGAGGGGATCAAGGACTCACCAAGGCCACTAGAGTAGCTGAAGTTCCTTCAGGGTAAACGTGAAGGAAAGCCCCCTTCTGCCAGCACAGGCCAGGCTCCAGGGCACAGCTGGCTCGACACACAGCTTGCAGTTCAGCAAGGCCTAGTTGGAATGCTATAGCCAAAAAGCTGCTGGAACTTTAAATCATCCTGAGCACCTAGAACAAACAATTCCTTCCCACAGAACTAAGATGGGGACATGATTGGACTCTAAATGCCAGAACTGTTTCAGAAGCAAGGGGTCTGTTGGCCCAGATGATCCAGGGTTATAATCTACCTCCACATACCTTCCCATAAATGGTCAAATTTGAAGCCCTCCAATCTGATCCTGCCAAGGCAACATTCCTAAATCCTTTCCCTTGCCCTCTGAGCCCACAAACTTGCCCCAGACCCAAAATCAGGAAGACAGATTTGAGCCTGCTACTGTCTCCTTGCTGGCAGGTTTGGCAAGAAAGCCTTTCTTTTCTCAAAAGCCAGTGCCACATAGCTTCAGCATCTGTGTGCATTGGGAAGTGAGCCCATTTGCTCAATAACGTAACTAATCAAATTGTGTGTTGTGTGCTCCCAGTCTTGTATGGAAAATGTAATGCTGCTGTAACTTCTCTGTCTCTGCCTATATATAAGTGAAACCTTTACTGTATAAGTGAAACCTTTACTACCTCACTATGGAAATATTGACCCCATTTCCAGGTGACCCCATATTGACCCCATTCCCAGGTGACCATCCTCAAGCTTTGTGCTCAAATAAACTTTACACTTACTTAGATTTTCTGAATCTCATTATTTATGGTTGGCATTCTGGTGACCATAAAGGGACCCAAAGTGCACCCCCAGTGATCCCCATTGCTTTGCCAATGGCTGGAACCCTGATAGTAGCATAAGACACTTTCATTTACCCATTGTCACAAGAGTTAATGGGGATTTTTGGTGAGGCCCCCTTCAGTCTGAGTCCTCCTAGGCTTGGTTGAGGATTTAGGCTTTATTCAAGCCACACACATTCGTAACTTCACAGGGTTGGGATTGAAGCTCTGCTGCAAGACAGGAGTTTCATTTGTTGTTTTCTAGTGACTGCTAATCACAAATTTGTGATTTTCACATTTCTTTGAGGTTAAGGTTTTATTTGGAATTATTTGTTAGAGTTTTCACAACCTTTTCTCTCATTCAAAATTTTGATCAGCAGAAAAACAATTTCTCTCTGAAAAGAGGCAGTGTGAATCTTTGTGGCTTAAGTGAAACATTTGTTATGTTTAAGCTGGCCAGATTATGAAGTTTGGTTCAATTAACAAATCTAAACTTTCTTTTTGAATGACTGAAATTATAAAAGGCTCCAGGAGGACAAGAAAAGCCCTGAAGATAAGAAATCCTGCTTCTCTTGGCTGAAAGGTGCCTCAGGTGACTACAGTCTTGCAGGAGTGTCAGAACTTAACATTCGTGGTGTAAAAAGGTCTCACAGGGAATTCCTTAAGAAGACCATGCAGGGAACCTTGCTTATCTCTGGACACGTGTAAGCATTAATCACCTAGTACGTGAAGTGTCCAGGGTCCTTGGGATCACCCAGACACATAGATGGAAGACAAGACTCAAGGGTGACACCTTGAGGAACAAGTTCCACAAAAAGCATACCCAATCCAAAATATTTCCCGCTAGGTTTCTGGTCATTCAGGAAGAAAAATATAAATTATGGGCAATCATACGTCTAAAATCAAGTCTTTCTTCTTAAGGAGATCCACTCTTAGAAACACTGGATTTATGTTTAATACTTACACTGCCTTTTCTCATAAATATTTAGAAAAATGGTTTCGCATAACTATTGATGACCCCCAAGTACAATGGCCAAAATGGGGTACCTTTGAAATACCTAAATGGGTTTATCTGTGCACTAAATTAGAAAAAGCCAGATCTAAAATAAAATAACTGGGAAAATTACCTAGAAGTTTCTAAATGATGTTCTGATAAATCATTTCTTTACAAAAGGTAAACAAAAGGTTGTCCAAAACACTTTCTGAATTGAAAAAGACGCCAAAAAATCGTTTATGGCTCGGAGGTCACAAGATTTGTAACTTCCCCAATCGCGTCCATAGATAACATTACAGTGTCAAAACCTAAGATTGGCCTTTGTGGTATTTTTCAGACTTTTGCATTCTGGTGACTGACTGACTCTGCCTAGTCTCATGACTCATGTCGCATACCAAGGAACTAATAATTCAACTGGTCCTGTGACCCCCACCCAGGAACTGACTCAATGCAAGAAGACAGCTTTTGACCCCCTGTGATTTCATCCCCGATCCAACCAATTAGCATTCCCCATTCCCTAGCCCCCTGCCCACCAAACTATCCTTGAAAAACCCTAACCTGTGAGCTTTCAAGGAGACATTTGAGAATTAGCTCTTGTCCTTTGGCTTGGCCGGCGCTGCAATTATGAAACTCTTTCTTTGCTGCAAAAGCCTGCTCTTCTCAGTGCATTGGCTTTTCTGGGCAGCAGGCAAGATGAACTCATTGGACGATTACAGTGCTTTTACTTACCTCACTTTTCACCTGTTTCAATTCTTAGACTATGGTGGCACAAAGCCAGAGACTTTGTATTTTGTTCCCTGATGTAGCCCCAATGCCTCTAAATCCTGCTTGATATCTAATAGGCACTCAATCAATATTTCTGAATCAATGACTGGAGAAACAGCATGTCGATCATCTCTACCCCAGCCTAAGGCTCAGCTTTGCCTCCTGCTTTGTGGCCTGTCTCTCCGGGCCCCAGCCTTTCCTGATCTATTTATTAAGCACCAGTTCTTGAACATGCCTAATCCCATTCCAGCATATGTTGTACTGCCTTTTGTTCAAACCCACCTGCCCCCAATAAAAACAGGCTGCCTGTTAGCTTCCCCTTCTCTTGTCTGCTTGCCCCTTCCCATGGAGAGTCCTCTACCTGCCCTTGATAATCACCACTGCCCCATGGGTGTTTCTAGGCATCAGCTCCTGAACACCTCAGCCCACCCCATTCCTAATCAACTTTCCCCAGAGGCAGGAACAGTAACACCGATAAAGTGACTCTGGAACAATTTCATACACTATCACTCACCCAAAAGAGCCTTATGTGCTGGAAAAAAAAAAATGTACTCTATTTTGAGCCCATAGTTTCAGGAAATATATATTTGGGGAAAAAATTTTTTTTCTATCTATGCTATCACCAATACTGCAATACTTCACCTCAGAGACCAGATGTCAATGGGAGTCAGGGAGATTCCCCACACAGACAACTTCTTCAATACCAGCTGGGTGTCCCACAATTCAGTATGGTTCTGACACTAGCAAGAGTTAGCCCAGAGAACTTACAGGTTGAGGGCTGAGTCCCACAAGACTGCCTCCCACCGTTGTTTATCTAGGAATGTCAATTTCTCCCTCACTTTTGAGGTACAGTTTTAGCAGATATAACAGGATTCTTCGTTTACAGTATATTTTTCTTTTAGCACCATTTAGGCCCACTGTCTTGTGGTCTCCAAAGTTTCTGATGAGAAATCTGCTAATAATCTTACTGAGAATCCCTGATATTTAATTAGTTGCTTCTCACTTGCTGCTTTCAAGACTCTCTGTCTTTGGCATTCAAAAGTTTAATTATAATATATCTTGGTGTGGGTTTCTTTGAGTTCATCTTACTTGGAGTTTGTTGAGCTTCTTGGATGTTCATATTTATGTCTTTCATCAAATTTGGCAGATTTCTACTCTTATTTCTTCAAATATTCTCTTTACTCCTTCCCTTCTCTCTTCCCCTTCTGAGACTCCCACAGTGCAGATTTGTTCCACTTGATGGCATCTCACAAGTCTCTTAGGTTCTGTTCCTTTTTCTTTTTAATGTTCTTCAGACTCAATAATTTCAGCAGTCCTATCTTCAAGTTTGCCAATTGTTTTTTCGGCCTGCTCAAACTCGCCTTTGAATCCCTCTAGGGAATGTTTTATTTCAGTAATTGTACTTTTCAGCTCCAGAATTTCCTTTTGGTTTCTCTGTAGGTTTGCTGTCTCTTTATTGATATTTCCATTTGTTCATATATCGTTTTCTTAATTTCTTCATATCATCCTTTCTCTAAGGAAATTCTTTTCAAGTATGTATTTAGTATATCTGCCACCAACTCTTTTTCAGGAATAGTTTCTGTTGATTCATTTTTTTCTTCTTTGATAGGGACATACATTCTTATTTATTTGTATCCTTGTGATTTTTTTTTTTTTTTTTTTGGTTAAAATTGGACATTTGAATCTAGTAATATGGTAACTCTGGAAATCAGATTTTTCCTCTCTCTCACAATTTGCTAGTGTTGTTATTGGTTTTTTTTGTTTTTGATTTTTTGATTATTATGAACTGGCCCTGTGCCAAGGATAATCCTGGGGTGTAAACTTAGGTCTTCTCAAGTCTTTTTTCAGCCTATGCCTTTCCCTGGACATGCACAGTCACTTTCTAATTTTCCCCATATTTGAAAGTGTTTTTGAATGTCCTAGTCTTTAATGCTTGTCTCTGAAAAGGAAAAAAAGTGGAAAAATTAAGGAGGACTGAGATAAAAAGGATGTCAACTCTTTAGATCCCCTGGAAATTACTTCAGCCAGAGAAAGGGGGACTTGCATCAATGAAGGAAAGTAGAACAACATGGCCACTACATCACTGTACCTTTGTGATCACATGTAGCAATCAGTGATCAGAGCACAGATCCCTTATATTTAGATGACAGCATTCTTTTTTCCCACCTTGGCTCCCTCAAGATGTATGTAAGCTGTTCCAGGAAAAAAATGCACAGCTGCCTGCCATGGGGCTGAGGGTGGGGTATGTATAGCTGTTACTGTGCTAAAGGATACAATTGACTGAAATCAGCTAGAGTTTGTGTTCCAAGCCTTCTCCCGCAAATTACAAGCCTTCAAGAAACTCAAGAGTTCCAAAATAGTTACATCAGACAGATTCTGCCAGTGTAATTGTTGTCTAAGTTGGGAGAGAGATTCCTGGAGCTTCCTATCCTGCCATTTTCCCAGAATCTTCTGATCTCTTTATTTTAGAAGAGAATTTTGACAAGAAAAATTTATATTTCTTGAATGAGTTAAAGAGTTGGGGATCATATTGAAAACTCTATTTTCTCAGGGCACTATTTGAAGAAAAAGCTTGGGGAAAGCAAGCCAAGGAGTTTCCTAATCCATGTAATTTGATTCTAAGTTATATGTAAATGTAACTTTGAAAGTAGCATGGCAGAGACCAGAAGTATATTTTTCTAATGTGCATAAGTGGTTCAAAGAGCAGCCAACCAAGATAATGTACCATTGTCACAGGTAAAGCAGAGGGATGCAAAAGAAAGTGGGCACAGACAAGTGGAAGACTTATCCTTAGAAATAAGAAGAGAAATTCATTCTCCATAAATTAGAGGAAGAAGGAAAATACCTTGATCTATTTTAGAATAAAAGTATACCCAACCCACAGATATTTATATGTGGGTGTATGTACATATATGAGTAAAATTCATAGAAAGGACTAAGAAGGTACACATCAAACTGTTGACAGTTTCCTTCTGAGAAGAGGACCAAAGGTGAAGTTCAAGATTGAATAAGGGAGAATAGGTGAAATGTCATTCAGATGCAAAAAATAATAACAATAATCAAAAACTGTAGCTTACATGACATAAAAATTTATTTTTTCTCTTACATAAAATTACAGATAGACTGTTTGAATCTGTTGTGGTAAACTCAATGGTAAGGGAACTCATAGTCTTTTAATCTTGTTGCTCAGCATGTGAAATCTCCATTCTCAATTTTACCTTGTGGTCCAGAATGACTACTTCAATTCCAGTCACCACATATACATGCTAGACAACAGAAAGGAGAAATAGGGAGGGAAAGACATCTCCCCTCCCATTCTGATAACTTCCTAGGGGTTGCACACACCACTTCCATTTAAATCCCCTGGCCAGAATTTAGTCACCAGCTATAAGGAAAGCTTGGGGAAAAAGTCTCTGAGTGGCTACATGACTAACATAAATTTGGGGATTCAATTACTGAGGAAGAAGGGGGAAAAGATATTCTCTCCCAGTGGGGGGAACATATTTTACTATGTTCTTACTTATTTTGTGAAATCTTTACAAATACGTATTCACATATTAGTTTTATAATAAAAGTAAATAAACATAGAAATTTGGGTGAAGGAAATGAGAATTGAAAGGAATCAAACCTGACCTTTATTTTCTCATTGATAAGGTGAGGTTGATAATGAAAGAATGTGTGTGAGTTGAGGAGTTTGGTGAGTAGGAGACAAGTATGGAGCAGCTTTATGGGGACTGTGCAGGAGAAGTTTTGATGCACTTGTAGGACATTAGTGTTCCATGAGATGCATCAAAGCTGCCTCTGCTAAAACTGAAAATGGGTGGTCTCTTCTCCATTTACAGAAAAACATCCAGTTGTTATTTATAACTTTTGCAACTCCAAGTTTCTCCAATAAGTGAAGCCATGGGTACCAGCTGCAACTTGCCCATTGGCAAGCATGGGAAGATAAGAAAACAATAGAAGAAGCAAAGCACAGACTCCTCCAAAATAACTAATTGTTCTTAGTTGATATCTTTCCTTTTTTATGGAACATCTGACTGTGGATGCTAAATTAGATTGCATTTGTTATAATATGTTGTTATAAACTTCAAGTAAAATTGCTTCCAAGTTATTTGATAGAATTAAATATTTCAAAGTTTCCTAATATCAGGCAAAGAGCATGGCATTTGAGGGAGAGTGTGATGGTGCTGGAGTGCTGAAGACTGTCAACTAGGCAGAACATGAATACTTCCAAAAGAGGATTGAGCTGACCATCTGAGGCTGGAAAGTGCAAACGTGTGAACAACTCAGTCAAGACTTAGATATTCCCAGAAAAACTCAGTGCAATCAAGGAAAGGAACAAGAGACATTGTGTCGTGAGTGAGAGAGACAAGCAGCTGTTGTTGAAGCCACTGCATTGAGCTGTTTGTTATGCAGTTGCTGAATAATACAGACCTCCTGCAGCCCAGCAGGACTCCCTCCCCACTTTCCCCTGGCATAAGTGTGCGATTGGATGAGTAAGACAAATGTGGCAGAAGATAAACAAGGGTGGAGGTGGTTATGAAATGTTCATTAAACTGTGGTGAAAATTGAACATGAGTTTCAGCCTGGAATGAGAAGCATGAGAAACCAGGAGGGGACCCGCAGTCTGGGAAATAGGGGCAGTATAGGAAATGCTAGGTCCCACGCACACACATTCAGAAATACCATGGCACTGGGTGCAATGTAGAAAACATGAGGCAGGGTGAGGGGGTACTATATGGTATTTGACAAGAAGACCAAGAAGTGCCCAATCCGTCTTGGCCCTGTCCTTTGCAGGAGGTTTCCCAGGGAGATCTAGGAATCAGGAGACAATGGAAAATGGGGAAATTAAGTGGCATTTTATTATTAACCAACCTTGTAACTGAAACCTCACTTCCGAGAACTCTGGTGGTTGGACTAAAGCACGGGGCTTAAACCCAAGCTTTAAGAGAATCTCCCTACCTCCACCTACAAACACACCTCTAGGTAAAAAGCCCTGAGAATATACAAATGCAAAGTGCAAAAGCCACAGGGAGCAGCTGGCTCTATACAGGCCCAAGAAAGAGAACAAAAGAGGAGAGCCCTGGGATGTCACCTGTGTGTCCTTGTAAGACCCTTACCATAGGACTATTATTGCCCTAGCACTGTGAGACCAGTGCTATCTAATGAGTATTCTGTCTCTTGGGGAGAAGAGTTTGAGAACATGCCTTCCCCTAAAGGCCCATTGTCCTCTTGAATTCTGTCAACCAGTGAACTTATTAGCCAAGCCTATGTTTACCTCCCTTGTGGGTGTTCCCTTTAGGGTAGGAAATGCTGATGTCCAGGGAAGGCCTGACCCTGCCTCCTAACTGCTGGTTCCTCATCCAGCCCAGCACTCTCTGGGAGCCAGCCAGGGCCAATGAGGCCAAGCACAGGTGTTGTTATTTAGGGTCATTCCAGGCCACTTCCTCCATGCCACTCCCCTTTGAAGTTATGCCCAGCTACATTTAACTAAATCACCACAAAGGCCCCTCCCATTATTCAGTTCTCCCAGAGTAATTAAATATTCACAGAGCCATTAAAATCCCAATAACAAAAATCCCTCCCACTGTTGCCACAGGAAAACAGAGTCTGCTAATTAAAATTCTTAAAAACAGAGATTGGTATCCAGAATATCTTAAAGTAAAATTAAGTTTTTAAATGCTAATTTTTATTATTAGTCTATATTAATCTCATTTTGTCATCATTTCATTCAAGCCTCTTTTTGGCATCTTCCCTGGAAGTATCTGCCTAAGATGCCTTTCACAGGAACAAGTGCCTTCATCCCAAAGTTAGATTAAGCCAGTCCTCAGTATAATCTGTTCACTACCCTCCCAAATTCTAAAGCGACATCAGCCTCATAGGCTTGAAATATAAGGACAGGAGCTTTCCAGATAGCACAGCAGTTTATAAAGGGGTTCCCCTCACCTCCTACTCTTGTCCTCCAATTTTTGTGCCCATAACTATCTTACCACAAGGTAACTGCCATCAACCTTAAATCAGTGTAGACTTAGAATTCATGAGAAAGAAGAAGAGTGAAAAGAAAACAGTTTTCTGTGCACCTGTATAAGAATGTCAGATGCCCAGAATCCCCAACTCTGGACGTCAATGCAATGGAGCTGTCTCCCTTCCTAAGGTGTATTGTTCCTGGAGCTGGCACCTGGAACCTTTCTAAGTTCCTGTAGAATTTAGCTATGTGCTCTGCTGGCGCTCCTGGAACTCATTTCTCCCTTTAGTGCCCACTGAATGTATTGAAGGCATATGTGTTTCACTCTGCCTCTAAGCCCTGTGTTGTCATTGCAGATGGACTGATGTGCAATGCAGATGCAGATGCAATGTCATTGCAGATGCAGACTGGGCTGATTGTGAACCTGTGTCTAGATCGGAGCTTCCATGCCTCTTGTAAGTAGGGCTGTCCACATTTACAAAATGCATCTCTCCAAGTAACTGTCCCTCTCTTGGTCTCTTCCCTTGACTTCTTTAATTGTTACAGGATACTTAAACATCTCAGCCTGAGCCAGTGGCTGCCCTGAAATGTTTGCAGCTCTGAACTGTGGCAGTCCCCTGACTCTGCCCTTCCTTGACTCACATCCCTTTTAGCTTATTATAAAGTTTCCCGATTCTGTGCCTTCAGAACACAGGGAGGATCCACCCTGTGCTCATTTGTACTCTTCACCAAACCCTCGCCATCTCCCTGCTTTTTCATTTTCCATGTCTCAAGCAACTTTCTGAACAGCAAGAAGCAATCTTCATTTCTGCCACCTCTTATTCTATAGCAAGGGGTTGTGCCCTCACTGGTCATTCTGAATCTTCACCTATGATTTGATCACATGGGAGTTGCTAAAAAAACAAAACAAAACAAAACAAAAACACTGATGCTCCAGCCATGCCCCAGATAAATGGAATCAGAATCTCTGCAGAAAGGGATCCAGTAGTCAAGGGTAGTTTTTTAAGTTCTTCTCCCGACTCCAGATTGAAGAAGTCAGAGAAATCTGGTATGAAAAGTGTATCTTTTGGTCAAACAGGCTTTGTCTACCTCACTTCTAAGAGTAGCAGCCTTTCACCCTGTGACTCTCCTGTAATGGTCTCTCTGGATTGCCCGGCAATTCACCTATTAGAACTCCTGTTTACTCAAGGAGTAACCTCCTCTTTGGAAAAAGTCAGTTTCCAGCTCAAATATAGAATCTAATTAGTAGGCACCAATGGGATGTGAGTGTATGTCTATGGGAGGCTTCTTGAAAACGTGTCCTTGTCCTAAAGAAAGAGATACTGAGAGGATAGCCCCTCCTCTGTCTCTGGACACAGCCATTGCAGGCAGCCCTGCTGGAAGTTTGGCAGCTGTCTTCGCCACCAGGAACCTGCTGTAGGTCAAGCAAACACATTGGCAGGATGGAAAGAATCGAGTCCATGAGGAGACTGTGGATCTAATGGACTAGGCAATTCTGGAACTATCCTGCCTCTAGACTGCTCAGGGAAACCTAGAGGCACTTTTGAAAGCAGGACAAAGAAAACAGGAGAAAGCGAAGCATCCCTCGGAAGATGCTTTTGCCAGGGGACATTAAGAACCAGCAGTGATCAGCTTTGTCAAGCTCCTTGCTCTCTAAGCCTCCAGTGGCAACCAGATGTGTAACAAATTAGATTTTCAATCACGTCCCCAGTCTATGCTATTTCAGATTATGTCTTTATCATTTTCTCACTCCCACCTTCAAAATCTATTGAAGGCAGCATGTGCAGCAGTGCCCTGGGTATAAAAGTCATCTTGTCCAGCCAGAAGGTTCTAAACTCTGAATAGGGCTACTGGCCATTCTCTTTAAATCAAAACTACCTTTACCCAGACCGGAAAAATAAAATCAAACACTACATTTTCATCAATTTAGAAATTAGTCCATTTCATTTGCTTTCCAGAATTCTCTTTGTGTTTAAATCATCTTCATCAAGCTTCTTGCTCTGTAAGCCTGAGTAGCACCCAGATGCATAACAATTTGGATTTTCAATCATCCTCATTTACTACCAGGGAAACAGGTTAAAAAATCAAGACATTCAATAGGGTAATTTTACAATGCTGCATTATTTTAGTTAAAATAATTATCATGGTTTTTAACAAACTAAAAATGAAGATTTCCACTTTATACATACATTTATTTGTAAAGCTATAAGGCTTGCCTTCTGGGACCGTGAAAATATATTAGGCATGTTCACATGTATATAATCAGCTTTGGAGACATTTCAAACTGTAAAGACACTGTTGAGAACTTCTTGATTATGCTTCTGTTAGAACTAGCAGTTTCCCCACAGCAAAGCATGACAGTTGCACAGACTGGAAAAGTTAGAAAATGCCTGATTATTATTTTTAAGTCATTCTTCCTGGTAAAGCATGATTTTAGAGACATTGCTTTTGATTTCTTCCTAGAAACAGAATTTTGGCATGCCACTCTGAAACACAAACATAAGTCAAAAATGAAGTATTTCATTATCACTCAATGTTTTGGGTCACAGTCATCAAATACGCCCTTATTAGCATTGGGAAATTACTAGTGTATGTTGTGAATTTGTTTAATGCAAACTTATGAATCCACATTAAAATACATTCATTTAGAAATATTTAGAGAAGAAAACCTCTCAAATGATTAGGGAAAATATTTAAAGAGGAAAATATTTGGAAAAACTCTGTTTTATGTTTGTTCCCCCCAGTTTTGGCAATTGTTATCTTGCTTTTGCTATTATTCTGGAGCTCAAGGGTTTAATATGTTTGTCAGAATGCTTTTATTCTATCTAGAGAGAGTTAAATGATTAATGTTTTGTTTCTTCTCACATAAAATAGTGATGGCTTTGCTTGCCTTCATTTCATTGTGACAATCATTTAATTATTTAAAAGAGAGGAGAATGCTATTTCTAAGTAGATACTATTAGAAGCTTGATTCAACAGTTCTTATTAACAGAGTCAAATGTAGGCACACAGTAATTCCTCTGGTTAACCAACTGCCACCTATGTGCCTGGTACACAGTGAGTGCTCAGTAAGTGTTAGTCTCTTTTTGGTGTGCATCCTTTCAGGTCTGAATCTAAAATAATTTAGATGTTGATGAACATAAAGACAGTCAATAAAGGTTTTATAACAAGTTTCTAAAATATTCATGAGTATCATTCACATCAGTACTATGTATACTAATCATGAGAGTCATGCAATACATGCTATTAAATAATATAATGAAACTATTATTCAACTTATTTTTGTAATAGCATAAATTACTTACGACAATACTCCAAGCTTTTGGGCCAGAATGAAAACCTCATGTTACTTGCTCCCCCAGAGCTCTTTGACAAACTGCTGAAATTTTTGTTTTGTGCAATCCAAAGAAAACTAAGGGAGTTCCTTTTTTAATGTTGTGAAATTGTTTTCAGTCAGTCCTTCATTTTCTTTACAAACTCAAAGGCACAATAGCACAGAAGTTTATTTTTCAACCAAATCACTGCCTGTAATACTGGTGGAAAACGAGAAACAAAGCATATGGGCAACAATAAGGGATTGGTTAATAAATGGTAAAACATGAGATGCTATGCAGCCATAGAATGATGGTGAACAATGGAAAAATGGGTCCAATATATAGATAGAGTTTCATATAAAAATAGAATAAATGGAGAGATAGCTTCAGTGTTTATCTCTGGTTGATAAATTTATGAGTTTTCTTTTTTGTTTGTTCGTTTATTTTCCTTCTCTAATTTTTGTATGACAGCCGTATTTTGTGTTAGAAAAGTGGCATTTTAACATATCTCTATGATTTTTATTATTGTAAATTTTTATTAATTATTTCTAAGAAAGTGCAAAATGTTATGCAAATTTTATCATGACATACAATTTAGGCAGGAAACAGTGAAAATGTAACTTGTTGCAAGGTGTACTTATCAGCATGCTTGCTGAGGAGTTCATATTCTGTTATTATTCTGAATACCCACTAAAGCTTCCTTTTCTCTGATATTAAGTCAGAACTCGGAAGGTGAGATGACCAGGCTGATGTAAGCGAAAGAAGCCAAGGACACGGAGCAGGCCACCCTGATCTGTAACCACATGATATTTGAGGCGCATTTATTCTCATGCTATCCTGTAAGAATTCAATAAAGATGAAACTGCAAGAAATACTTTTTTTCTGTTTTCAGCTTCTTAATACAATGCAAGATTTTTGGAATCATTAAGAGAGGAATGAGATGACCTTGTGAAAATGTCTGAAAGGATTAATTAAAACTAGGCTACGATTGCCATTTCCATATTGAGTAAATTTAAGTAATACGAACATTAACAAATATATTGAAGGACTTGTTTCATACCCCTCATGGCTTTTGAAAAGCATTTTTCACCCAGTCCTGCAGTAATTTATACCGTGAACCACTTTATCCTCAGCATCAAGCAGGTTCTTGGCACCCAGCAGGTACTCCAATGTTTTAGGAAGACAGGCAGGAAGGGAGAGAAATATCTCTAAAGATTAGGAAGTCTGTACTACACCCAGGGGATCGGTGGTTCCTACAGTTGAGGGGGCAGCATGGTTGCACACCCAAGTTTTCAGGGCTTCTTGGAAATGTTATAGGATGAGCCAGAGCTAGAAAGCCATATGCACGATAATAAAGAAAACCTTAGGGTTCCTTTGAGATTCTTTATAAAAGTGAAATAAATGGGAAACACAAATTCAAACACTTAGTAAGAAGGCAAGACAAACCGCACCCCCCCTCCCCACCATGGAAGCTCCTCTTCTGTACAAGGTCAGGCATCTATCACCGTCTTTAAAAGTCTAGAGATGCAAATGCCCCAACACCTGCCTTCTGTGTACTTGGACCCCAAGGATGACGGAGATAACTGAAGATGTATTTAAGTTACTAGGTTCAAGAAGATTTAAGTTTAAAATAATGAGGAATATAGTAAAATCCAAGATGGCTATTCCCAAAATACTTGACATTTCTTAGTATTTCCTTAAATTTCAGAAGAAAAAGTAGAAGACTAGAACTAAATAACCTATCCTTTTACTGTGACTGTTAGACAGAATGGTCTTTTTTCCTCCCGTCACTTAAACCCCCACTCTCCCCTCCCTGCCCTGTGCTCACCATCTTGGTTCCCCTCCTTCACTTCAACTTGCCGGATTTCAGCCAGGGACTTTCATGGGTGACCATATTAAAATCTTAACTTTGATTTAGGTAAAATCCTGAGGTTGGTCACTTTTCTCTTCTTACCCTTCCACTCAAGGAAGCCCTGTCCAATATCCTCCTCTCAGCAAGCTTTCTGGTTGGTGTAGACCACATAATGGACACCGTTACACGTGCTTACCACAGATTTGAGTAAAATTTAAAATATGTTGATCAGAAATTTTAAGTGACACAAAAAATTTTAAAAAGTACTCATTATGATTTCATCTCAGCAAAATGAGTGGTGTTATTGTAATGGTTCACTAAGGCATTTATATCCAGGTAAATGATCAGATTCCAAACCCAATTGATTCCTTTCTCATTCTTGATTTCTGCTAAATTATAAAGTCCTAATTCAAACTACAAATAATCAGAAATAGCATCAAGTACTCTCTGGTTGTGTCAGATTGTTGTAGACATTCCAATAAAACTTGGACCCAGAAATCTCAGATTTCTCACCGGAAGGCAATTTGTTTTTCAGATGATAACTCCATGACTATCTCATCCTCAAAGGCTCTACATTCCAAATATGAAGATAGAAGCTTCTGTATGTGCTTTTTAAATATACTGAGAGTGCAGAATTATTTTTTGCTAAGGCATGAGAAAAAATCATCTTGCTATGCACAGTCAAGACATGGAAAGGGTCCTTCTCTCTTCAGTTCAGCTTTCTTAAGAAATTGTGGCATCTAAACCTCACCAATAAATATGACTGTTTAGCTGTGAAATGCTGTTTGAGGTCCTATATAAACCTCTGAGATGTGTCATTCAAATCACAGCAGTGTCTTTACTGGCCTTATCAGGGTCTTCAAACAATACATCTCATCTCCCATTTCAAAAACACGTTTGAGCACATTTCCCCTGAGCAGCCGAAGCACTTCACGGAAGAAAGGTCAGGTCAGGTACTTGCTGCCCCTTTTCTCTCATGGCAGGCTGAGCAGTCATTCACTGAGTGGCTGCGGTTTGATCATAGTTGCTATTTTTATTATTCCCTCCCACATTTAGTCAAGAGCAGAAGGCATCGTGTCCTGTCAGCTCCTCTCTGTGGATAGGGTGGTGAGCTGACTGGCATTCTGGTGGGACCTCATATTCATCTTCCAACACCCTCCCTGCCCTGCACTTCACATGCCACTAATACAGGGGCAAAAGTAAGTTGTGACACACTGCTTATTGGGGAATAAGATAATAGGAACACCCCGAATCACAGTAACTATTCAAGGAAGATATTTGGGGGCAGGAAGGCCTTTGATGCCTCTCAAACTCTCCCACATAAACTCAGCCTCCATGACCCATGAAGTTGATCCTCTGCAACTTCCAAATAGAGGTGCTGAGAGCTGAGTCACTCCCACCTTGATGCACCTGGCTACCCATTGTGGAGACAATGCTGGGAACCTTTTGGTTATTTTTTTAAAAAAAATTCTTCTTATAAAATTGTTGTAGTTGAAAAGAATAGATAAAATACAAACTGTATGTATGAAAACTAAGTAACATATTTTTTTTTTTTTTGAGACGGAGTCTCGCTCTGTTGCCCAGGCTGAAGTGCAGTGGTGTGATCTCGGCTCACTGCAAGCTCCACCTCCCGGGTTCACGCCATTCTCCTGCCTCAGCCTCCCAAGTAGCTGGGACAACAGGCACCCGCCACCACGCCCGGCTAATTTTTTGCATTTTTAGTAGAGATGGGGTTTCACTGTGTTAACCAGGATGGTCTCGATATCCTGACCTCGTGATCCGCCCACCTCAGCCTCCCAAAGTGCTGGGATTACAGGCGTGAGCCACTGCGCCCAGCCAAAACTAAGTAACAATTTTATAAAAACAACATATATACATACACACAAGCATATGTTTGTTTCTTTAAAAAAGACTAAGAAAAGAATAACAAAATGTTAATAATGGCTGTCTCTGCAGATAATTTTTTAAAATTTTCTCCTTTATATATTTTTTGTAAGTTCCAAAGTATCTGCAATAAACTTGTATACCTTTGTCTAAGGTATAAGAAAAGAAATAAGAGACAAGTACACCGAAATGAAAACTAATAAGCCACAATGGGAAACACACCCGCGAGTGTGAGAGTCACTGGTGTGCAGTCAGGTAAAGCTGCCTGGTTGTGCCTAATCACATTTATGTTCAATGCTCATTATTCCATATAAAGTCTTTACGAGATTATGTCTTTTTTTTTTTTTTTTTTTTTTGAGACAGGACCTCACTCTGTCACCCAGGCTCAGAGGTACAATCACAGCTAACTGCAAACTCCTGGGCTCAGGTGATCCTCCCACCTCAGCCTCCCAAGTAGCTGGGACCACAGACACGTGCCACCATGCCTGGCTAATAAAAAAAAAAAATTTGTAGAGAGGGGGTCTCACCATGTTCCCCAGGATGGTCTTGAACTCCTAGGATCAAGTGATCCTCCCACCTCAGCTTCCCAAAGTGCTGACATTACAGGCATGAGCCAGTGTTCTCAGCACCCATTAATTAGTAGCAACAATTTAAGACATTTTATTTCCTTTCTCCAGAATAAATCATGATGATACTCTTTCCTAGATCATTAGAACTAAACTCTTCAGCATGCATATTAATTATACATAAAACTCTGCAGTTGAAAACAGAAGCAATTGTGAATTCATGGGAGAGCAATAGGAGTTGAGGGTGATTGGTGATGCCTGCACGTGCTTTAAATGCAGGCGTGGACATCAGTATTCTTAGGAATTTCCAAACAAGCCCCTGGCAGTAATCTCTGTGCACAGGGAAAGGGAATTCTGAATGCCAGTAGGGGACAGAAAGCAACACACACCACACAGCCTTCATCTGAAGGTAGTGCTGTGGTTTGATGTGCCCTCTCCAAAATTTAGGTGTTGCCAATGTGAGAGTATTGAGTGGCAGGGCCTTTAAGAGGTGATTAGGTATGAGGGCCGCTTCCCTCGTGAAGGGGTTTAATCTCTCATAATACAAGAGGCTTCACACAGTGTTTGGCTGCCTTGCCCTGCCACCTTCCACTGTGTGAGGATGCAGCAAGAAGGCCCTCACTAGATCAAATGCCGGCTTCTTGATTTTGGACTTCCCATCCTCAAGAGTGGTGAGGAACAAATTTTTGTTCTTTATAAATTAACTGGTCTCAGGTATTCTGTGATAGCATCATAAAGGGACTAAGGTAGAATCCATAGAAATTGTCTACGGTACTTGAATCAAGGTCTGGAACTGTATCTCCAGAATTCCATCTTTTTTATCTTCCCAAAGATTTAATTACAATACTAATGGTTAAAAGTTACTATGTTCTGTGCGCAATGGTAAACATCTTACTAACTACAGGAAGGGCCATATCCAAAGAAGTGATAAAAAGAAAAGCAGAAAAACAGAAGCCCACACAAGGGTTAATCTCCAAATATAGCCTTCTTACTTTGGTAGAATAGGATCAAACCCATTAAAAGTTTACAAAATATAGTTCTTTGTCAATCATGCAATTAGACAAATATCCTGGTAAATGTGGTAATTCAGAAATGAGTAATGAATAAAGCTTGTCCACTGTCAGGCAGGGGACTTTCTGGCTGTGATATTTGCCCCAGTTTTTATGTCCTAAATGTTGTAAAAGTAGGCACAATCAGCCTTTTATTTTTCATGAATGTATTATCTGAGGCAGTTCTGAAATTTCCCCCAATTACAAGGTTGTTTTCCAAAGGCCATCACTCCAGTTGTGTGTTTCAGGTTAGGAAAAAATACTCTCAACCAACAACCTATCAGGCATAGTAGAATGTGACCCCAAAAGACTTGTAGGGTGGTGTTCATTTACTTTTGGAATTGATCATGGGATTGATCGGTTTTACACACTTAAAACAACCTAATCTGGCAGCACACAAAAGTGGATCTATTTATTGGTAGAAGGCTGACATTAAATTAAGCCCATAAAACTGGTATATAAAACCTGTGACTGAGAGACATTAGGTATTTCCTGGAACAGATGGGATATACTTTTGTAGGGTAACATGTGCATCTTTTGAGCCTGGAGACTTCTTCCCACGTTGTAAAAGACCAGCATCCAATGGTTTCCTTTACAGTATAAACAGACATGACAGCCCATCACTATGGCAACAAACACTGAAATTATAGCATGTGCTGAAAAAGGAGCTCTGGTCACAAGATTTATTGTTTAAATATAGAAATAAACAGAATAATGATGGAAGTATGGTTTTATTTTTCAATTTTTGTTTGGTTTTAGTTTTGTGGCTTTAATTATTGAGAAAACTTTAGTAGAATTAATCTTTGTAAATTAGGCAGATTATCTTCTCATTACTTGATCGTTACGGCAAGAGCAAAGTGGAGATCTTGCACTACTCCGTGAAATAAATTTTATGGAACACTTAGTAGTCACTTCCTTACAGAAGAAGACACGTTCAACCAGTATGACCAAAAGTAGCAGCTATAGCCAGCAATGGCATTATTTGAGGCTCTCAAGGCCAGCAATAAGTAAAAGGAGCTTTCCATTCTGGTCCGGAATATGAGGATATGATTGCTTCTTCTAAACATCTGGCTGTTGTGCACGTGTGGAGCTAATCTAAGCATGCCTCTCCTTCTGTTGAATGGGCCAGAGATCACAAATTTCTGAGCTTTTATGGATGGAAGCAGGAACTGCTGTCTGAAGTGACAGAGATACATCAAATGTGGCTTCAAGATCAACCAGGAAAAGCTCTCAGCTCTCCTGGAAGATTATACTATACTGACTGGGGACTGTGCACTAAATTATAAGGTAACAAACTTTGGTTCAGTTACTTTATTTGCCATTGAGTCACCAAGTTTAAATCTTTGAATTCTGAAGGATAATTTCTGAAATGTGGTTAGGCACAATTCTGTAATGACTAAATGCTATTCCAGCTGCTGACTGACTTTCAGGTTTTCTATGAATAAAGGTTTAGCAAAGATCTTGAGAAGCAATGGAGTGTAAATGTTGGCTTCCTGGGGAACCACGGCAAGGCCACAGGCAGCAGATGGAGAAATCAGCACCAGCATGAGCTCTAAGCTTCCCTTTGGCAATGTGGCCAGCCCTCACCCATGGTTCATTCTGGGCAGGTGTTCCACTGGTGGGCAACTGAACATTCACACTGGCACAACTGGAACAGTACTCAACTTTGAGAGAGAGAACAACATCAGAGGCAGGAAAGAAGAAAGGCTAGGGGAACCAGCCAGAAAAAAGAATGAAAAACAAGATGGAGAAGAATAAAGACCAAGATAGACTTCTTATTGCCTGAGATTCATCCTAAGGAGGTGAAGAAAACCCATTTATGTGTCCAGTCATCGAGAAATCTTTCATGAAGGGAGGAGTCAATTGATGTGGCAAACTTCATTGTCTTTTTGTCAGAAATGCCACAGCCACCTCAGCCTTCAGCAACCACCACCCTGATCAATCAGTAGCCATCAACACTGAGGCAAGACCCTTCACCAGCAAAATAAACCAGACTCGATTAAGGCTCTGATGATCATTAGTATTTTTTTAGCAATAAAGTATGTTTAAATTAAGGTATATATATTTTTAGACATAATGCTGTAGCACCCTTAATAGGCTACAGTACAGTGCAAACATAACTTTTATATGGACTCGGAAACCAAAAAATTGTTGTGACCCACTGTATTGCAATATTTGCTTTATTGCAGTGGTCTGGAACTGAACTCACAGTGTCTCTGAGATATGCCTGTGTAAGACATTCCGAAAAAGGTGAAACTATCGAAAGAGTAACAAGATCAGTGGTTGCCAAGGGATAGATGGAAGGAAGGGATGACTAAGTGGAGCGCAAAGGATTTTTAGTGCAGTGAAACTACTCTGTATGCTGTTAAAATGGTAGACAACACTTTATACATTTGTCCAATCCACAGAATGTACAGCATCAAGAGTGAAGCTGAATGTGCACTAAGGTGACTCTGGGTGATAATGATGTGTCAACGTAGGCTTATCAATTGTAACAATGTACCTCTCTGGTAGGGGATGTTGATAGTGGGGGAGGCGTGCATATCTGGGGTTAGGGAGTATAAGGAAAATCTCTCTACATTCCACACAATTTTGTGCTGAACCTACAACTGCTCTAAAAACTAAAGTCTAATAAAAATGTTGTTTTCTTGAGTTCATTAAAGTTTTCCTACATTTTTTGCAAAGTCTAATAAAACCCCGGCCCATGCATACCCCTCATGGGAGACACGGTCACAGCCTACTGCCCTGCATTGTTAGGGTAACAGCTGGAGTTAATATTCCTGAAATGGTCACTCACAATGTATGTCAAGAATCAGAATCGAATAATCAAACCACAGAGAAGGGTTCAAACCCAAAGCCACGTCGCACAGAGGTGTTAATTCAGCTGAAAGAGGCGGTGCACATTCTGGCCCTGGTTTCTGCAACCTATTCATCTCTGACATATTCTATTTTCAGAGTGGCTAAAAGGAGCCATCTGGGAGCAAACTTTTCAAATACTGGATCTACTGCAGCATCTTCCCACCCCTTCATATGCCATCTCACATTTGGGGATATGGGAACTTAAAACTTCATATGTCGTGCTATGTAATAAATTCTAGCAGGCACTGCCTAGCTCATAATGTGAATCCAGCATAAGAAAAAGGACAAATAGAGGACTTCCTTTCCAAGATAAAAAAGGTAAGGGAAGCAGAAGTTGATTCCACTGATATAGTAATCCTCCAATGTGGATTGTACAGGGACCAAGAAATAGAGACCAGTGGAGCAGAGCAGAGGGGCCAGGAACAGACACAGTCTCCTATGGAAATGCAAGATAGTAATCCTGGGGAAAGAGCTGATTTCTCAACAAACAGTTACCTTTTAAACAATTGGATTTCAATATTTTCAAACATGAATATATCTTACCTCTCATAATGCATAAATATGAATGCCACATAAATTAAAGATTGAAGGTGAAGGACAAAAACTATGAAATCTTTAGAAGCATACATAGCAGAATGTTCTTATGATAACAAGGGAATACAAACATTAAAAAGTCATATAAAGTAAACATCATAAAGGAAAAGATTAATTAATATGATTACATTAAACTCAGTAACTCCTGTTCAAAAGCCATCTTAAAAAGAAGAAAAAGAAAAGCTACAAAGTGGGAGATGATACGTGCAACCAGCATAAAGAACTTTCACAAATTAAAATTTTTTAAAAAATAAAGATAGCAAAAAAAACCTAATAGGCATTTTATGAAGATGAAATATGCATGTCCAATGAACATTTAAAAAGATGTTCAACCTCATTAGTAATAAGTGAAACATAAATCAAAACAACAATGAAATACTATCTCACAATTCACAGTTTGGCAAACAATAATGACAATAAAATTTTGGCTCAGATGTGGGATAATGAAAATTGCCATTCCCCGTTAATGGGAATATCAACTGTTTCTCTCTCATACATAGTACAGCTAGATATGTACATACACTATGTTTCATTAATTCTTATCCAAGGCATAGAACAAATACATGTGAACTATTTCCATAAGAGTAAAGTGCCAGAAACAATTCCAATAACCATTAACAAGAGAACAGATAGATTTTGGTATATTTAAAGCCTGGACACAAAACCCTGCTGAAATAAATAGATGATTCAAACAAATGAAAAAGCTTTCCATGTGCATGGATTGGAAGGATCAATATTGTTAAAATGACCATACTGCCCAAAGCAATCTACAGATGAAATGCTCTTTCTATCAAACTACCAACATCATTTTCCACAGAATTAGAAAAAAAATTCTGCTGAGTTCTGTAAGAACCATAGGTCTTGCTCTCCCTCTCCCTCTCCTTCTCCCCATGGTCTCCCTCTCCCCATGGTCTCCCTCTCCCTCTCTTTCCACGGTCTCCCTCTCATGCCAAGCCGAAGCTGGACTATACTGCTGCCATCTCGGCTCACTGCAACCTCCCTGCCTGATTCTCCTGCCTCAGCCTGCTGAGTGCCTGCAATTGCAGGCACGCGCCGCCACGCCTGACTGGTTTTCGTATTTTTTTGGTGGAGACGGGGTTTCGCTGTGTTGGCCGGGCTGGTCTCCAGCTCCTAACCACGAGTGATCCGCCAGCCTCGGCCTCCCGAGGTGCCGGGATTGCAGACGGAGTCTGGTTCACTCAGTGCTCAATGGCGCCCAGGCTGGAGTGCAGTGGCGTGATCTCGGCTCGCTACAACCTCCACCTCCCAGCCGCCTGCCTTGGCCTCCCGAAGTGCCGAGATTGCAGCCTCTGCCCGGCCACCACCGCATCTGGGAAGTGAGGAGCGTCTCTGCCTGGCCGCCCATCGTCTGGGATGTGAGGAGCCCCTCTGCCTGGCTGCCCAGTCTGGAAAGTGAGGAGCGTCTCCGCCCGGCCGCCATCCCATCTGGGAAGTGAGGAGCGCCTCTTCCCAGCCGCCATCACATCTAGGAAGTGAGGAGCGTCTCTGCCTGGCCGCCCATCGTCTGGGATGTGGGGAGCGCCTCTGCCCCGCCGCCCTGTCTGGGATGTGAGGAGCGCCTCTGCCCGGCCGCCACCCCGTCTGGGAGGTGAGGAGCGTCTCTGCCCGGCTGCCCCGTCTGAGAAGTGAGGAGACCCTCAGCCCGGCAGCCGCCCCATCTGAGAAGTGAGGAGCCGCTCCGCCCGGCAGCCACCCCGTCTGGGAAGTGAGGAGAGTCTCCGCCCGGCAGCCACCCCGTCCGGGAGGGAGTTGGGGGGGGTCAGCCCCCCGCCAGGCCAGCTGCCCCGTCTGGGAGGGAGGTGGGGGCGTCAGCCCCCCACCCGGCCAGCCGCCCCGTCCAGGAGGTGAGGGGCGCCTCTGCCCGGCCGCCCCTACTGGGAAGTGAGGAGCCCCTCTGCCCGGCCAGTCGCCCCGTCCGGGAGGGAGGTTGGGGGGTCAGTCCCCCCCCCGGCCAGCCACCCCGTCCTGGAGGGAGGTGGGGGGGTCAGCCCCCCACCCAGCCAGCCGCCCCGTCCGGGAGGGAGGTGGGGGGGTCAGCCACCCACCCGGCCAGCTGCCCCATCCAGGAGGTGAGGGGCGCCTCTGTCCAGCCGCCCCTACTGGGAGGTGAGGAGCCCCTCTGCCCGGCCAGCCGCCCCGTCTGGGAGGGAGGTGGGGGGGTCAGCCCCCCGCCTGGCCAGCCGCCTCATCCGGGAGGTGAGGGGTGCCTCTGCCCGGCCGCCCCTACTGGGAAGTGAGGAGCCCCTCTGCCCGGCCACCACCCCGTCTGGGGGGTGTGCCCATCAGCTCATTGAGAACGGGCCAGGATGACAATGGCGGCTTTGTGGAATAGAAAGGGGGGAAAGGTGGGGAAAAGATTGAGAAATCGGATGGTTGCCGCGTCTGTGTAGAAAGAAGTAGACATGGGAGACTTTTCATTTTGTTCTGTACTAAGAAAAATTCTTCTGCCTTGGGATCCTGTTGATCTGTGACCTTACCCCCAACCCTGTGCTCTCTGAAACATGTGCTGTGTCCACTCAGAGTTAAATGGATTAAGGGCGGTGCAAGATGTGCTTTGTTAAACAGATGCTTGAAGGCAGCATGCTCCTTAAGAGTCATCACCACTCCCTAATCTCAAGTACCCAGGGACACAAACGCTGCGGAAGGCCGCAGGGTCCTCTGCCTAGGAAAACCAGAGACCTTTGTTCACTTGTTTATCTGCTGACCTTCCCTCCACTATTGTCCTATGACCCTGCCAAATCCCCCTCTATGAAAAACACCCAAGAATGATCAATAAAAAGAAAAAAAAAAAAAAAGAAAAAAAATTCTAAAATTCATATGGAACCAAAAAGGAGTGCAAATAGCCAAAGCAATCCTAAGCAAAAAGAACAAAGCTGGAGGCATCACATCACCCAACTTCAAAACATACTATAAGGCTATTGTAACCAAAACAGCATGGTACTTGTACAAAAACAGACACATAGACCAATGGAGCAGAATAAAGAACCCAAACAAAAAGCCACACACCCACAACCATCTGATCTTTGACAAACTTGACAAAAATAAGCAATGGGAAATGGACTTACTGTTCAATAAATGGTGCTGGGATAACCAGCTAGCCATATACAGAAGAAGAAACTGTACCCCTCCCTTTCACCATATACAAAAATTAACTCAACATGGCTTAAAGATTTAAATGTAAGACCTCAAAGTATAAAAATCATAGAAGAAAATCTAGGAAATACACTTCTTGATATCTGGCTTGGCAAAGAATTTATGACCAAATCCTCCAAAGCTGTTGCAACAGAAACAAAAATTGACAAGTAGGACCTAACTAAATTAAAGAGCTTCTGCACAGCTAAAGAAACTATCAACAGAGTAAACAGACAACCTACAGAAGGGGAGAAAATATTCACAAACTATGCATCTAACAAAGGTCTAACATCCAGAATCTATAAGGAACTTAAAACAATTCAACAAGCATAAAACAAATAATTCCATTAAAAAGTGGGCAAAAGGCTGGATGAAGTGGCTCATACCTATAATCCCAGCACTTTGGGAGGCAGAGGCAGGAGGATTGCTTGAGCGCAGGAGTTTGAGAGCAACCTGGGCATCATAGCAAGACCCTGTTTCTGCAATTTTTATTAATCCAATAGGCATCGTGGTGCATGCCTGTAGTCTCCACTATTTGGGAGGCTGTGGCAGGAGGATTTCTTGAGCCTTGGAGGTCGAGGCTGCAATGAGCCGTGATCACACCACTGCACTCCAGCCTGCATGACAGACTGAGACCCTATCTCAAAAAATAAATGAATAAATAAGTGGGCAAAGGACATGAGCAGACATTTTTTAAAAGACATAAAAGCAGCCAACAAACATGAAAAATGCTCAACATCACTAATCATTAGAGAAATGCAAATGAAAACCACAATGAGGTACTATCTCATACCAGTCAGAATGGCTATTATTAAAAAGTCTAAAAATAACAGATGCTGGCGAGGCTACAGAGAAAAGGGAAGGCATATACACTGCTGGTGGGAATGCAAACTAGTTTAGCTACTGTGGACATCAATGTGGAGATTTTTAAAAGAACTTAAAACAGAACTACCATTAGACCCAGCAATCCCATTACTGTGTATATGCCCAAAGAAAAATAAATTATTTCACCAAAAAGATGCATACACTCGTGTGTTCACTGCAGCACTATTCGCAATAGCAAAGATATGGAACTAACCAAGGTGCCCATCAATGGTGGATTGCATAAGGAAAATGTGGTACATATACACCATGGAATAAAAAGCCATATAAAAGAACAAAATCATGTCCTTTGCAGCAACATGGATGCAGCGGGAGACCATTATCCTAAGTGAAGCAACACAGGAACAGAAAACCAAACAACACATGTTCTCACTTAGAAGTGGGAGCCAAACTCTGGCTAAACATGGACACAAAGATGGGAACAATAGACACGGGGGACTATTGGGTGGGAAGAGAGGCAGGAGGGACAAGGGCTGAAAAACTGCCTATTGGGTAGGATGCTTACTACTTGGGTGATGAGAACTTTCATACCCCAAACCTCAGTGTCACAGAATATTCTCATGTGACAAACCTGCATATGTACCCTCTGAATCTAAAGTAAAAGTTGATATTATTTAATAAACAAATAAAACATGGACCACTAACTATCAATGAAAACAAACTACATGCATTAACATGGATGATCTAGGAAACCAATACTGAACACAAAATAAAACTCATCACAAAAACATAATAACTATATGATTCTAATAGAAAGGGACAAAAGGGGAAGAGCCAATATATTGCCTAGGAATTCATATGCATTTGAAAAACTCTAATAAAAATCAAGGGAATGTCATAGCATGAAGATATACAGATGAATTATTATGTTCTATTTCTGAGGCTGGCTGGTGAGAACGTGAGTGTTTGTTTTATTATTATTCTTTTAACAATATATTTATATTACCTGTGTACTTTTCTATGCATAAAAATCATGCCAAATATCAAAATAAATTTCAGATGAATTTTAACTTAAAATTTGATGCCATAAATTTCAAGAAGAAATAAAAAATACATAATATTTTGAATGAGGAAGACCTTTATAAGCTCATCCTAAGGGTCAAAATACATAGAAAAACCCTAATAGAGTTTACTACATAAAATTGTTTAACACTATGTGTCAAAAAATAAAAGGAGAACTATAAACTCAGAATGCCATTTGTAGCATACTTGACAGAAGTCTGATATTCTTAACAAATAGCTCCTACAAATCTGTAATAAAATGAACATTCCAGCCAAAAAAAAAAGGCAGGCTGCATAGCTGCAAATTTTCCTGTAAAGAAATACAAATTGTTACTAGAAAATAGAAAAAAGTCCACCTTTCTACAAATGAAGAGTGAGATATCATTTTCTCTCCCATTAAGAGACAAGGACCTCTTAGGATATATTGGATATTAATCCAACACATTTAACGCTGGCCGTAGCTTTCATCCACCCAAGCTGTATCCACTCTAAAATCCTTTCTACTGGCCCTTTGGCGACCCAGATCAAAAAGCGTCAAATGTGGATTTTGTTTGAACTAGTAATTTCAATTCTAATTTCTGGGAATTCATCACAAATATATAATTAGGAAGATACACCGATTTCTTTTTTGTAGAGACAGGGTCTTCATATGTTGCTAGGCTGGTCTTGAACTCCTGGACTCCAGCAATCCTCCTGTCTCGGCCTCCTGAGGTGCTGGTATTACAGGTATAAGCCACCATGCCTGGCCAGTTACAACACTTTAACTATAAGAATGTTTACTCTGGGTTCCAAGATGGCCGAACAGGAACAGCTCCAGTCTACAGCTCCCAGGGTGAGCGACACAGAAGATGGGTGATTTCTGCATTTCCAACTGAGTTAATGGGTTCATCTCACTGGGGCTAGTCGGACAGTGGGTGCAGGACAGTGGGTGCAGCACACCGAGTGTGAGCCAAAGAAGGGAGAGGCATCGCCTCACCCAGGAAGCGCAAGGGGTCAGGGAATTCCCTTTCCTAGCCAAGCAAAGCTGTTACAGATGGCACCTGGAAAATCGGGTCACTCCCACCCTAATACTGCACTTTTCCAATGGTCTTAGCAAACAGCACAACAGGAGATTATATCCCATGCTTGGCTTGGAGGGTACCACGCCCACAGAGCCTCACTCATTGCTAACACAGCAGTCTGAGATCGAACTGCAAGGTGGCAGTGAGGCTGGGGGAGGGGTGCCCACCATTGCTGAGGCTTGAGTAGGTAAACAAAGGGGCAGGGAAGCTCGAACTGGGTGGAGCCCACCGCAGCTCAAGGAGGCCTGCCTGCCTCTGTAGACTCCACCTCTGGGGGCAGGGAATAGCCCAACAAAAGGCAGCAGAAACCTCTGCAGACTTAAATGTCCCTGTCTGACAGCTTTGAAGAGAGTAGTGGTTCTCCCAGCATGCAGCTGGAGATCTGAGAATGGACAGACTGCCTCCTCAAGTGGGTCCCTGATCTCCGAGTAGCCTAACTGGGAGACACCCCCCATAGGGGCAGACTAACACATCACACGGCCGGGTACCCCTCTGAGATGAAACTTCCAGAGGAATGATCGGGCAGCAACATTTGCTGTTCAGCAATATTCGCTGTTCTGCAGCCTCCACAGCTGATACCCAGACAAACAGGGTCTGGAGTGGACCTCCAGCAAACTCCAACAGACCTGCAGCTGAGGGTCCTGACTGTTAGAAGGAAAACTAACAAACAGAAAGGACATCCACACCAAAACCCCATCTATATGTCACCATCATCAAAGACGAAAGGTAGATAAAACCACAAAGATGGGGAAAAAACAGAGCAGAAAAACTGAAAATTCTAAAAATCCGAGCACCTCTCCTCCTCCAAAGGAACGCAGCTCCTCACCAGCAATGGAACAAAGCTGGACGGAGAATGACTTTGAAGAGTTGAGAGAAGAAGGCTTCAGACAACCAAACTTCTCCGAGATAAAGGAGGAAATTCAAACCCATCGAAAAGAAGTTAAAAACCTTGAAAAAAGATTAGACAAATGGCTAACTAGAATAACCAATGTAGAGAAGTCCTTAAATGACCTGATGAAGCTGAAAACCATGGCACGAGAACTACGTGACGAATGCACAAGCTTCAGTAGCTGATTCGATCAACTGGAAGAAAGGGTATCAGTGATTGAAGATCAAATGAATGAAGCGAAGCAAGAAGAGAAGTTTAGAGAAAAAAGAATAAAAAGAAACGAACAAAGCCTCCAAGAAATATGGGACTGTGTGAAAAGACCAAATCTACGTCTGATTGGTGTACCTGAAAGTGACAGGGAGAATGGAACCAAGTTGGAAAATACTCTGCAGGATATTACCCAGGAGAGCTTCCCCAACCTAGCAAGGCAGGCCAACATTCAAATTCAGGAAATACAGAGAACACCACAAAGATACTCCTCGAGAAGAGCAACTCCAAGACACATAATTGTCAGATTCACCAAAGTTGAAATTAAGGAAAAAGTGTTAAGGGCAGCCAGAGAGAAAGGTCGGGTTACCCACAAAGGGAAGCCCATCGGACTAACAGCTGATCTCTCGGCAGAAACTCTACAAGCCAGGAGGAGTGGGGGCCAATATTCAATATTCTTAAAGAAAAGAATTTTCAACCCAGAATTTCATATCCAGCCAAACTAAGCTTCATAAGTGAAGGAGAAATAAAATACTTTACAGACAAGCAAATGCTGAGACATTTTGTCACCAGCAGGCCTGCCCTACAAGAGCTCCTGAAGGAAGCACTAAACATGGAAAGGAACAACCAGTACCAGCCACTGCAAAAAACATCCCAAATTGTAAAGACCATCGAGGCTAGGAAGAAACTGCATCAACTAATGGGCAAAATCACCAGCTAACATCATAATGACAGGATCAAATTCACACATAACAATATTAACCTCAAATGTAAATGGGCTAAATGCTCCAATTAAAAGACACAGACTGGCAAATTGGATAGAGTCAAGACCCATCAGTATTCAGGAAACCCATCTCACGTGCAAGAGACACACATAGGCTCAAAACAAAGGGATGGAGGAAGATCTACCAAGCAAATGGAAAACAAAAAAAGGCAGGGGTTGCAATCCTAGTCTCTGATAAAACAGACTTCAAACCAACAAAGATCAAAAGAGACAAAGAAGGCCATTACATGATGGTAAAGGGATCAATTCAATAAGAAGAGCTAACTATCCTAAATATATATGCACCCAATACAGGAGTAAGCAGATTCATAAACCAAGTCCTTAGAGACCTACAAAGAGACTTAGACTCCCACACAATAATAATGGGAGACTTTAACACCCCACTGTCAACATTAGACAGATCAATGAGACAGAAAGTTAACAAGGATATCCAGGAATTGAACTCAACTCAGCTTTGCACCAAGTGGACCTAATAGACATCTACAGAACTCTCCACCCCAAATCAACAGAATATACGTTCTTCTCAGCACCACATCACACTTATTCCAAAATTGACCACATAGTTGGAAGTAAAGCACTCCTCAGCAAATGTAAAAGAACAGAAAGTATAACAAACTGTCTCTCAGACCACAGTGCAATCAAACTAGAACTCAGGATTAAGAAACTCACTCAAAACCACTCAACTACATGGAAACTGAACAACCTGCTCCTGAATGACTACTGGGTACATAATGAAATGAAGGCAGAAATAAAGATGTTCTTTGAAACCAACGAGAACAAAGACACAACATACCAGAATCTGGGACACATTTAAAGCAGTGTGTAGAGGGAAATTTATAGCACTAAATGCCCACAAGAGAAAGCAGGAAAGATCTAAAATTGACACCCTAACATCACAATTAAAAGAACTAGAGAAGCAAGAGCAAACACATTCAAAAGCTAGCAGAAGGCAAGAAATAACTAAGATCAGAGCAGAACTGAAGGAGATAGAGACACAAAAAACCCTTCAAAAAATCAATGAATCCAGGAGCTGGTTGTTTGAAAAGATCAACAAAATTGATAGACCACTAGCAAGACTAATAAAGAAGAAAAGAGAAGAATCAAATAGACACAATAAAAAATGATAAAGGGGATATCACCACCAATCCCACAGAAATACAAACTACCATCAGAGAATATTACAAA
The DNA here is from genome assembly GCF_000001405.40 of Homo sapiens. Classification (NCBI taxonomy): domain Eukaryota; kingdom Metazoa; phylum Chordata; class Mammalia; order Primates; family Hominidae; genus Homo; species Homo sapiens. The sequence goes on along the minus strand of NC_000018.10, from coordinate 14,003,608 downwards.
CACCTCTACGCAAATAAACTAGAAAATCTAGAAGAAATGGATAAATTCCTGGACACATACACCCTCCCAAGACTAAACCAGGAGGAAGTTGAAACTCTGAATAGACCAATAACAGGCTCTGAAATTGAGGCAAAAATTAATAGCTTACCAACCAAAAAAAGTCCAGGACCAGATGGATTCACAGCCGAATTCTACCAGAGGTACAAGGAGGAGCTGGTACCATTCTTTCTGAAACCATTCCAATCAATAGAAAAAGAGGGAATCCTCCCTAACTCATTTTATGAGGCCAGCATCATCCTAATACCAAAGCCTGGCAGAGACACAACAAAAAAAGAGAATTTTAGACCAATATCCCTGATGAACATCGATGCAGAAATCCTCAATAAAATACTGGCCAACTGAATCCAGCAGCACATCAAAAACTTATCCACCATGATCAAGTGGGCTTCATCCCTGGGATGCAAGGATGGTTCAACATATGCAAATCAATAAGCATAATCCAGCATAAAAACAGAACCAAAGACAAAAACCACATGATTATCTCAATAGATGCAGAAAAGGTCTCTGACAAAATTCAACAGCCCTTCATGCTAAAAACTCTTAATAAACTAGATATTGATGGGACGTGTCTCAAAATAATAAGAGCTATTTATGACAAACCCACAGCCAATATCATAGTGAATGGGCAAAAACTGGAAGCATTCCCTTTGAAAACTGGCACAAGACAAGGATGCCCTCTCTCACCACTCCTATTCAACATAGTGTTGGAAGTTCTGGCCAGGGCAATTAGGCAGGAGAAAGAAATAAAGGGTATTCAATTAGGAAAGAGGAAATCAAATTGTCCCTGTTTGCAGATGACATGATTGCATATCTAGAAAACCCCATCGTCTCAGCCCAAAATCTCCTTAACCTGATAAGCAACTTCAGCAAAGTCTCAGGATACGAAATCAATGTACAAAAATCACAAGCATTCTTATACACCAATAACAGACAAACAGCTAAAGCATGTAAATCATGAGTGAACTCCCATTCTCAATTGCTTCAAAGGGAATAAAATACCTAGGAATACAACTTACAAGGGACGTGAAGGACCTCTTCAGGGAAAACTACAAACCACTGCTCAACAAAATAAAAGAGGATACAAACAAATGGAGCGCCACTGCACTCCAGCCTAGGTGACAGAGTTAGACTCCGTCTCAAAAAAAACAAGAGAAACTTTCCAATTGCCTCATGGAGATTTATGGGAAATTGTTTTTTTAAATTTTACTAATAATTTTTTAATTTTATAATGAAAATTATTTTAAAAATGGAAAGTAAAATTATTTTTTAAAAAAGAATAGCAGTGGAAGAAGAAAAGGCATTTTCAGGACTTCGTAATCTTATCTATCTGGCATCTTCACATGAAATAAGTTATTTTATACTAAGAATTCTCCATGGTAAAGTTGATCTGTCAGTATTTTTCTGAACATTTTGAATTTTAAACACCATACACTTCCTTATAAGCCAATTTAACTTATAGGAGTACCCTTTATATCTCATGGAAAAAATTTTCTTTGGTTACTTGAACAGATCTGGATATTCTAATACTTTAAAAATGAGAAGCAGAGTAACCACCCAATTAGATATGAGCGCTGGAAAGCCATTTCTGAACATGGAATTTGTTGGTTATTCATTTGTATGTGGCCCTCATTATCTGAATGATACAAGACACTCCCATCACGTGCATGCCCTCTGTTGAGAGCTGCGCCACTATCACTGACCCCTCTCCTAAGCTAGTGGAGTTTGCAAACTGCCACCAGGTACAGATGGCCTAGCATGGGCTGTCAGAGCCCACAGAGCCAAGCAGGGTGACAAGGGTGTCTGTGCAGCCCAGTGTAAGCCAGAGCCATCAGAATTTGGTGTTGGCAGTGGCCCAGGGCTGGTGTCAGAGCCCTTCAAGGAGCAAAGAGAAGCCATGTGGAAGGTGCAGGCCTGGACTGGAATGCCAAAGCCAGGTGAGGTGAGGCAGAGGGCACGTGTCACAGCTCAGGTGTGGTGAGGAGACACCCACAAGGGAATAGGCACAATGACCACCCAGTACCAATGAGCACACCTAACATCCAGGCCTTGGTTTCTAAATCTCATTTTCAACTGAATAAACTGGGCTCCTTGGAGGAAACAGCTGATTCCAGAGCCTAGGAAGGGAGAATTCAAGGTGAGTCTGGGACACTGAGTGATGCAAGCAACTAAGTGTTTAAACTAATAATTATTACAATAATAATAATAGTGGGGACACATCAAAAGGATACAGACGTCAGCTTAAAATGACCCCTCACTTCTAGGGGGTTCTCTGGAAAATTCATGATCTAAATTTAATTTTTGAAAGCACTTCATACAACACCAGCCTATTTTGTAGGGTTATTTTGGATCCCTGTCTTAAAATCTTCAGAAGTGACAAGTTCATAATCGCTAAGGAAAGTCCTGTGAGGGCGGGGAACTCTGTCTCACTGTCAGAGCCTCAACCCAGAGGGAGTCACGCCCAGACTAAGCCTCTGTATTCCTTTGGGCATTTATGAATGGCGTGCAGTGGGAGAGGATCTTGTCTGATGAGGGCTCCTCCTCATCGGACCTGGTCTGGGAGCAAAAACCAACCAGAATATACTGACTCGCACAGCCAGGCTACCAACAGAACAGGGGTGGTTCTAGCTGACCCCAGGGTGCTGCACACCTCGTGTTGTGTCTTGTTGCTGCTTCTGTCTTCTGTCTGCCTTTTGCTTCATTTTCTTAGGTCAGTTGTACACATTCAGCTAAAGCCATAGTCACAGATAGCTGAAAGTATAGGTGTCAGTTTGGAGGGTGGACGGCTCTTTTTCACTAGTAAATTAGAGAAATCCCAGGAAAGATTGGGATTGGCTCAGCGGGGCCAATCTGAGTCAATCACTATGGTTGGGGCATAGGATAATCTGTTTGGTCCAAGTGGGTCCTGATCCAACTCCATGGCCAGGAGGCTTAGGTAGCATATTTGAAAGTACCCACTGGAAACTACATGATTTGTGGAACTATATGATTTATGGGAAAACTTCAGACCCCACAAAAAGCAATGCTAACCAAAACAGACAAAAGAATGAGTAGAAACTTTGTTCCCATTAACAGTCTTGCAACTTTGCCATATCATTAAAATACTGATTTTAGAGGATGTGTGTTTTCACAGAAGGATAGGAGCAGTCTTAAGAGTTTTCTAATAAAAAATCTAGGTATTTTTCCACTACAGTTAGTATTAAAGTATCTTTCAATAAAAATGATTTTTTTCAAATAAACATCAAATTCATTTATTGTTTGACACCAAAAAATTTGATTTAGTTCAAAGAATACCACAAGGCCAGGTACACAGTACTGTAAATCTTGAATGTTTAGTATGTCCCTGATTCTAGCCAGTTTTGAAAGGAATTATTAGGTGTATGTTTGGATAAATCAGAATTGCTCTTCAATAACTTACACTCTGTTCAATTTATTAATAATTAACTAGATCTTTCGGGGAAGTTCATTTTCTGATATATTCATGGAGGAGGAAATTAAGCCTTATTCCAATTAAAGGACCTTGAGAAATTATTTATTATTTCAGCTGGTCTCATATAAAACCAGTGGCATCTGCTCTTACATCAAAGACATCTTCAAAAAAAAGAGAAACTATTAGCCGAAGATTGCCTTTTATGAAGTGAAAAATCTTTGTTCACCTGCTACTTGGGATTTGGGTAAAGGGATTCAAAGAAAAATCTCCAAGGACACTGTTCCTCGGGATTTTAAAATGACTTTGGGTTTAATGAGAGGAAAGAGCAAGCATTGCCAGCTTCACTTTTTTTCAAGTGTCATTGATTCTTTGTACAGCTTTTTATTTTAAAAAATAAGTAACGATATCTATTTCTGCCTTATTGTCAATGGTGCAATTAGTTTATGAGCATGCAATTACTTTTCTCTTCACAGGCTTTGATTCTGCTGTAATAGTCTCCATGTTGAATCTTTCCCTGCATGAATTCATCCTGCATGTTTCTGCAGATCCTTCTCCTTGTCACACCATACTACAAATTATCCCTTGGCTCATAAAACCTGAGCAGTTCCCTAAATTCCTTAGCTAGACACATGATTGTCCACAGCAGAGCCCTTACTTGTCTCTCTCTATATCCCATTAGTCACCTGCCCTCTGCTCCATTCAAACGTATCAACCTAAAGTCCAGAAGGAGCGCCGTGTGACGGGAAGACACCAGCCTTGTGGCCAGTTGAATCTGGGCTTGACTTCCTGCATGGCATTTCCTAGCTTTATGTCCTTGAACTACCCTCAGCAACGCTCTTGGTATCAGTACCTTCTCTCTGGTCTGAGTTTCTGCCAATAATCTTATTACTCTGTTTCCAGATTTTGCCACAATCCCAAGCCCTCTGCTCAACATTCTTGCCCACTGCCCCTGAGCTATTCTCACATGCCCTGATCACCATCTTCACTGACACCTCCAAGGATTTTTCCTCTCCTTTTACAAGGCCAAGTCAACCCAGCCAAATCAGTTACGCTCACTGGATGGATCCTTCACGTTGTCCTCACAAAGACAGGTCTGAAGACTCCCAGACCCTGCGAATAGGCTTTCTCTAGTTCCTTCCCAGTGGCTGACTGAATCATGTCCCCGTCAGGGGTTAAAGCTCTGGATTGCATGGGTGTGGCCAGGAGAAACCATGGGATGCACACTAAAAATTCCCATCTTGGAGATACTCCTCCGCCCTGGGATCACAGCATACACAACAGAGCTCAGCTCCAGCCGAACCTGAGCTAGACAATCTGCCTTGACAGGCCCCACGCCCACTGCCGGGTGTGTGTCTCAGCCAACCTGGGAATTCCTGCACAGCCCAGGAGTCTCCTGTTTCATTGCCATCACACACACATACGGGTCTGGTTTAGGGCAAAGTCCAGTGTTGGGGTGAATGATCCCTCCAGCGTCTCCATTACCCCCGTGCCTCTCAAAGGCCTCTAAAGTACTTGATCTTACTTCATCCCGCTCCAATTTTTACTCATGCTCTCTAAGCCCTGGAGGGTCTGAGATACACAAATATGTGCACCTAACACATGGGATTTCTAACCGATGATAACTGTATTAGTCCGTTTTCATGCTGCCGATAAAGACATACCCGAGACTGGGAAGAAAGAGGTTTAATTGGACTTACAGTTCCACATGGCTGGGGAGGCCTCAGAATCATGGCGGGAGGCGAACGGTACTTCTTATGTGGCGGCGCAAGAGAGAATGAGGATGAAGCAAAAGCAGAAACCCCTGATAAACCCATTAGATCTCGTGAGACTTATTCACTATCACGAGAATAGCATGGGAAAGACATGATGTAGAGGAATTCGATGAGAAAGGAAAGGCAGAGAGTGAAGCATGAATGTGGCCCAGCATCTCAGGCCAGCTGAATTCCAGGCTACTGCAAACAAAAGACTGTGCTAGTCACCGGGCATATAGTGGTGAAAAAAAATAATGTCTCTGGTTTCATGAAGCTTATATTCTATTAGATGGAGACGACAAATAAATATATAAGTAAAAGATACAGTAAATAGGATGGGGCGCGTGTAATGTAGGGAATGAAACAGGGTGTGGGAGCTGGGCATGCGGCTGATATGTGTGCTGCCTTGTGTTGGATGGCCACGGAGGGCTTCCAGTGTCTTCCTGTTTCACATCAACTAAAAGCTATGGTTTTAAAATGCCTTAAACAACCTGATACGGTTGACCACCCCCTACCTCTCTAAGCTAATTTCCTACCACCCTGTTTTCAACTGTTCAGCTGCAGTTACCTCGCTGTCCTTCAGTCACACCCGCATTCTCCCTCCTTTGCACCTTTGTACTTTCCTTCCCACTATCTGGAAAGCTCCTTCCCCCATAGCCATGTGGCCCATCTCCTCACTTATTTTAGGTCTCTGAGCAGATGCCAGCTCACTTCCGAAGCCCTCCATGGCCATCCAACACAAGGCAGCATACACATCAGCCGCATGCCCAGCTTCCACACCCTGCTTCATTCTCTACATGACATGCACCCCATCCTATTTACTGTATCTTTTACTTATATATTTATTTGTCGTCTCCATCTAATAGAATATAAGCTTCATGAAACCAGAGACATTACTTTTTTTCACCACTATATCCCCGGTGACTAGCACAGTCTTTTGTTTGTAGTAGCCTGGAATTCAGCTGGCCTGAGATGCTGGGCCACATTCATGTTCCACTCTCTGCCTTTTCCTTTCTCATCGAATTCCTCCACATCACAGCCTTGATCTAGTGACGAGAAAATGCATAACCCACTCTGGGGGTCCTCAAATCAGAGAATGCCTTATTTTTGCATAATATATTTAATAATTATAAAGTCTAAATAAAACAGGCTGGGCACGGTGGCTCACACCTGTAATCCCAGCACTTTGGGAGGCCAAGGTGGGTGGATCACCTGAGGTCAGGAGTTTGAGACCAGCCTGGCCAACATGGTGAAATCCTGTCTCTACTAAAAATACAAAAAAATTAGCTGGGTGTGGTGGCCAGGTGCCTGTAATCCGAGCTACTTGAAAGGCTGAAGCCGGAGAATTGCTTGAACCTGGGAAGTGGAGGTTGCAGTGAGCCAAGATCGCACCATTGCACTTCAGCCTGGGCAACAGAGCAAGACTCCGTCTCAAAATAAATAAAATAAAATAAAATAAAATAAAATCAACTCTAGTCTGTTTCCAAGTATATTAGGTGCAATATGAATTCCCTTGAAGGCTGGAACTTTCTTCCTACCATTACTTGGGAGAGTCCTAGTGAAACAGACCAAAGGCTTGGCCTAGGAAAGAGTCCAGGCCAGGCATGGAAATGGCAAACGTGGCTGCTTGCTTGATTGCATTCCAAAGTGAAAGTTCTTTGTTTGTTTGTTTGTTTTTATTGCTTGGTGCTACTCAGATTGCTTCTCACTTCTATTATGGATAATATAAATGTAGCCATATGTAAAAACATGTAAGTTAACTATGTCATCTCTGCAACTTTGGTCATATACAACATTTTGGGTTGAATGTGTATAAAATAAAGATTTTCAATACTCTCGTTCAGTTTTCTATCGTGGGGAAATGAAATGAGAATGTTCATAAATTCAGCATTTACTGACTACAGGTTCTTACTGTCTATAAAAAATTGTACTACACAATGGCTCTAAACTTCATCTCTGCCTTGGTCCATCTTTAAGTCACTCCTCATCTCAGTCTCTCTTCTTATTCTTTCCCCAATCCATCTCATTTTTTCTTCTTGGTCTTGGATGGCAGATGAGAGTCTCTTATGCACTATCTGACCAGATTTCTGATATGAGGATCCTAAAGTTGGTCAGGTCAGTGTCAGGTTCGGAGGTGGGTTGTTGGGAGATCACTAAGCCACTTAACATAAAACTGAATGTGCTTGGAAGATCCTCTTCCTTGGCTCTGTCTTGAGGTTGCTGCAATAACAAGATATAGTTAAGAAACTTCAAAGAGAATAAATATGAAAATGGAAAGCTCCAGCTATCCCCTTCGCCTCTATGATCAGCTGATTTGTGACCATCGAAGAGACAGGTCTGTCTGCCCTGGCAATAGTTTGAACAATTACCCTCACTATACAACTCAGGTGAGACCACAACCATTATTACAATCTGTTCTGGCAATGATGGTCAAAGGTCAAAGGAAATACATGTCTCTGTGTGCCAGGAGCAGCTCAAACAGGTTCCAGGCTCTGCTGGCCCTGTTGAGCTAGGCAGGCTCAAAGCAAATGTAGAAATGTGTTTTGATTCCATAAGTTACCAGCACAGTTTACTTCTGTCTGGAGTCCTGTCCATCAAGGGGGTTTCCTTTGGAAAGTCTTGAATTTTGAAGAGAGTTGTGCCCAGACACATTTCTACACATTGTCCCTGCTCTCCCTCCAGATTCAGCTGAGGAAATCCCTCTTCCATTCTCTCCAAATCATGTTTCTGGAATTTTCTGCAAAGAAAATCAATCTATATTTGGAACAATGCAAACCACCAGAGACTGCTAGAGTGTCAAAATTAGTAGTGAGGTAGAAATGCTAGTAAGTGTTTCCACTGTAAGATCTGGCATATAATACACATTGTGAGTGCTCGGTGATTTTGTCATTGAGAGCAATGCATTTCTTCCTTTTTCTGAACAACCAAGGATGGATCACACTAGGAAGCAGGTGTTGGCACCTGTCTTCACTAGTACTTGCCACATACTCCATTTATCCTTAGCTTCCCAGGCTCTCAGCACTTCCTGAGCCTGGCTGAAAGTGATGGCTTACGACAGTTGGTGAGAAATATTTCGCTACTGGATATTTTGACAAGAGTCTTTGGGATGATGGCCACTATCAGAGCTGCGTGTCAAAACTTCCTTTCAAACACACCCAAAGGACCCAGTTTGCCATTTATTTGAGGCTCAAGGCTTTACATTTTTGAGCTTATGATAGGTGATATTGTGAAACCATAGAAAAGAAAAAAGAAAACACATGACAGTAAATTCTGAGTCCCGTGCATGATTTTTAAGTTGAAATCTTAAGTCTGATAATGGATCTCCTGTGTTCTAGCAATAGTGAACTAAAATAAACGATGAAATATTTCAACCTTTACTATGATTTTACTCCAAGAAAAAAAAGTACACATGAACATTGTGCAGATAGACTTCAGATCCTCTTCCCACAGCTTGACCATCAGTCAGACAGTCCTACTTGGACAGACTGGGATTTCTGACCTTGTGCATAAGGTCTCAGATCTGTTCATTTAAGCCTAGCAGAAGTTGCCTTGATTATCTGTTATCTGGCCTTCTATCCCAGAGTTTCATGAAATTATTTTCCGTACTGAATTTAAAAAGTCACGTTGATAATGATCTGGTGGAATTTACATCGTTAGTGACACTGTCGTTATTCTGTCCTTAGAGAAAGGGAAGGAAGCCTAAAAATATGAAGACTTAGTGTGATCACCTAAAACCTCCCAGACAATGGCCTATTTTCCATCTGATAGTGTAATATGTAATATGTTTGTAATAATAATATGTAATAAAAAGTTCATGATGTACACTGTTGAATACATATTCCATTGGGGAGTGATAGGCTTTGCCTTATTGAACATTTTTAAAGTACCTAAAAATAAACCATAGCTTTTAGCCGGTACATAATTGAATTTAAAATACTTCATTTCAATAGTATACATTCATGGGGATTATATTGTAACCATTATTTAAACAAGTTCTAAGACACCATATCTGGAAACATCTTATCATATTTGGCATCATTAATTACAGTCAAAAGTTAAAAATACTGAAGAGTTTAAAATATCCCTTGATTCAGTGTGTTTCATGGCTTTACCTTTGACTTTTTCAGGGTTCTCACAAAGTTGGGTCTGACCATTTCTGCTAGTTTTTCAATGTTTCTGTGGAGGGCACAGCAGGCCATCTACTGTGTCACTTTGCTGGTGTTCTTCTTCTTATCTTTCCTTCTGTTTTTAAGTTGACTTCCTTTGTTCAGCATTCAATTGGTTACTGTAACCAGCGATTGTTTTCCACCATTCAGACAAAGCTGGTTCTGCAGTTTCTTCTTTGGCAGTGTTTCTGTGGGAGAATGGGAGATTGACACTGCCTCCTCTGTGACTTTGTTGACGTCATTCTCTTGAAGCACAATTCTTAAGCAGATGACAGTGTCTCTCTGCCCAGTCCTCCCATGCCTGTGTGATCTTGCAGATGGCTACCCAACAGGCTCGTAAAAGCTCAACCTCCAAGCCTCGTGTCAGAGATCATACAGAGAGACTGAAAGAGTCTGGGAGGGCTGCTTCCCTGGAAGAGCCACAGTACCATCACCCAGTAGCTACTGCATGGGCTGACTGCCTGACCACACGCAACCCGTAACCCCAACACTGGCTGCCCACTTCCTATGGCTTATTGGGTCTTTAATTAATTCCTCTGTTGTGCTGTACTGTGACGTGTTTGGAAACTATGTTTTGTGTTACGATAAGCCACTACCACAAGCCAACATAAAGAATTTTTGAAAATCAGATAGCTGTGTAACCATAAATTTTTTAAAAATCAGATAGCTTTGTAACTAAATAAGATCTCAAGATCTTATTACAATGATTAATTCTCCAGCATATCCCACCCAAGGGGTATCACTCTAGGATTAAGAACATCATTCTATGAGAAAATACAGTCATCACTCAGTAACTGTAGTGGTTTGGTTCCAGGATCTCCAGCAGACAACAAAATCCACAGATGCTCCAGTCCCTCATACAAAATGGCATAGTATTTGCATATAACTTATGCATATCTTCCCATATGCCTTAAATTATCTCTAGATTATAATACTTTAATGCAAATGCTATGCAAGTAGTCGTATGCTATATTGTTTAGGGAATAATGACAAGGAAAAGACATATGTATGTACATGTACAGTACAGACACAACTCTGCTTTTTTATCTGAATCCATGCATGTGGAACCCATGTACACAGAGGGCCAACTGTAATGGTCTGGGAAAAGCATGCTTCACTTCAGGGATGGGTGGTAATGTTGCTGTTGTCTTATCAGTTGAAAGCAAATCTTCCCTCGTAGTTGTTGGGTAGAGGCCAGCTTGCCAACTGAAACAAACAGCAGAGAAGGCCGGGAGTGCTTCATGGCTCTGCATAAGGAATCACAAATTTGTGGGATGAACATATTGACAATGAGGGTTTTCTAAATATGGATTTTAATTGGTGTCATGTCTTGAATTTATAGAAGCACATATTCCAGTGAGCTCTAAGCACAACTCCAGTACTCTTTTCCTTCCTTCTCAAGGCACCTCTGTGAAGCAGGCCAAGGCCAAGCATGGTCGTGCTTTGACTGATGGATAGAGGCAGTGAGCGTGAGCAACCAGGCAGTGGGGAGCAGACGAAACCAGCATGGACGGCCCTTCCCTGCTCTGTGTAACTGGTGCTCTTCTGTCTCACCACAAGGTTTGGCAGGAGGTGGTTTTCTCAGGCAATGACCCAATGCCCCAGGAAATACACGAGGACCCAGCTCAGTAGTACCTTGAGGAAGCACATTTAAGTGTCTGGTATACCCAAAAGAAGATATACACACTCTTTATTAAGGGCATACTCTGTGCCAAACATTGTGTTAAGCAGCAGTTTATAGACACGAGTCGACTTAATCTTTTGGAAAACCTGAAGATGGGGATACTCTAATTATCTTCATGTTACGCATGAGGAAACTACCACTTGGATGGAACAAACAAATATTCAAGATCACATGGCTGGTAAGTGGTAAACTGGGATAACATAGACAGGCAGGCCATTTGATCCTGTCGTTCAAGTGAGCTGGGCAGCCTCTTACCAGGTGTCTATGAAGTCTCAGCAGCAGCAGGGCTGACATTTGAGCCTTTATGAGCAGGTGAAAACACTGGTACTCACAGGGAAGAGCTTAGATTGCCACACACTTGATGGAATAACCATGTTTAACTTAATGCAGCCCACGAAACTGTATATAAGAATTGCATGTGCCTTTGAGTCCATCACCAAGGATAGAACTTATATAGAATATACTTAGACCTCAAAAAGCATGTATTCAGCCATTGGTAGTTTTATGTAGCTCTATCAAATGTATGATTAATAGACAGATTAGGTGTTTCCTCTAAAAGTAAAATTAGTAATTTTTATAATAAAATACATTTATAAATAAGTGTAATCATTAATGGTTGTTTTATTTATTTTTTATTGACAAAAATTATATATATTTATGGTAAAACATGATGTTTTGAAATATTTATACATTGTGGAATGGTTAAAGAGAGCTAATTAACATATGCATTACCTCACATGTTTATCTCTCTTTTATTGTGATAAGGCACTTAAAAATCTAATCTCTTAGTAATTTTCAAGTATACAACACATTGTTATTAATTATGGTCCTCAAGTTGAATTTATTTCTCCTGTCTAACTGAACTTTGTACCCTTTGACCAGCCTCTCCCTTGTCCTCCTCACCCTCTACCCTCTGTTCCTGGTAAGCACTGTTCTGCTTTCTGCTGCTATGAAACTTTGTAGATTCCACATATAAGTGAGGCCATTACAGTACTTGTCTTTCTGTGCCTGGATTATTTTACTTAACGTAATGTCTTCCAGGTTAATTCATGTTGTCACAAATGAAAAGATTTCCTTTTTTAAGGCTGAGTAGTATTCCATTTTGTATATACAACACATTATTTTTATCCATTTATCAGTGGTGGACACTTCATAACCATTTATCAGCGATAGACTGATTTCATAACTTAGCTGTTATGAATAATGATGGGATGACCATGGGAATGCAGATATTTCTTTGACATACTGAAATATGTTTCAGTATGTTTCTTTTGTTCATTTGGATAAATACCCAGTATGGGATTGCTGGATCATATAATAGTTCTATTTTCAATATTTTGAGGACTCTCCATACTGTTTTCCATAATGTCTGTACTAATCATATTCCCAGCAAAAGTATACAAAGGTTCCCTTTTCTCCACACCTTCATCAACAGTAATGGGTGTGAGGTGATATTTTATTGTGGTTTTAATTTGCATTTCACTGATGATTAGTGGTGTTGAGCATTTTTTCATACACCTGTTGCCATTTGTATGTCTTCTTCTGAGAAATGTCTACTCAGGTCTGTATTAGTCCATTTCCGCATTGCAATGAAGAAATACCTGAAACTGGGTAATTTATAAAGAAAAGAGATTTAATTGGCTCATGGTTCCACAGGCTGTACAGGAAGCATGGTGCTGGCATCTGCTCCACTTCTGGGGAGGCCTCAGGAAACTTTCAATCACGGCAGGAGGCAAAGGGGGAGCAAGGCATCTTACATGGCAGGAGCAGGAGCAAGAGGGGAAGGGAGGTGCTACACACTTTTAAACAACCAGATCTCACAAGAACTCACTATCACAAGATCAGCACAAGTGGATGGTGCTAAGCCATTCTTGAGAAATCCACCTTCATGATCCAGTCGCCTCCCACCAGGCCCCACCTTCAACATTGAGGATTATAATTTGACATGAGATTTGGGCAGGGACACAGATCCAAACCACATCAAGGTCTTTTGTCCATTTTTAAATTTGATTGTTTTCATACTATGGACTTGTTTCAGTTCCTTATATATTTTGGATTTGGGCCCCTTATCAGATGTATGGCTTGCAAATATTATCTCCCATTCCATTGGTTGTCTCTTCACTCTTTTGGTTGTTTCCTCTGCTATGCAGATGCTTTTTACTTTCATGTAATCTCACTTCTCTATTTTTGCTTTTGTTGCCTGTGCGTTTGCAGTCATATCCAAAAATTATTTTCCAAATAAAAAGTGTCATGGGGCATTCCCCGTTTTCTTCTAGTATTCTTATATTTTCAGGTCTTCCATTTAAGATCATTTTGAGTTGATTTTTGTGTGTGGTATAAGATAAGGGTCCTTTTTTGTTTGTTTGTTTGTTTTTGCATGTACCTATCCAATTGTCTCAACACAATTTATTGAAGAGAATATACTTTACCCATTGTGTATTCCTAGCACCTTTGTCAAAGATTAGTTGACTATATATGCATGGGTTTATTTCTGGGATCTCTATTCTGTTCCATTTTGTCCATGTGTGTGTTTTTAGGTCAGTGCCATAGGTCAAAGCGATGGCTTTGTAATATAATTTCAAATCAGGAAGTGCGATGCCTTCAGCTTTGCTCTTCTTGCTCGACTACTTTATCTATTCAGGCTTTTTCTGGTTCCATACAAATTTTAGGACTTTTTTTTCTATTTCTGGGTAAAATGTCATCAAAATTTTGATAGGGAATGCATTAAATCTGTAGATCACTTTGGGTAGTATGAACATTTTAACAATATTAAATTTAACAATATTCTAATCTGTGAACTTGCTATATCTTTTCATTTATTTGTGTCTTCTTTAGCTTATTTTATCAATGACTTGTTCTCAAAGTCCTTCACCTCTTTTGTTTATTTCTAAGTATTTTATTATTTTTGGTGCTGTTGTAAATGAAGTTGTTTCCTTACTTTCCATTTTGGATAGTTCATGCTAGCATATAGAAATGCAATATTTAAAGAAGAATTCCTAGCAATCCTTCTCAAATGCTTCAAAAAAACTGAAAAAAACTTCCAAATTCATATAATGAGACCAGCATTACCCCCAATAGGATACCTGATTTGCATTTCTATGCCCCATTCACTGGGAGGAAGATATGCAACCCTGGGCTCAATGCCAGGGACTTTATGGAGCCAGGGCCCAGGCTATGAAAGTAGAAGGCTTAGTCATTGCTTTAAAAGAACAAGATTTTTCTGATTGAGTAGATATAAATTTCTTTCACCTTCTTTATATTTAATTTATAATATTTTACTATTCCTGAGATGACTTATAAATTGAAATACCCTTGAGACAAACGTGGTAGGGTGTCATAATTTTTCCTTAATTTCTAAATATATTGTAATTTCACATTTCTGTAATTTCTCATCCAACTTTCTGTTTTTTACTTCTGAATGTCTTGTGTCATATGTACATAATGAGGCTTGTAAACTGTACTCTTTAGGATGTGTGTAGATTTTGCTTTTAATTAATGAAAAATTATTTTTTAAATATTTTAGGGTCATTGAATGGGAATAGCTATTATTTTATATAAACATTTAAAAATAGCAAAACTGGATTTTAAGTTTGTCAATAGCCTAATTAACTCTTAATGTATTTTAATGTGAAATATGTGAGTTAATATCTTCTTTTCTATTTTGTGTGGAAATTCTGAAGTTCCTGATGACTGGATTTTGGCAAGACTAGATCTCAACTTTATATGCTGCAGGTGTTTCTCAAAGTTTATCTCCATAGGCAGCCTTCTCATTTTTCTGGAATACCAGTCTCTCCAATTTTTAAGGGCTAAATATAAATATAAAATGTTTGGGCTCAAACGGATTTAAAATTTGAAACATAAATTTATCTTAGGTAAGGCGGCAGAAACAACCTGGTGTTCACATAGAGGAGATGGGGAAGACAGACCTGCCCACTTCTCCCCAGGTCTCCATGGCTAAGTTCACTTCCCCTGAGCTCGGCTCAGCCTACTGTCACCTGCAGGGAACAGGGCACAGAGGAAGGAGCCGAGCTGTTCACCATTTGAAAGTCAAGAGGTCCTCATATTTGAATGCTTGTCTTCAGTCCTTCCCCTCCTTACACAGGTGTTAAGTGATATAGCTCTGCCTGTGTAAACCACCAACCTCCCATCACCTTCTCCATCAAAACTTCTTTCTGTCCACACTCTAGTGCTCTGAGATAAATTCGCTCAATAAAATAGTCTTTGTGCTCATCATTCCTGCCAAACAGACAAATGCAGCTGCCATTTGTCCCCCCAAAACACTTGAATCTACAGGCTTTTCACCACCAATCAACAACTGATGACCGTGTGATGAAGCCTGATGCTGCTGCATGCCACGGATCCCAGCGTCTCACTGATAAGGAGCTCAGCGCTGTGCTCAAGCCCAAGGTGTGAGCAGACGAATCCCCTAATCCTAACTTTGAGGATCTGTCTCCTAGAAACACTCTTGGTGCTGATTTATCAGCTAGAGTGAGTTAGAGGAGAGAAACCAAACCAGCTAGCTTTTTATAGAGAATTTAATATAAGGAATTATTAACTAGGTGTGAAGTTGTTAACTAGGGATTTAAAAGACAAAAATAAAACACTAATGTATCATGGAGGTAGCAACTGAAAGAAGCAGCTACCATTCCTAGGACCATTAGGACTGTTACAACTTAAAAGCTTGGTGAAGGGACTCCATGGAGCTGAAACCCAGACCTCCGAGAAGGTGGTCATGGTCAGTTTGTGCTGGTGTCTCTCAGGAAGCTGATTCTGTGAAGGTAGAAAAACTGCCACCTAGATTCAACTGATGTTGCATAGAAACAGGAAGGAGCAACAGGAAGGACAACAGACAGGAAGGAGCAAGTCTCCTATTTCTCCTCCATCCTCATGGTCTTTCTCTACATCCCTTTTGGTAAGGCCTCATAGAGGGCCAGCTGGTAGAGCAGAAATGTGATTTGAAGAGTCCAGGCCCAGCATCACAAATCAGAGTACAGTAGGTTTGAAAGTGGAAAGACATAGGTTAATTGTCACCTGCATCAGCTCAATCACACACCATAAGGTGTGGCTTTTCATGGTATGGACTCCATAGCTCCTATGTCTAAGCTCTACCCACAGCCTCACAAATGCTTCAAGCCCAAGTGTGCAAATACCAATCATGTGGTCTGGCCATACAAGGACAGACCTGCAGAGGAGGCCTGAGCAAACTGTAGAAGCTAATTGGGTCACTGGGTGGAGAATTCCAAGGTTTTGGGTACAGGGAATGAGGTCTAGATATAGGCATGGCCTCCAAGGGAACATCTTTTGTTCCCACAGACTTTTGACCCCATAAAGGAACAACTGGAAAAGGTGATCTTAGCAAGAGCAAGGGAAGAAAAGATAGATAATAGTGATGTTAATTCAAATAGCGATAAGGGGAGGAGAAATAGATTGGGGAACACTGATGAATTCTGTTTGGAACAGTTGAAAGGCAGCCTAGTGTACTATTTGAGAACACCAACTCTGCAGCCTGGGTACATAGCCAGCTTCTCCATTTGTTAGCTATGCATTTTTTTTAACTTTTATTTTAGGCTCAGGGGTAAATGTGCAGGGTTTTTATATTGGTCAATTGCATGTCACGGGAGTTGGTGTACAGATTATTTCACCATTCAGGTAATAAGCATAGTACCCAACAGGTATTTTTTTATCCTCTCTCTCCTCCCACCTTCAACCATTAAGTAGGCTCCAAAGTCTGTTGTTCCCTTCTTTGTGTCCACATGTACTCAATGTTTAGCTCACACTTGTAAATGAGAACATACTGTATTTGATTTTCTGTTCCTGTGTTAGGTCGCTTAGGATAATTGCCTTCGGCTCCATCCATGTTGCTGCAAAGGACATCACCTCGTTCTTTCTTATGGCTGCATAGCATTAAATGGTATATATGTAATACTATGCAGCCATAGTAAAGAAGTAGGTACAACATTTTCTTTACCCGGTCTATCATTGATGGGCATGTAGGTTGATTCCATGTCTTTGCTATTGTGAATAGTGCTACATTGAACATACACATGTATGTGTCTTTATGATAGAAAAATTTATATTCCTTTGGGTACATACCCAAAAATGGGATTGCTGGGTTGAATGGTAATTCTGCTTCAAGTTATTTAAGAAATCACCAAACTGCTTTCCACAATGGTTGAACTAATGTACATTCCCACCAGCAGTGTATATGCCTTCCTTTTTCTCTGCAACCTTGCCAGCATCTGTTATTTTTTGACTTTTTAGTAATAGCCATTCTGACTAATGCGAGATGGTATCTCACTGTGGTTTTGATTTGCATTTCTCTGATGATTAGTGATCTTGAGCATTTTTTTCATATGCGTGTTGACCATGTGTGTCTTCTTTTGAAAAGTGTCTGTTCATGTTGTTTGCCCACTTTTTAATGGGGTTATTTGTCTTTCATTTGTTGATTTGTTTAAGTCCCTTATAGATTCTGGATGTTAGGCCTTTATTGGATGAATAGCTTGCAAATATTTTCTCCCATTCGGTAGATTGTCTGTTTACCCTGTTGATAGTTTCTTTTGCTGTGCAAAAGCTCTTTTGTTTAATTAGGTCCCATTTCACAATTTTTGCTTTTGTTGCAATTGCATTTGGTGTTTTTGTCATGAAATCTTGGCCAGATCCTATGACCAGAATGGTATTGCCAGGTGTCTTCCAGGGTCTTTATAGTTTTGGGTTTTACGTGTTTACCTCTTTAATCTATCTTGAGTTGATTTTTGTATATGGTGTAAGGAAGGAGTCCAATTTCAGTCTTCTGCATGTGGCCAACCAGTTGTCCCAGCACCATTTATTGAATAGAGAGTCCTTTCTCCATTGCTTGTTTTTGTCAACTTTGTCAAAGATTAGATGATTTCAGGTGTGTGGCATTATTTCTGGGCTCTCTGTTCCATTCCATTGGTCTATGTGTCTGTTTTTGTACCAGTACCATGGTGTTTTGGTTACTGTAGCCCTGTAGTGTAGTTTTAAGACAGGTAGCATGATGCCTCCTGCTTTGTTCTTTTTGCTTAGGATTGTCTTGGTTACTTAGGCTCTTTTTTGGTTCCACATAAATTTTAGATGGTTTTGTGCTGATTCTGTGAAAAATGTTATTGGTAGCTTGATATGAATAGTATTGCATCTGTAAATTGCATTTAGCAGTATGGCCATTTTAATGATATTGATTCGTCCTATCCATGAATGTGGAATGCTTTTCCATTTGTTTGTGTCACCTCTGATTTCTCTCAGCAGTGTTTTTTAATTCTTGTTGAAGAAATCTTCCGCTTTCCAGGTTAGCAGTATTCCTAGGTATTGTATTCTTTTTGTGGCTATTGTGAATGAGATTGCATTCTTGGTTTGGCTCTCAGCTTGGATGTTGTTGGTGTATAGGAGTGCTACTGATTTTTGTATATTCAGTTTGTATTCTAAAACTTTGCTGAAGTTTTTATCAGATCAAGGAGTTTTGAGCACAGACTATGGGGTTTTCTATGTATAGAATCATACCGTCTGCAAACAGATTATATGATTGACTTCCTCTCTTCCTATTTGGATACCATTTATTTTTTTTCTTGAGCCATGTATTTTAAGGAAAATTATTTAACCTCTCTATGCTTCAGTTTCCTCATCCATAAAATAAAGATAGTAACAGAATCTACATCATAGGGTCATTATGGAGATTAAATAAGTTATAACATATAAAGTCATAGGACAATGCAATTATTCATAGTCTTTGAGGTGTCTGTAGAATATCCAGTAGGCAATAAGATGTGTGAGTCTAAATTTAAAGGAGAGGTCTGAGCTGGAGATGCAGACTTGAGAAATACATTGTTGATACCATGAGAGAGGAAGAGAGAACTCCCAAGAAGTCTTAGGAAGAAGACAAAAATGCCACTGATAGAGCTCTTAAAGGCTAAAATATCCAGGGTACCAGAGAAAGGGAAGTATATGAAGGGGGCAGCAAAATACCTGCTCCCACAACGCACACACTAACACACCTATCTCACATAGGGTGACATAGATGGACTGCACAGCCTCATCCTCCTGCTCAGACTCACAATAACCCATCAGAGAAAGACTTCTTAGGATCACACTTGCAAAATTCAATGCAAAGGTGCAATCTTCAGGCAGTGCCTCTGTAACACAACAGCCCATGAAACTGAAGTGGCAGCACAAATGGGACTGACTTGTCTATACTTGCCACTTCCACTTGCTCCCCAACCACATACTCTTCAAGCTCTCACAGTCTAGCTTCCACCCTCTGCACTCCCTTCAACCCCACTGGGCAAGTCACCAAGATCTTCTTGACACATAAAGCAGACATCTTGTCACAGTTGATGCTGTTGACTTCTCTCTGAAGTTCCAGTTCTTGGAACACTTGCTGCTCTGTGTCTTCTAAATTTGAGACACAACTCTTCTGATTCCCTTCCAAAGCCCATCTTAGCATCTGCACAGGCTCTATTTCCTTGGTATTTCAGCCAAGTTTCTCTTCCGTCAACACCAGTGATGTTATTAATGAGCACAATGGGTGTTAGAATGGTCTTTTGTTGTTGATATTAGTAATGCCCAAGACATGTGAATTGGATAGAAATATGGCACAGGCACCCACTGCCCCCTTATATGAACAGAGTATAACATTTAGTGATTTTTAATATCCTGTATACTTTGGAATCATGTCCTGGGCTCAGATTACATAGGTTCTGAGTCCCAGTCACTTGCCTGAGGAAGCTATTAACTAATTCTATCTAGAGTGTTAGCTGAAGCATGCCACTGAAATCCTGTAGCGTCAGCCTTAAATAAACCATCAGGGTTCAGCTGAGGACAGAGCTGAGATTTTATCAAACATACAGAACAGGTTGTGACGAGTTTTATGTCTGCTTGCTTGTGGGTCTACATATACCAGAATTTGCTCTGAAATTTACCTTCATTGTAACATAATGCCTGAGTGTGAGGTTAAAGGTATGTATACTAGACAAGCTAGGCTTGCCATATAATTTTCATCCAGACCAGGATGCTTTGGAGGGTGAAAGAAGTTTACTCCTGGTAAACTAGAGTCACATATTTCTAATACAAGACTGTGCCCATACATCAAAATAAATCATCAAAGGATTAACACTGGAAACACCTTCATGAAGATGGTACTTTTAAGGGAAAGTAAAACAGTCAGAAAACCACAAAATCATTAATGTAGTCCCTCAAAAAAAAAACAAACAAACAAACCCAAAATGCCATGTCAGACTAATACCTTTCTCATCACCACCCAAATCTCTGCTCTCACTCCCACTTCCCATGAGCTAAGTGGTGGGGAAACAGTGCCTATAGAATTCAAGGAATGCAGTGTCATGTGTGGGACAGCACAGCCACAAGGGACAATGGTGACATTGACCTGGAGAAAGTGTTGATCAATTCTGAGTGCCAAGGACCCGCATTGAGCCTCAGAAAGGCCACAGTTCTTGATGAATCAGAACAGAAAATAATCCATACTTTTCTTTAAACTCTTCATGTGGAGATAACAAAATGAGTACAGCTTCAATGATATCTAGAACTGGTCATCCAAAGAGCTCTCTGTTGCGCTTCTATCAATTTGACATTGATTCTTTACTATCACGGATCGACTATTAGTCAAGAAGATCAGATTTTATTTCTCCAATTATCTTTTGTTGTAATGGAGGACAAACTAACATGTCGTCTGCTTTTGCTTTTTTGCATTCCCCACAGTGCCTAAAATATAATAAGTACTCAAGAATATTTTTAAATTAACCAATTAATTGATAGATAATTCTCAGTCAGGAAGCATAAGGACTTTTGCCAGCCTCAAGCTATCCTGGCGTCAGAGGAAAAGTCCTCATGTGAGGAGGTCCTAACAGCTACTCCATGGTACACACCAGCCACTTGAGGATCTGTCAATTAAAGGGGAGAAGGTACTTTTCCTTTAACACTTCAGCCAAAGAGTTCACACAGCTCTTCCCTTGATTTTCATAGCATGGCAAGATAAGCTTGAGGCTTGGAAAAAGACTATCAAGACCCAAAAAGCCAATGGCAAACGGACAGTTGAAATCATTGGCAATTAAATACTTGGGTCGCCTTCTCGCAACTTCCTCTTTGAGGCTCTGACTGTGATGCTCACAGCGTTTCTCCAGTTTGGCTGCAGCCTGGCTGAAGCTGTTTGTAATTCCCACCACCAGAGGGTCTCAGGCTTGGCAAGGCTCCTAGAAGTTCAGAGCAGAGTGAGATTCAGAGATAGCAGTCCCCTCTCACATGGAAGCCTAAGGACCTGCCCCAGGTCTGTTGCTGAGCAGATCTTCCCCATTTAGAGGACTCCCCATCTCCTCCCTTCCAATAAGGCCACAGGCCTGCACTGTGCCTTCAACAGGACAATGAAATGTGGATACAACCTAATGTGCCCAAGATCTCTACAATGCCACACTGTGTGGCAGACAGTTCTCTTTATTGCCAGGAAACCTGGTTGTGCCCCCAAACTGCCAGCTTACTGTTTGATGGTGCTATTAAGAAACATAATGAGGTATGGTTATGTATAATATGATCTCACTACAGCCAACATTTCTTCCCTAAGGGAGATCATAAAAAAGGTCAAAAAAAAAAAAAAGAAAAAAGAAAGAAGGTGGAGGAGCCAAGATGGCCGAATAGGAACAGCTCCGGTCTACAGCTCCCAGCGTGAGCGACGCAGAAGACGGGTGATTTCTGCATTTCCATCTGAGGTACCGGGTTCATCTCACTAGGGAGTGCCAGACAGTGGGCGCAGGCCAGTGTGTGCGCGCACCGTGCGCGAGCCGAAGCAGGGCGAGGCATTGCCTCACCTGGGAAGCGCAAGGGGTCAGGGAGTTCCCTTTCCGAGTCAAAGAAAGGGGTGACGGACGCACCTGGAAAATCGGGTCACTCCCACCCGAATATTGCGCTTTTCAGACCGGCTTAAATAACGGCGCACCACGAGACTATATCCCACACCTGGCTCAGAGGGTCCTACGCCCACGGAATCTCGCTGATTGCTAGCACAGCAGTCTGAGATCAAACTGCAAGGCGGCAACGAGGCTGGGGGAGGGGCGCCCGCCATTGCCCAGGCTTGCTTAGGTAAACAAAGCAGCCGGGAAGCTCGGACTGGGTGGAGCCCACCACAACTCAAGGAGGCCTGCCTGCCTCTGTAGGCTCCACCTCTGGGGGCAGGGCACAGACAAACAAAAAGACAGCAGTAACCTCTGCAGACTTAAGTGTCCCTGTCTGACAGCTTTGAAGAGAGCAGTGGTTCTCCCAGCACGCAGCTGGAGATCTGAGAACGGGCAGACTGCCTCCTCAAGTGGGTCCCTGACCTCTGACCCCCGAGCAGCCTAACTGGGAGGCACCCCCCCAGCAGGGGCACACTGACACCTCACACGGCAGGGTATTCCAACAGACCTGCAGCTGAGGGTCCTGTCTGTTAGAAGGAAAACTAACAACCAGAAAGGACATCTACACCGAAAACCCATCTGTACATCACCATCATCAAAGACCAAAAGTAGATAAAACCACAAAGATGGGGAAAAAACAGAACAGAAAAACTGGAAACTCTAAAACGCAGAGCGCCTCTCCTCCTCCAAAGGAACGCAGTTCCTCACCAGCAACGGAACAAAGCTGGATGGAGAATGATTTTGACGAGCTGAGAGAAGAAGGCTTCAGACGATCAAATTACTCTGAGCTACGGGAGGACATTCAAACCAAAGGCAAAGAAGTTGAAAACTTTGAAAAAAATTTAGAAGAATGTATAACTAGAATAATCAATACAGAGAAGTGCTTAAAGGAGCTGATGGAGCTGAAAACCAAGGCTCGAGAACTACGTGAAGAATGCAGAAGCCTCAGGAGCCGATGCGATCAACTGGAAGAAAGGGTATCAGCAATGGAAGATGAAATGAATGAAATGAAGTGAGAAGGGAAGTTTAGAGAAAAAAGAATAAAAAGAAATGAGCAAAGCCTCCAAGAAATATGGGACTATGTGAAAAGACCAAATCTACGTCTAATTGGTGTACCTGAAAGTGATGCGGAGAATGGAACCAAGTTGGAAAACACTCTGCAGGATATTATCCAGGAGAACTTCCCCAATCTAGCAAGGCAGGCCAACGTTCAGATTCAGGAAATACAGAGAACGCCACAAAGATACTCCTCGAGAAGAGCAACTCCAAGACACATAATTGTCAGATTCACCAAAGTTGAAATGAAGGAAAAAATGTTAAGGGCAGCCAGAGAGAAAGGTCAGGTTACCCTCAAAGGAAAGCCCATCAGACTAACAGCGGATCTCTCGGCAGAAACCCTACAAGCCAGAAGAGAGTGGGGGCCAATATTCAACATTCTTAAAGAAAAGAATTTTCAACCCAGAATTTCATATCCAGCCAAACTAAGCTTCATAAGTGAAGGAGAAATAAAATACTTTATAGACAAGCAAATGCTGAGAGATTTTGTCACCACCAGGCCTGCCCTAAAAGAGCTCCTGAAGGAAGCGCTAAACATGGAAAGGAACAACCGGTACCAGCCGCTGCAAAATCATGCCAAAATGTAAAGACCATCGAGACTAGGAAGAAACTGCATCAACTAATGAGCAAAATCACCAGCTAACATCATAATGACAGGATCAAATTCACACATAACAATATTAACTTTAAATATAAATGGACTAAATTCTGCAATTAAAAGACACAGACTGGCAAGTTGGATAAAGAGTCAAGACCCATCAGTGTGCTGTATTCAGGAAACCCATCTCACGTGCAGAGACACACATAGGCTCAAAATAAAAGGATGGAGGAAGATCTACCAAGCCAATGGAAAACAAAAAAAGGCAGGGGTTGCAATCCTAGTCTCTGATAAAACAGACTTTAAACCAACAAAGATCAAAAGAGACAAAGAAGGCCATTACATAATGGTAAAGGGATCAATTCAACAAGAGGAGCTAACTATCCTAAATATTTATGCACCCAATACAGGAGCACCCAGATTCATAAAGCAAGTCCTGAGTGACCTACAAAGAGACTTAGACTCCCACACATTAATAATGGGAGACTTTAACACCCCACTGTCAACATTAGACAGATCAACGAGACAGAAAGTCAACAAGGATACCCAGGAATTGAACTCAGCTCTGCACCAAGCAGACCTAATAGACATCTACAGAACTCTCCACCCCAAATCAACAGAATATACATTTTTTTCAGCACCACACCACACCTATTCCAAAATTGAACACATAGTTGGAAGTAAAGCTCTCCTCAGCAAATGTAAAAGAAAAGAAATTATAACAAACTATCTCTCAGACCACAGTGCAATCAAACTAGAACTCAGGATTAAGAATCTCACTCAAAGCCACTCAACTACATGGAAACTGAACAACCTGCTCCTGAATGACTACTGGGTACATAACGAAATGAAGGCAGAAATAAAGATGTTCTTTGAAACCAACGAGAACAAAGACACCACATACCAGAATCTCTGGGATGCATTCAAAGCAGTGTGTAGAGGGAAATTTATAGCACTAAACGCCTACAAGAGAAAGCAGGAAAGATCCAAAATTGACACCCTAACATCACAATTAAAAGAACTAGAAAAGCAAGAGCAAACACATTCAAAAGCTGGCAGAAGGCAAGAAATAACTAAAATCAGAGCAGAACTGAAGGAAATAGAGACACAAAAAACCCTTCAAAAAATCAATGAATCCAGGAGCTGGTTTTTTGAAAGGATCAACAAAATTGATAGACCGCTAGCAAGACTAATAAAGAAAAAAAGAGAGAAGAATCAAATAGACACAATAAAAAATGATAAAGGGGATATCACCACCGATCCCACAGAAATACAAACTACCATCAGAGAATACTACAAACACCTCTACGCAAATAAACTACAAAATCTAGAAGAAATGGATACATTCCTCGACACATACACTCTCCCAAGACTAAACCAGGAAGAAGTTGAATCTGTGAATAAACCAATAACAGGCTCTGAAATTGTGGCAATAATCAATAGTTTACCAACCAAAAAGAGTCCAGGACCAGATGGATTCACAGCCGAATTCTACCAGAGGTACAAGGAGGAACTGGTACCATTCCTTCTGAAACTATTCCAATCAATAGAAAAAGAGGGAATCCTCCCTAACTCATTTTATGAGGCCAGCATCATTCTGATACCAAAGCCGGGCAGAGACACAACCAAAAAAGAGAATTTTAGACCAATATCCTTGATGAACATTGATGCAAAAATCCTCAATAAAATACTGGCAAACCGAATCCAGCAGCACATCAAAAAGCTTATCCACCATGATCAAGTGGGCTTCATCCCTGGGATGCAAGGCTGGTTCAATATACGCAAATCAATAAATGTAATCCAGCATATAAACAGAGCCAAAGACAAAAACCACATGATTATCTCAATAGATGCAGAAAAAGCCTTTGACAAAATTCAACAACCCTTCATGCTAAAAACTCTCAATAAATTAGGTATTGATGGGACGTATTTCAGAATAATAAGAGCTATCTATGACAAACCCACAGCCAATATCATACTGAATGGGCAAAAACTGGAAGCATTCCCTTTGAAAACTGGCACAAGACAGGGATGCCCTCTCTCACCGCTCCTATTCAACATAGTGTTGGAAGTTCTGGCCAGGGCAGTCAGGCAGGAGAAGGAAATAAAGGGTATTCAATTAGGAAAAGAGGAAGTCAAATTGTCCCTGTTTGCAGACGACATGATTGTTTATCTAGAAAACCCCATTGTCTCAGCCCAAAATCTCCTCAAGCTGATAAGCAACTTCAGCAAAGTCTCAGGATACAAAATCAATGTACAAAAATCACAAGCATTCTTATACACCAACAACAGACAAACAGAGAGCCAAATCATGAGTGAACTCCCATTCACAATTGCTTCAAAGAGAATAAAATACCTAGGAATCCAACTTACAAGGGATGTGAAGGACCTCTTCAAGGAGAACTACAAACCACTGCTCAAGGAAATAAAAGAGGACACAAACAAATGGAAGAACATTCCATGCTCATGGGTAGGAAGAATCAATATCGTGAAAATGGCCATACTGCCCAAGGTAATTTACAGATTCAATGCCATCCCCATCAAGCTACCAATGACTTTCTTCACAGAATTGGAAAAAACTACTTTAAAGTTCATATGGAACCAAAAAAGAGCCCGCATCGCCAAGTCAATCCTAAGCCAAAAGAACAAAGCTGGAGGCATCACACTACCTGACTTCAAACTATACTACAAGGCTACAGTAACCAAAACAGCATGGTACTGGTACCAAAACAGAGATATAGATCAATGGAACAGAACAGAGCCCTCAGAAATAATGCCGCATATCTACAACTATCTGATCTTTGACAAACCTGACAAAAACAAGCAATGGGGAAAGGATTCCCTATATAATAAATGGTGCTGGGAAAACTGGCTAGCCATATGTAGAAAGCTGAAACTGGATCCCTTCCTTACACCTTATACAAAAATCAATTCAAGATGGATTAAAGATTTAAACGTTAGACCTAAAACCATAAAAACCCTAGAAGAAAACCTAGGCATTACCATTCAGGACATAGGCGTGGGCAAGGACTTCATGTCCAAAACACCAAAAGCAATGGCAACAAAAGCCAAAATTGACAAATGGGATCTAATTAAACTAAAGAGCTTCTGCACAGCAAAAGAAACTACCATCAGAGTGAACAGGCAACCTACAACATGGGAGAAAATTTTCGCAACCTACTCATCTGACAAAGGGCTAATATCCAGAATCTACAATGAACACAAACAAATTTACAAGAAAAAAACAAACAACCCCATCAAAAAGTGGGCGAAGGACATGAAGAGACACTTCTCAAAAGAAGACATTTATGCAGCCAAAAAACACATGAAGAAATGCTCATCATCACTGGCCATCAGAGAAATGCAAATCAAAACCACTATGAGATATCATCTCACACCAGTTAGAATGGCAATCATTAAAAAGTCAGGAAACAACAGGTGCTGGAGAGGATGTGGAGAAATAGGAACACTTTTACACTGTTGGTGGGACTGTAAACTAGTTCAACCATTGTGGAAGTCAGTGTGGCGATTCCTCAGGGATCTAGAACTAGAAATACCATTTGACCCAGCCATCCCATTACTGGGTATATACCCAAAGGACTATAAATCATGCTGCTATAAAGACACATGCACACGTATGTTTATTGCGGCACTATTCACAATAGCAAAGACTTGGAACCAACCCAAATGTCCAACAATGATAGACTGGATTAAGAAAATGTGGCACATATACACCATGGAATACTATGCAGCCATAAAAAATGATGAGTTCATGTCCTTTGTAGGGACATGGATGAAATTGGAAACCATCATTCTCAGTAAACTATCACAAGAACAAAAAACCAAACACCGCATATTCTCACTCATAGGTGGGAATTGAACAATGAGATCACATGGACACAGGAAGGGGAATATCACACTCTGGGGACTGTGGTGGGGTCGGGGGAGGGGGGAGGGATAGCATTGGGAGATATACCTAATGCTAGATGACACGTTAGTGGGTGCAGCGCACCAGCATGGCACATGTATACATATGTAACTAACCTGCACAATGTGCACATGTACCCTAAAACTTAGAGTATAATAAAAAAAAAAACATTAAAAATAAAAAATAAAAAAAATAAAAAAAAGAAAGAAAACTTGTTAACAGAGACCCTGTTTCAGGTAAAAATTTCTGTATCCACTTCTCCAAAGTGGGAGGGGAGGTTGATTTCCTAGCAGAAATCTAAAAGAAGAAGGAGCCGGAGGATGATGACAAAGAAGACCAGAAGGAGGAGGAGGAGGAGGAGGAAATGTCAACATACATAGGGCCAGAACAATTGTGATGCCGTGGGAATGGTGTTACTTGTTGTTTTAGGCAGAGAATAAATGGGCATAAAACTATACATTGGCTGCTCCCCTAAATATCTTGATGTTCTGAAACCTCTAAAATGTTGGTTCTTGCATAATAAAGCCACTTGTGATCCTGCCAAGATTTTCTGTTACAATATTGAAGTGCCATAAGTGCAAAAATCCATCAAAGAGGTGGTAAGAAAATAACAGAGAATTTCAGAGAAAATATCAAGAAGTTGTGCAGCAGAGGAAAGGGATCTCCAATGGGAAGAATCCGATGGCTTCTTTCACCTAAGTCACCTGATACTTCATATAAGGTCAAATATTTTGTGACGTGGAGAAGTGGCTGGGGATTAGCCAACCTGACCAGCCATCATTGAGTCATTGCTGCTTTATGTCAATCATATTTGCTAATGTAAACTTTGATAAGGTTTTGTATTAGTCTTCTAGGGATGCCACAGCAAAATCCTACAGACTGGGCAGCTTAAACAATAGAATTAGTTCTCACAGTTCTGGAGTCTGGAAGCCCAAGACCAAGTTGATCACAGTGTTGGTTCCTCCTGAGGCCTCTCTCCTTGGTTTGCAGATGACCATCCTCTTGCTGTCTCCTCATGTGTCCATCCCCTGGCCTCTGTTTTTTGTCTCCTAATCTCTTCTTCTTATAAGGACATGAGTCATATTGGATCAGGGCACATCCATATGACCTCTCTTTAAAGGCCCTATCTCCAAATACAAACATATTCTGAGGTACCCAGGGTTAGGACTTCGACATATGAACTTCAGAGGGAGAGACACAACTCAACCCCTGGCAGGTTTCCTCCACCACATTTTAATGTTATAAGAAATAATGGTGGGGGCGGGGGAAAGTGAGGAAGAAAATGGGTAAAATATGCAGACCAGGTGGGATGCAAGATCCAGAGAAACCAGGGAAATTAATGTACAGAGTGAATGTGAATATCACAAACTAGATGAAATATTTATCCAGAGACAGTATACCATCTAAAAATGGAAGAGATTATTTCAAATTAGAAGACACTTAACAATGATGGTGGCCTCCAAGATGGCCCATAGGGCCCCCTCCTGGCTTCCACACCACACCCTGGGTCAGCTGCTCCCATAGTGTTGCAAGGCTGGTCAGGGTCCAGGGAATGTCACTTGGAGATTAGGTTATGAAGTCCTGTGGCTTCCGTCTTAGTTGCTCCCTGTTGACTCTCTTTCTCTCTCTCTCTCTGTCTCTTTCCCTCTTCTTCCCCTCTCATGTCTCTTGCTCTGGGCAAAGCATACTGCCCCTTTAGGAGCAGCCTGTGGAGAGGTTTGTGAGAGGAGGAGGTATGTGAAGAGCCTGGAGGTAGATGCTTCAGCCCCAGCTGAGCCTTCAGCTGACCACGGTCCCCACTGAGAGCTGACCATGACCTTTAAGGGACCCTGAGCCAGAACCCCTCAGCTGAGCAGCTCCTCCATTCCCAACCCTCAGAAATGTTGTCAATTGTAAGCAGCCAACTTTTGGAGTAATTTGTTATGCAGTGAGAGAAAACTAATACAACAATCTAAGCTCAACTTGTATTTTATGGATGAAAATATACTTTACTCAATGCACATGCATAATTATATATTCCTCTGTTTATTCATCCCCATTAAAGTATTTTCACTAGACACAGTCCTAAAAAAGCAAGAAAAATATGATTTTAATTTACAGCATAAAATATTTTTTAAAAGGTTTTATTTTTTAACAGTAAGGAAATGTTGAAACAGGAACAGAATTCTAGGAGGATTTTGGTGATTTGCCTGGGATGTTAACTAACGTTCTCCTTCCTGGCTTTACGAGTATTTGAAATTCTGTTATTTATATTTTGTCACAGCATCTCTGTGCTGCTAACTTTAGCTCATAAAATATTATATTTAATTCTCCAACTTCCTTCTTCATACCCTCTGGTTTGTATAAATATTTAACTGAACTCCAGTTTAGATAAGGCAAAATTTCATTACTAGTCTTCATATGAAACATTGTTATCAAATCCCTCACTGACATTTTCTTTTTAATTAAAAAGGTATTTTCAAGACTAAAGTCACATTGCCCAGTTTTGAGCTACAAACCCTCCAGGCATTCTCACAGTGGCTGTCAGCACCATTTTCTAACAAAATGCTGCAAGTTCTGAGACAGCAAGTGAAATAATTTAGCAACCATGAAGACTAAGAAATATCATCAACAAAATGTGTTTACTATGGAAGTGGAGATGTCACATGGTCTGGCCATCTGGAGCCTTTGTTCCCAAGTTTCTCATATCCCCGAGTCCCCAAGCCATACAGTCCTGTCAAGATGTCAGCAAGGCTGGCTCCTTCTGAGGGCTCTAGAGAGAATCCAGGTCGCTCTCCTGCCTCCCAGTGGCTGCCAACAATCCGTGAGTTCCCAGGCTTGAGGATGAACCACTCCACCTCTTTCTCCTGTCTTCACACATCTCTGTCTCCTGTGTCCTCCCTTCTGTCTGCCTCATCTCCCTCTGGATGGCTCTTGTAAGATTTAGGACCCACGCAGGTAACAGGATGATCTCATCTTGAGATCTTTAACTTAGTTACATCTGCAAAGACCCTTTTTTCAATTCATAGCTTCCAGGGATTTGGAGAACTTTAGGAGAAGGGGGCACAATGAAACCTACCACAGAATCTATTTTTCTTCTAAATCCTCAACCCA
Organism: Homo sapiens; assembly: GCF_000001405.40. Lineage (NCBI taxonomy): Eukaryota > Metazoa > Chordata > Mammalia > Primates > Hominidae > Homo > Homo sapiens. Next base: position 13,972,935 of record NC_000018.10, on the reverse strand, counting down.
AATACAAGTGAGCAAGTGCTAGTAGCATTACCTAATTGCTTGCACAATTTTATTTTTCCAATAAGTCCATGGGATCTGTTAGAATTATTTATCTACATTTTACAGATTAAAATGCTGAAGACAAAGTTTACATGATGTATATGACCAAGATCTCACTACTTAAAAGAGAATGAGATATGAATCATTTGCAACAGAGTCCCTGACTTCTTAGCTGCCCAGTTGTAAAGAATTATCAGAATCCAGAGTTGCTTTTGTCGGTCACTGTGAGAGATGATGAAGGCTGCACTGTGCCAAGGAACAGTCTGGTCACCGTAGAAACTTCCTACAGGTCCCCCTTTAGTGCCTCCAATGCCACCCATCATGCAGTCCAGAAGATCATTTTTCAAAAATCTGAAGACAGCTATTATTTCTTTAATGTCTTCATGTCTTCACCTTACTCTCCAGGTTTTATGAACCTCTCCTGATGGCATCTGGTCCTATATTCGTTATGACAGTAGACATTCCTTTTGGGCTGTATCTGCCATGAGGGAGCCTGTAGGACTTGGTGAAGACACTGTCGACTTGGGAACCTTGAAAAGCCTCAGGACTGAACAGTACACACCAGCATCATGGAAGGAGGTGATTTATAGCCCATGATAATTCATGGGAATGTTATCAGGAGAGAAGGGGAGCAGGAATCTACAAATGTGAGCTCTGTCCTCTCTTAGAAGTGTTTGTTTTTGGGAAGTCCACAAAATGACTCGACTCTCCCCTTTGTAGGTCCTTGATATGCTAATATTAAAGATGAGGAAAAAGAAAACCCACCTTTGATGTCCAGAAGCTAATCTAATCTGATCACCACAATGCAGAAATAGAGAAACTCCAGAAGGACATGGCCTGATGGACGAGCTGCGGGCCATACATGTGTACATTGTCATGAAACCACGGCAGCATGAAGGATCACCACAACGCAGAAATACAGAAACTCCAGAAGGACACGGCCTGAGGGAGGAGCCATGGGCTGAATGGCAGGAGGGGAATGGGAAGTGGAAAGGAGCGGGGCACAAAGATAAAACCACTTTAGATACAAAGACGAAATGACAGGGATCCCAAGGAAGATAAAACTCGCTAGAGAGAAAAGTAAAATATCTAGAAAAATACAAAGGAGAAAAGTGAGACAATGAAAAAGAAATAAAGAAATACATTAACAAGATTAGAAAGAAAAACGTAGAAGACGAAGGAGATCCCACAACAATTCAAGAATATTTTTCTGAAATAAAGATTTGACTCTACATGTCAGAGTATTTATGCCAAGTGTGGCCTCTTGCTGTGAACTAGAACATTGAGCCAAATACATAAACTCTATACAGGTGTGTGAATTTTTCAACACTCGTGGAACTATGCACTTACAAATTGATGAAGTTCATTATGTGTAAACTACACATAAATAAGGTTTAACAAGCCCTGCAAGTGATTTATGTATGAGGGCAGGTAAGATGAACAGAGCCCTCACTCCACAAGCAGCTGGCATAGCCGCTTTCACAAGAGGCCTGGGCTCGGTCAAAGCTCCCGGCAGTGCTCACTAGCTTCCCAGAGATGGGCTGTGCGGGAGACAGTGCAGTTCATTCCAGACCCCCAGGATGCCAGTCGGCCAACGCCAACCATGAACTTGAATGTAGTTGGGGGGAATTAGGGGGTCAGTTTTAGCTTCCTGCACTCACTACAACTGGGCGGAGGCGGGATCCACCCAGGCACCACCCTGCTCTCCCAAAGAAGGGCCCTTGAAACAATGCTACCAGCTTGGAAATTTAGAAATTTGAAATGGGCTCCTACCTCAAGGGCGGTTTTTCCCCTTTGAGCATCCTCACAACCTCGTTTTCTATGCCCCTTAGGCCCACACGTCGGGCACCCAAGTGTGGTGGAGCTCGGGTCCGTCCTGTGCAGGTTCCTCGCCAGCCTCCCTGGTCAACAGCTGTTGGGAGAGCAGCACCGCTGCTCACAATGGACGTTTTTCAGGTTTTTGAAACCTGCTCCTTAGTCCTCATTCTCGTTTCAGTTGGGGAGCTCCTGGACAGGAGCTGCCCACGTTCCTGACACCCACATCCTAAGGACACAATTATCTCTGCTGTGCCTCCTCAGCTTTGGACTGTCCCAGGCCTTGGGCACCTGTTCCCGCACTGTGGGTTTTACTGCAGTCTTGAGGCTCTGCCTTTTGTTTGTTTGCTTATTTATTTATTTATTTTGAGACGGAGTCTCGCTCTGTCCCCCAGGCTGGAGTGCAGTGGCGCGATCTCGGCTCACTGCAAGCTCCGCCTCCCGGGTTCAGGCCATTCTCCTGCCTCAGCCTCCCGAGTAGCTGGGACTACAGGCGCCCGCCACCATGCCCAGCTAATTTTTTGTATTTTTAGTAGAAGTGGGGTTTCACCATGTTAGCCAGGATGGTCTCGATTTCTTGACCTTGTGATCCGCCCGCCTTGGCCTCCCAAAGTGCTGGGATTACAGGCGTGAGCCACCGCGCCAGGCCGAGGCTCTGCCTTTTCTTCCCTGCTGCTTTAACTCCACTCCTTCAAAAAAGTCTCACTCTGAGTTTCTCTTAGTTTTACACCTGCCTCAAGTTAGCCCACTTTCTACCGCAGGCAGCTGTTTCCTGCACCACGTGTTACTCTCCTTCTCCTTTGCTTTATCTTCCTGATGCAAATGTATATATATTTTTTAATGCATTCCTCAGGATTTTGTGTTGGGTGGGAGGGCAGATCTCCCCCTGTAAGAAATACGAAGTCAAGAGGTTCTAGGTCTTCCAAACGTATCCACTGTTGAAACAAATCTTGTCTCAATTTATTTTTGTATAAAAAGGTGCTCATGCCTTTTTATTTTTTAATACAATGAGCCACCCATCTATGGGTGAGTCCACAATTTAGTTATTTCTTTAAAGCACAAAGTTATCATCAGAGCTTTTATGATCAACAAATTTGGAGCCAAGTGAAGACAAGACAATAAAGTGGGGAATGGGGGGTCGCTCTGAAGCCCTTGTGGACAAGATACATGCTCGCAGGAGGTGAGTCTGGCGTTCACACATGAGTCCTACATGCAATTAGCAGAATGAGAGGCTGCTGCTTTAGCGTGGCCAGTCCTGTCAGAGTCTGCCACTGCTCTACCATAAAGGTAGAGCTAAACCCACAGATACCAGTGATTCCTGGGCAGTGTTGGGTGCAACTGCTTAGTACATATGAAGAATAAAAATGTAAAAACTTTCTGGAATTGATTTTGTACTAATTATCACTTTTTATAAAGCAGATTTATGCTCATGTACCATACGATTCACCCATTTAAAGTGCACAGATTAATGGGTTAATATATTTGTGAAACCATCACCATAGTCAGTTTTGGAACACTTTCATCACCTCACAAAGCCTTTTAGCCATCACCCTCCTCTGCTCTAAACTCTGCACCCCCCAACCTAGGCAGCCACTCATCTATCTCTCTTTCTATAGATTTCCCCTATCCTGGACTTTCATGTGAATGAAGTCACACAATATGTGGACTTTTGTGATTGGTTTCTTTCGCTTAGCATAAAGTTTACAAGGTTCATCCATTTTTTAGCATCTTCATTCCTTTGTTTGGCTGAATAATATTAATGGTGTAGAAACACCATATTTTGTTTATCCATCTGTTAATGAACATTTGGGTTGGTTCTACCTTTTGGGCTATTATGGATAATACTCCTATAAACATTCATGTACAAGTTCTTGTGTGGATAGATGTTTTCATTTCTTTTAGATTCCGTGTGTGTGTGTGTCCTGAAAGTTTATCTATCTCCCCCGACCTCTGCCCCAAATTCAGATATTGAAATCCTAATCCCAAAGATGATGATATTAGGAGCTGGGGCCTGTGGCAGGTGATTAGGTTGTGAGGGCAGAGCACTCATTAATGGGATTCATGTCCTTATAAAAGAGGTCCCAGAGAGGACTCTTGTCCCTTCCACCATGTGATGCCACAGTGAGGAAATGACTGTCTAGAGGGAAGTGGGCCCTCACTAGACACAGAATCGGGTGATGCCTTGATCTTGGACTTCCCAGCCTCCAGAACTGTGAGAAGTAAATTTTTGTTGTTTATAAGCCTCCCAGTCTGTGGTGTTTCATTATAGCAGTCTGAAGGGACTAAGGTATATGGTAATTCTATGTTTAATGATGTGAGGAACTGCTAGATGTTCTCCAAAGCAGCTGCACCCATTATATCCCTCCAGCAGGGTATGAGGATTCTGATTTCTCCCCATCCTCACCAACATTTGTTGTTATCTGACCTTTTTTTTCTAGTCACCATAGTTAATGTGAAGAAGTATTTCATGGAGGTTTTGATTTGTATTTCCCCTGATAATGATGTCAAACATTCTTTTATGTACTTATTGGCCACTCGTATATCTTCCTTGGAGAAATCTATTCAAATCCCTTGCCCATTTTTTAATTAGGTTGGTTATAATGGATTTGTAAGAGTTCTTTATATATCCTGAATATTAAATCTTTATCAGATATATGATTTGCAAATATTTTCTCTGTGTTTTATCCTTTGCTTTTTTAATTGTGTCCCTTGATGCACAAGAGTTTTTAATTTTGATTAAGTCCAATTTATCTACTTTTGCTTTTGTTTTTCATGCATAGCCTGTCATATTAAAGAAGTCTTTGTCAAAACCAAGGCCATGAAGATTTTCCACCTACGTTTTCCTCTAAAAGCTTTATAGTTTTAGTTCTTCATATTGATCTTTGGTCTATTTTTAGTAAATTTTGTATATGGTGTGAGGTATGGGTCCAACTTCATTTTTTGCATGTGCTTATCAAGTTGTCCTAGCACCACTTGTTGAAGAGACAATTCATTCCCCATTGAATGGTTTTGGCAGCCATTCAAAGGTTGTTAAATAGACACATAGGTTTATTTTTGGACTCTCAAATCTATTCATTGACCTATGTATCTATCCTTATGCCAGAACCACCTTGTCTTGATTACCATTGCCTTGCAGGAGGTTTTGAAATTGACAAGTGTGAGTCCTCCTACTTTGTACTGCTTTATCAGGATTGTTTCAGTTCCTCTGGGTCCCTTGCAATTGTATATTAACTTTAGAATCAGCTTGTCAATTTCTACAAGGAAGTCAGCTAGGATTCTGATAGGGAATTCATTGATTCTGTGGGTTAATTTGGAGAGTATTGTCATCTTAACAATGTTAAGTTATCAGATCTGTATATATTTTTTGTTTTGTTAAAACTTTTTAAATTTCTTTCAACAATGTTCCATAGCTTTTAGAGTATACATTTGCATTTCTTTTGTTACATTTATTCCTAAGTACTTTATTCTTTTTAATGATATTATGAATGGAATTGTTTTCTTAATTTTCTTTTTTTTTTTTTTTGAGATGGAGTCTCGCAACTTCCTCCAGGCTGGAGTGCAGTGGTGCGATCTTGGCTCACTGCAAGCTCCTCCTCCCAGGCTTACGCCATTCTCCTGCCTCAGCATCCCGAGTAGCTGGGACTACAGGCGCCTGCCACCATGCCTGGCTAATTTTTTTTTTGTATTTTTAGTAGAGACGGGGGGTTTCACCATGTTAGCCAGGATTGTCTCAATCTCCTGACCTCGTGATCGCCCGCCTCGGCTTCCCAAAGTTCTGGGATTACAGGCATGAGCCACGTGCCTGGCCTCTTAATTTTCTTTTTTCTTTTTTTTCTTTTTTTTTCTTTTGAGACGGAGTCTCGCTCTGTCACCCAGGCTGGAGTGCAATGGCACAATCTTGGCTCACTTCAACTTCCTCCTGCCGGGTTCAAGTGATTCTCCTGCCTCAGCCCCCCAAAGTGTCTGGGATTACAGGCGCCCACCACCAGGCCTGGCTAATTTTTGTATTTTTAGTAGAGGCAGTATTTCACCATGTTGGTCAGGCTGGTCTTGATCTCCCGACCTTGTGATCCACCTGCCTCAGTCTTCCAAAGTGCTTGGATTACAGGCGTGAGCCACCACACCTGGCCAATTTCATTTTTTCAATTGTCCATTGTAAATTTATGAAATACAACTGAGTTTTGTGCATTGATTTTGTATCCTACAACCTTGCTGAACTCATTTATTAGTTGTAATAATTCTTTGGTGAATTCATTAGAATTTCCTTAAAACAGTAATATGTCACCTGTGAATAGAGATAGTTTTACTTCTTCCTTTCCAATCTGGATATCTTTTATTTCCTTTTTCTTGCCTAATTGCTCTGGCTAGAACCTGCTGTAGAGTGTTGAATGAAAGTAGTGAGAGTATACATTTTTGTCTTGTTCTGATCTCAGTGAGAAGCACCCTCCTTTCACTATTAAGTAAGTATGATGTTAGCAGTGGGTTTGTTTGTAGATGCCATTTATCAGGTTGAGGAAGTTCTATTCTTAGTTTTTGAGTGTTTTTTATCATGCAAAATGGTTTGGTTTTGTCAAATGCTTTTTCTGCAACTATTGAGATAATCATACAAATGTTTTATTTTGTTATATGATGTATAATAAAATATATTGTAAAATAAAATATATAACTAATTGATTTGGGGATGTTAAACTAAACTAATGTTCCTGGGATAAATCCCACTTGGTCATGATGTATAGTTTTATTCCTATATTGCTGTATTAGTTTTTTGGTTTTGTTTTCATTTTTCTGGCTTTATTGAGGTATAATTGACAAATGAAAATTGCATATATTTAGGGTGTACAGTGAGATACTTTTATATATGTATACATTTTTAAATGATTACCACAACCAAACTAATTACTGTGTGTATCAGCTCATAGTTACTTGCGTGTGTGTATAACAACACTTGATATCTACTCTCTTAGCAGATTTCAAGTATACAATATGCTGTTAACTATAGTCACAGTGCTGTCCATTGATCTCCAGCACTTACTCATCTTATAGCTGATGGTTTGTACTGTTTGACCAATATCCCCTTTTCCCCATCCCCCAGCCCCTGGTAACCATCATTTTACTCTCCATTAACATGAGTTTGACTTTTTAAAAAATTTTACATGTAAGGGAGATCATGCATTATTTCTCTATCTGGCTTATTTCACTTAGCATAATGCCCTTAAGGTTCATCCATTTTGTTGTAAATGGCAGGATTTCCTTCTTTTTAAAGGCTGAATAATATTTCATTGTGTACATATACCATATTTTCTTTATCCATTTATCTATGGAAGGATATTTGGGTTGTTTCTGTATCTTGGCTACCGTGAATAACACTGCAATGAATGTGAGAGTACAGATATCTCTTTGAGATAGTGATTTTATATATTTTGGACATATACTCAGAAGTAAGGTTTCTGAATTACATATGATATGGTTAGGCTTCGTGTCCCCACTCAAATCTCATCTTGACTTTTAATCCCCATAATCCCCACTTGTCAAGGGAGAGACCATGTAGAGGTAATTGAATCATGGGGGCAGTTTCCCCCATGCTGTTCTAAGGATGGTGAGTGAGTTCTCAGGGGAACTGATGGTTTTATAAGGGGCTCTTCTCCCTTCACTTGGCCCTTCTCCTTCCTGTCACCTTGTGAAGAAGGTGCTTTGCTGCTCCTTCACCTTCCACCACGATTGTAAGTTTCCTGAGGCCTCCTCAGACATGCTGTACTGTGAATCAATTAAACCCCTTTCCTTTATAAATTACCCAGTCTCAGGCATTTTTTTCTAGCAGTATGAAAATGAACTAATATGATATTTCTATTTGTTATTTTTTGAAGAACTTCCATTCTCTTTTCCATAATGGCTGTACCAACTTACATGCCCACTGATAGTATACAACGGTTCCCTTTTCTCTACATCCTCATCAACACTTGTTATCTTTTGATATTTTATTATAGCCATCCTAATAGGTATGAGATAATATCTCATTGTGGTCTTGATTTGCATTTCTCTGATGATTAGTGATGCTGAACATCTATTCATATACCTGTTGGTCATTTGTATGTCTTCTTTGGAAAGAATGTCTATTTGGGTCTTTTGCCCATTTTTTAATTGGGTTACTTGTGTTTTTTTGTTATTGAGTTGTATAAGTTTCTTATAGAATTGGAGATTAAAACCTTATACATATGGGGTACATATTTTGGATATTAACTTTTTAGTTTAGAAATTTTTGACCCTTTTCTGTAGTTACCTTTTCATTTTGTTGTTTCCTTTGCTGTGCGGAAAACAAAATGTCCTCACTTTCATTTCTGATTCTACTAATTTGAGTGTTCTCTCTTCTTTCTTCATCAACCAGCTAAAAGTTTGTCAATTTTGTTTTGACAGGATTTTAGTTTGATTAGCTTTCTCTACTCTTTTCTAAATTCTGTTTTATTTATTTCTACTCCGATCTTTATTTCTTTTCTTGTTATTTGTTTAGGTTTGGTTTACTCTTCTTTTTCCAGTGTTTTCAGGTGGGAGATTAGCTTACGCCTTTGAGATTTTTCTTTTTTTCTTGATATAAGCATTCAGGGCTATAAATTTCCCTTTACATTCTTTTGTTGTTAGGTAGAATGTTCTATAGATGCCTTTTAGGTTTGGTTGGTTTGCAGTACTGTCTAACTGTTACATCTTTATTTAGTTGTTCAATCAGGTATCGAAAATTGAGTATTATGGGCTGAATTGTATTCCTCTAAAACTCATATTTTGAAGTTCTAACTCCAATGTAGCTATATTTAGAGACAGAATCCTTAAGGAGGTAACTAAGGGTACGTTACAATGGAGTAGTGGAGCCCTAATCCACTGTGACTGGTATCCTTAAGAGAAGAGAGGGAGATATCAGGGATGTGCACCTACAGACAAAGTGAGGTCCCACAGAGAAGGCAGCCATCTGCTAGCCAATGAGAAAAAGCCTCTGGAAAAACCAACCCTGTTAACACCTTGATCTTGGAATTCCAGCCTCCAGAACCATGAGAAAATAAAATTCTGTGGTTTAAGACACTCAGTGCAGTGTTTTATTATGGTAGCCCTAGCGATGTGATCCATGTGATATTGAAGGCACCAACTGTTATTGTTGAATTGTCTATTTCCCCTTCAATTCAATTAAAATGCAAATTCAAATGCAAAGTGATAGTGACTTGGCTTTGAATACATCCCATTAATATATAGATTTTGTTCTAGCAGTAGTTAGCTACATAAAATAGTACTTTCGATTTATTATCCTTGAAAGTAAAAATTAGAGATCATGTTTTAAGTAAATTAAAATAACTTAAAAATTTAAAAATAAACATTACATTTTCACAGTAAATAAAAAGGCATCATGCTACCTGACTTCAGTCTATACTACAAGTCTACAGTAAACAGCATGGTACTGGTACCAAAAAAGATATATAAACAAATGGAACAGAACAGAGGCCTCAGAAATAATGCCACACATTTACAACCATCTGATCTTTGACAAACCTGACAAAAACAAGCAATACGGAAAGGATTCCCTATTTAATAAATGGTGTTGGGAAACCTGGCTAGCCATATGCAGAAAACTGAAACTGGATCCCTTCCTTACACCTTATGCAAAAATTAACTCAAGATGGATTAAAAACTTAAATGTAAGACCTAAAACAATAAAAACCCTAGAAGAAAACCTAGGCAATACCTTTTAGAACATAGGCATGGGCAAAGACTTCATGACTAAAACACCAAAGTCAATGGCAACAAAAGCCAAAATTGACAAATGGGATCAAATTAAACTAAAGAGCTTCTGCACAGCAAAAGCAGCTATCATCAGAGTGAACAGGCAACCTACAGAATGGGAGAAAATTTTTGCAATCTATCCATCTGACACAGGGCTAATATCCAGTATCTAGACGGAACTTAAACAAATTTACACGAAAAAAAACAAACAACCCCATCAAAAAGTGGATGAAAGATATGAATGGACACTTCTCAAAAGAAAACATTTATGCAGCCAACAAAGATACGAAAAAAAGCTCGTCATCGCTGGTCATTACAGAAATGCAAATCAAAACCACAGTGAGATACCATCTCACGCCAGTTAGAATGGCGATCATTAAAAAGTCAGGAAACAACAGATGCTGGAGAGGATGTGGAGAAATAGAAAAGCTTTTACACTGTTGGTCGGAGCATAAATTAGTTCAATCAACCATTGTGGAAGACAATGTGGTGATTCCTCAAGGATCTAGAACCAGAAATACCATTTGACCCAACAATCCCATTACTGGGCATATACTCAAAGGATTATAAATCATTCTACTATAAAGGCACATGCACACATATGTTTATTGCAGCAATATTCACAATAGCAAAGACTTGGAACCAACTCAAATGCCCATCAGTGATAGACTGGATAAAGGAAATGTGGCACATATACACCATGGAATACTATGCAGCCATAAAAAAGGATGAGTTCAAGTCCTTTGCAGGGACATGGATAAAGCTAGAAACCATCATTCCCAGCAAACTAACACAGGAACAGAAAACCAAACACTGCATGTTCTCACTTATAAGCGGGAGTCAAACAATGAGAACACATGGACACAGGGAGGGGAACATCAGACACCAGGGCTTGTCAGGATGTGGGGGGCTAGAGGAGGGATAGCATTAGGACAAATACCTAATGTAGATGATGGGTTGATGGGTGCAGCAAACCACCATGGCACGTGTATACCTATGTAACAAACCTGCATGTTCTGCACATGTATCCCAAAACTTAAAGTATAATAATAAAACAAAAAGTAAGGATGCACCAGCTGTTAAGCCACCAGAGTTTTTGGATGATAAAATCAAGAAGAAAAAACCATAAGGAAAATTCTGGAATTCTGGCTAATCTGGCTTGTAAAGTTCCAGCAGATAAAAGTTGAGGAAAAAAAGACGTGACCATGTCTGTAAACTGATTGCGTGCATATGTTCAAAATGAATGCAGTTTTATGATACAAAGCTGAGGTTTTATAGAGCTACAGTTGGTGACCTCAAAGAGACAGCTGGGAAGATGAATAAGCATTATAATTACAAAATTATATGAGATAAATAATAATGTAATATCATCATATTCAATAACAAACCACTATGCAATCTAAACATGGCATAAACGAGCTTCTAAAAATGCCTCATATTGGAAACTACTAAAATAATTTTCTACAAAACAATCAAGAAGATAAAACTTCACAGACATACATATGCATGCACACAACATACATCATACACAAAAATACACACAGGAGCAAAGATTAATGAGCAACCACATATAGCCTTTTCACTGCTTACAAGAGACACTTTAAAAATTCCTTAATGTAGCCATATATAATTTTGAAAGCAGAGATATTTCTGTCAGTCCAGAGGTTTTGCACAACAAGAAGGCCTTTTGGTCAAAACTCAAATAAGCATCTTAATGGTTTTTACTATTTAAAAGCTGTTTAAAAAAAATTTTAGCCACAGGAATAAATATCACAATGTTTACCAGGTAGTTTCTGAAAGGTTATATTTGATTGTAGCTGTTATGTCAAAGTAATAACAGAAAATTTTAATGTGTAAAAAACTATTCCAAATGTCTAGGATAGTGCTGATTTAACTAATGCGTATTGATATAATATTCTTAAGGATTAAAAACCCAAAAACTATTATGAAGTCATCAGAATCATAAAAAACAAGTATTTTGTTAATTTAAGCAAATAGTTGACAGTTACTATGTAAATTTTAAAGTAATTTTTCAACCACATTCAGTTCAATATATGACTTTGATTCTTACATAAATATTTTATATAAAGATCCTTGCCTGTAAAAGTTCAATGTCTTAAAAAACTTTTGGTTTGTAAATAAAAATTCTACTGCCTCTAGAGAAAAATATATGTGTCTATGAAATGTCTTTGTGACTTTTGGACCTTTTCAACAACTATATCTTCAGTTTGTGGATGAGTTGATTCAACCAACATAGAAAATAAAGTCCTTTATTAAAGGCAACAAAAATGCTTTTTGACACTAATGTTGCTAATTGTTTCACCATCCCATTTTGCTTATAGAACCTAATGGTGTAAGTGTTAAGCTATAGGTTGTAACAATAAAAGATAGACACTTTAATGCCAATCTCAAAGCACTCTGCTAAGCAAAAGGTCAGGTCTTTAAATTTCCTAAGAAGCCACCAGTCCCATCCTTACAACAACAAAAAGCTGAACATAAGAATCAAAAGAATCACGCCTCTAATCCCAGCACTTTGAGAGACCGAGGCAGGCGGATCACGAGGTCAGGAGATTGAGACCATCCTGGCTAACACAGCCCCGTCTCTCCTAAAAATACAAAAAAAATTATCTGGGCGTGGTGGCGGGCGCCTGTAGTCCCAGCTACTGGGGAGGCTGAGGCAGGAGAATGGCGTGAACCCAGGAGGGAGAGCTTGCAGTGAGCCGAGATCGTGCCACTGCACCCCAGCCTGGGCGAAAGAGCGAGACTCCGTCTCAAACAAACAAACAAACAAACAAAAAAGAAAATACTAGAAATCAAAACACTGTAACAGAAATGAAGCCTGCCTTTGATAAGCTCATTAGTAGACTATTTGGCTGAGGAAAGAATCAGTACACATGAAGATAGACCAATAGAAACTTCCCAAACTTAAATGTAGAGAGAAAAAAATAATAAAAAACAAAGCTAGGACAGAATATCCAAGAACTGTAGGACAATCTCAAAACGTATAACAGGTGTAACTGGAATATTAGAAGAAGGGAACATAGCAGCAGAAATATTTTAATAATAGCTGTGAACTTTCTAAAATTATTGCAGAAAACCAGAGACAATGGGAAAATCTTGAAAGAAGCTGGAGAAAATACTTTACCTACAGAGGAACAAGCATAAGAATCACAGCACACTCCTCATCAGAAACCATGTAAGCAAGAAAAGAATGAAGTTAAATATTTAAAGTGTTGGAAAAAAATTTTCCACAAACTTGGAATTCTATATTCAGCAAAATTATTCAACACAAGTGAAGGATCCTAGGTATGTGCCCAAAAGAATTGAAAACAAGTACTCAATGAAATACCTATGCATTCATGTTCATAGCAGCACTGTCCAAGTAGCCAAAAGTGGGAAATAGCCTAAATGTCCATCAATGGATGAATGGATAAAAGAATTGTAGTGTATACATATGATAGAATTTTATTTAGCCATAAAAAGGAATAAACTCTTTTTTGTAGGATAGTTTTGTTGCATATAAAATTCTTGGTTGAAATGTTTTTTTCATTTACCAATTTGAATATGGTTTACCAATGTTTTGGGACTCTGTTATTCCTACTATACACTATTATACATGGTTGAATATGAATAAGCTGACAGAATTTATGCTAACTGAAAGCAACCAAACACAAAAGGTCACAAGTCTTGATTTCAGCCCTGGCTAGGGGATTTCTTCTTTGGATATTCTATCTCAACCTTAGAAGTAGTGGCTGCTCCTTATATTACTTTACTTCTTACTCATCAATACCCTGTTACTCCAATCCTTTGTGATAGTTAATAACTCTTAATATTAAACTTTCTCTTCTCAAATTACTGTATAGATTCTGTCTCATGATTTGACCCTAGGTGATACACCTATTAATATTATTTGTAATGAGAAGTCAACAATTTAATGTACCTTTTTCGCCTCTTAAGTGATATGTCATTTTTCTCTCAGTGCATTTAGTATCTCTTTTTTTTATCTGTTATCTTTATCTTTTTATCTTTCAGCAATTTGACTAAAGGTTGTAATTTTTCTTTTGTTCATTTAAAAAAATTCCTTAATATGGAAATGCTACATAAAGACCTTCATGCCTAAGAGAACAGGTCTGCTAAAAACAATTTATTTGTTTTTGGTTATCTGAAAATGCCTTTCTTTTGCCCCTCCTTTTTTTGTGGGATAGTTTTGTTGGATATAAAATTCTTAGTCAAAAGATTTTTTTTCATGTACTAATTTGAATATGACTTTCCAATGTTTTGGGACTCTATTAATATTATTTCTAATGAGAAGTCAGCAATTTAATGTATCTTTTTTGTCTCTTATGTGATGTGTCATGATTTTCTCAGTGCATTTAGTATCTCTTTTTATCTTTTATCTTTATCCTTTTTCAGCAATTTGACTAAAAGTTGTAATTTTTCTCTTGTTTATTTCACTTGAGATTTGTTGAACTTCTTGGAATTGTAACTCAAAATTTTTTGCCAAACTTAAGACATTTTTAGCCACTATTTCTCCACATATTTTTTATCCTATTTTCTCTGCCCCCTTCCTTTTGGATCATCAATTACATGGATGTTGGGATGACTGACATTGTCCCACAGGTCTCTGAGGCTCTATCCACTTTTCTCACTGTTCTTTAGATTGGGTAATTTCTATTAATATAGCTTCATGTTATGAGCTTTTTCTTCTGCCATACCAAATCTACTTTGAGGTCATTTTAGTAAATTTGTCATTTATTTTACTTTTTAGCTCTAGATTTTCTATTTAATTTCATGTCATAGTTCCTGTACCACTCTGGATGTTCCATATTTGTTCACTTACTATTAGTATATTTCCCTTTAATCCATTGAACATATTTCTCCTTAACTTTTTTGGATATTTATAATAGCTATGTTGAAAGCTTTATCTACTACCTCCAACTTTTGCACTCAATTAGGGTTGGTTATTAGTGGGTGCTTTTTTCACCTCTGTAATTGTTACACTTTTCTCATTCATTAAAAACCTAGTAATTCTAGTTGAAAATTGGATATTGTATATAATTTGTTGTAGAGGCTCTCAATTCTTAATAGTCTCTAATAAGTCCAGTTATATCAGCACTGTTTATTTATTTATTGAATAGGAAGTTCTTTCCCCATCACTCATTTTTGTCCACTTTGTTGAAGAGCAGATTATTATTGGCGTGTACCTTTCTTTCTGAGTCCTCTATTCTGTTCCATTGGTATATGTGTCTGTTTTTGTACCACTACCATGCTGTTTTGGTTACTGTAGCCTTGTAGAATAGTTTGATGTTAGGTAACATGATGCCTCGGGGGCTTTGTCCTTTTTGCTTAGGATTGCTTTGGCTACTTGGGCTCTTCTTTTGGTTCCATATAAATTTTAGAATTTTATTTTTAAATTTGTGAAAAGCATCATTGGTAGTTTGACAGGAATAGCATTGAATCTGTAAATTGCTTTAGGTAGTATGGCCATTTTAACTATATTGATTCTCCCTATCCGTGAGCATGGAATGTTTTTCCATTTGTCTGTGTTATCTCTGATTTCCTTCAACAGTGTTTTGTAATTCTTATTGTAGAGATCTTTCACCTCCCAGGTTAGCTGTATTCCTAGGTTTTTTTGTTCTTTTTGTGGCTATTGTGAATGGTATTGCATTCTTGATTTGGCTCTCAGCTTCGATGCTGTTAACGTACAGAAATGCTACTGAATTTTTGCATTGATTTTGTTTTGATTTTGTATCCTGAAACTTTAATTGTTTATCAGATCTGGGAGCTTTTGGGCAGAGATTATGAGGTTTTCTAGATATAGAATTACATCATCTGGAAACAGAGATAATTTGACTTCCTCTTTTCCTATTTGGATGCCTTTTTTTTTCTTTCTCTTGCCTGATTGCTCTGGCTAGGACTTCCAGAACTGTGATGAATAGAAGTGGTGAGAATGGGCATCTTTGTCTTGTTCCAGTTCTTAATGGGAACACTTCCAGCTTTACCCATTTAATATGATGTTGGCTGTGGGTTTGTCATAGATGGCTCTTATTATTTTGAGGTATGTTGTTTCAATGCTTAGTTTGTTGAGGGTTTTTAACAGGAAAGGATGTTGAATTTTATTGAAAGCCTTTCTTAGCATCTATTGAGATAATTATGTGGTTTTTAAATTTTAGTTATGCTTGTGTAATGAATCACATTTACTGATTTGTGTACATTGAACCAACTTTGCATCCCAGGGGTAAAGCCTACTTGACTGTGGTGGATTAGCTTTTTGATGTGCTGCTGAATTTTGTTTGCTAGTATTTTGTTGAGAACTTTTGCATCTATGTTCATCAAAGGTATTGGCCTGATGTTTTGTTTTGTTTTGTTTTGTTTTGTTTTGTTTTGTTTTGTTGTGTCTCTGCCAGGTTTTGCTATCAGAATGATGCTGGCCTCATTAATGAGTTAAGGAGGAGTGCCTCCTCCTCAATTTTTTGAAATAGTTTCAGTAGGAATGTTACCAGCTCTTCTTTATATATCTGGTAGAATTTGCCGTGAATCTATCTGGTCCAGTACTTTTTCTGGTTGGTAGGCTTTTTATTACTTAATTATAGAACTTGTTATTGGTCTGTTCAGGATTTCAATTTCTTCCTGGTTTAACCTTGGGAGGTTGTATACTTCCAGGAATTTATACATTTCTTGTAGGTTTCTAGTTCATGAGCATAGAGGTATTTATACCAATCTCTGAGGGTGCTTTGAATTTCTGTGGGGCCAGTGGCAATGTCACCCTTGTCATTTGTGATTATGTTTGGATCTTCTCTCTTTTTTTCTTTATTAATCCAGATAGTGGTCTATCAATATTATTTATTCTTAAAAAAAACTTTTGGTTTGTTGATCTTTTACATAGACTGTCACATCTTAATTTCTTTCAGTTCAGCTCTGATTTTAGTTATTTCTTGTCTTCTGCTAGCTTTGGGGTTGGTTTGCTGTTGTTTTTCTGGTTCCTGTAAGTCTAATGTTAGGTATTTAATTTTAGATGTTCCAACTTTTTGACGTGGAAATTTAGTTAATGCTATAAACTTTCCTTTTAATACTGCTTTGGCTGTGTCCCAGATATTGTGCTTTGTTGTATATTTGTTTTCATTAGTTTCAAAACATTTCTTGATTTCTGCCTTAATCTCATAGTCTACCCAAAAGTCATTCAGGAGCAGGAGGTTTAATTTCCATGTAATTGTATAGTTTTGTGCAATCTTCTTAGTATTGATTTATTTTATTTTATTGTGGTTGGTATAATTTTTTTTAATTTGCTGAAAATTGATTGCTGATTGTGTGGTGGATTTTAGAGTATGTGCCACGTGCAGATGAGAAGAATATATATTCTGTTGTCTTGGGTGGAGAGTTCTGTACATGTCTGTTAGGTCCATTTGGTCAAGTGTCAAGTTCAGGTCTTAAATATCTTTTTTCTGCCTCAATGTTCTACTTCTTTTCTGCCTCAATGATCTAGTACTGTTATCTGCTTCAATGATCTAATACTGTCAGTGGAATGTTGAAGTCTCCCATTATTGTGCAGTTATCTAAGTCTCTTTGTAAGTCTCTAAAAACTTGTTTTATGTATCTGGGTGCTCCTGTGTTACATGCACATATATTTAGGATAGTTAAGTCTACTTGTTGAATTGAATCCTTTATCATTATGTAATGCTCTTCTTTGTGTTTTTGGATTATTGTTGGTTTAAAGTTGTTTTGCTTTTTTATGTTTTCTGTTTGCTTGACAGATTTTCCTCCATCACTTTACTTTGAACCTATGGGTGTCATTTCATGTGAGCTGGGTCTCTTGAAGACAGCATACCACTGGGTCTTGCTTCTTTATCTAACTCGCCACTCTGTGCCTTTTAATGGGCATTTAGCCCATTTACATTTACAGTTAATATTGATATGTGTGGATTTGATCCTGTCATTGTGGTGTTAGCTGCTTATTATGCAAATTTGATTGTGTAGTTGCTTTATGGTGTCAATGGTCTATGCACTTATGTGTGTCTTTGTGGTGACTGATCTTTCATTTCCATATTTAGCACTTTGTTAAGGGTCTCTTGTAAGGCAGGTCTGGGGGGTAATGAATTCTCTTAGCATTTCCTTGCCTGAGAAAGATCTTATTTCTTCTTCAGTTACAAAGCTTAGCTTGACCAGGTGTGAAATTCTTGGTTGGAATTTCTTTTTTTTAAGAATGCTAAATATAGGCCTCTAATCTCATCTGGCGTGTAGGGTTTCTGCTAAAAAGTCTACAACCCTGGCTTTGCTCTCTGGCCTCTCAAGGTTAGTACCAGCTTCATTGGAGGGGCCAAGGTGTTCCCAGTCCACTGACAACAACACTCTGATAGGGGGGTGCCAGCCAAGCACTTCATCAGGGCATTGGCAGTGGGATCCATGCTCACTCATGCATGTCAGCAGCAGCACAATTGGCTGTCTATAGGTTTTTATCCTCTTCTATATAGGCTGTATAAAGGTTGAGAAAGACATCTAAAGTTGCTTACTTTACATGTCTTTAGCTTATGCTTCAGTCTGAAATCTCCCAGGTTTGATGAGCCAGGAGTTTTCTTCTCAGGGATCTACATAGCAGGAATATTATCACTGTGTAGTTTAAAAATGTGTAATTTAAAAATCAGCCAGGAGTTTCCTCTCAGGGATCTACAATGCAGGAATATTATCACTCCCACACTTCAAATAAAAAAAAAAATGAGAAAAATAACAAGTTTGTGGTGTTCCTTGAATCCATCATTCTGCTTCCTGGTTGAACTCTGACTCATAAAAAAAGATTCTCAAATTCAGGGACTGCAGGCTGTAGAGATATTATCCCTGTTTCTGCCTGGATAATTCTGCAGAAACAGTATAGAATCCCATGCTGAGAAAGGAAATTGTAGCTTTAAAGACTGTGACTGCCAGAGTACTCAAAGAGGCCAAATACAATGGCCTGGCAATAGCCACTGAGTACCCTCCAAAAAAAAAAAAAGAAAAAGAAAAAGAAGAAGATGAAGAAGCAGTAGCAGCTGTTAACCTACTACTAAGTTCTTGTTGAAAGTAATTTACTGACCTATAGTGGTCTTTGACTTTATCCTAATTTTCAAGGTTGCTACAACATAGGTTGTAGCTATTTCAAACTGATCAGCTGACTCTGCTCACAAAATTTTAGCCCTCTAAACTAAACTGTGTCACATTTTTGGATTTCAGGGTCATGTACACAGGCCAGTGGTATACCTTTGTCACAGAATCTACCCAACAATGTTCCAATAATCAAAGTATTTGATGGGCATTTTATCTTTCTTACTACGCTCAGGCTACTGGCATATATCATCAAGAGGTGAAATTGACTTTTAAAAAGTCATTGGCAAATTATTTCTGACTCTCCCACACCTTCTCTTAATACACTAAATTAAGGTAGTTTGATGAATACTGACATCAGTAGAATGAGTTCATCTCCTCTTGGCTACTTCCTGCATAATGATCACAACAAAAGTGGTGGGAATTTATATAGATAATACCGAAAACTTGAGATTCCATCCTGAATGTTTATAGACATGATTTTTTTTCTTTCTTCTAATAGCAACCCCATGCCAGTCTAGTTGGCAGCCCAGACAAGAGGTCTAGGGAATTCAAACATAATTTTGGTTCAGTTATGTAGATTCTATTGCTGGTTTGATAAAGCCTTGGTTCATGTGGATGACATCCAACTGGTTGGTTACATTGCTGAGTCCTCCTAAGGTGTTCCAGGTGGGCTGAGATGAGAGACATAATGAGTCTTTATGTATTTTGTAAAAAATATCCTTGTCTGTCTCATACTTGATCCTTTCAGGAAAATACTCTGGGTATAAGCAGGAGGTAATTAGGAAAAATGTGAAGTTGTTGCTACTGGGAAGGGCAAACCAATTTTGTGACAGTGGAAGAACAACAATCCTGGCATCCAAGAAGAAAACACTTAAGACCCTTGGAGAAGTGAAGATGGAGTTATAATTAATGATCTCTTAGTCCTCCAGATTCAGCACTAAAGCTTGGTGAAACAATTATGTGGCCTGCCTGAATCAAACAGTAGTTGCAGCTGGCAATCTGATTCACTGCTGTTTCTCTCATTCTAAGAACACACTATGAAAAGAGAAAAATTCATGGTGACGTGGTCAATCCTGAACTACTCTGGTGTGTCTGATGCCACCAATTCAGCTCCCAAATGTAGATACCCTCATACCTGTACAAACACATAGACCAGCACAACCGTGTTTCAGTATAACTGATACAAATTCATATGCTTATCCTGATGCTCAAGTGGTCTTGGTTATGCCATGTATAGTGGTCAAAGCTGCATTGCCCATGTGGCTTAATCAAACCATGTGTCATGATGACCCAAATCAAGTTTAACAACTTTATTGAACAGAGGCCAAAATGCTAAAGGCCCAAAGGGTAGATGGCAAACAGAGCCAGTCCTCTATTGGTCTCTTCTGCTCCTACATGTCTTACAAGGCCAAGAATGCCCGGGCTTGCTCACATTTCACCCAGGCCATATGTCAGGGCTGGGATTGCAGTCAGAAGCCTTGAGAAATAATATCATGTCTCCCTTTCAGACAAAGAGCAGACTTGCTTACTTCTAACGAAAAAAGAGATTTATTCCTCAGGCTCAGAGTTTCCCAGCTGTAGCACATTAGCACACACAATTGTGCGATCCCACAACACAAGACAGAAAAAATAGGGTGGAAGAAATATTAGGAAAAAATATTGGCTGAGCATTTTCTGAAGTTAATCAGAGACATTAAACGACAGTCACAGGAATCTCAGAAAATAGCAAACAACATAAATACCAGGAAAATACAGCCCAGTGATGGACAGCAGGCATATTCAAACTGCTGATAGCAAAAGTGAGAAAACATTTTGGAGGCAACCAAAGAAAGAAACACACTACATGCAGAAGAACAAAAATAAGAATGTAAGCAGATTTCTCTTCAGAAACCATCCAAGTTTAAAGGCAATGGAATAACATCTTTTAAGCACTGAAAAGGAAAAAAAAAACCTG
Organism: Homo sapiens; assembly: GCF_000001405.40. Taxonomy (NCBI): domain Eukaryota; kingdom Metazoa; phylum Chordata; class Mammalia; order Primates; family Hominidae; genus Homo; species Homo sapiens. The sequence continues at coordinate 13,952,294 of NC_000018.10, read as the reverse complement.
TCAACCCAGAATTCTATGACCAGCAAAAATACCTTTCAAATATTAAGAAAAATAAGGACTTTCTCAAACAAACAATAATCTGGGGAATTTATCACGAGCATATATACTTCATAAGAAATGTTAAAGATAAGATATTTCAATATTAATGCATCTCAGAGAATACGGAGGCCCAAGGAGAGAGAGATGAGATAATGGCCAGCCAGTGGAGTAATCAGCACACATAATATTTGTTAGTTAAGTTCACCATCTTAGATGGGAGTGGGTCGTGGTACCCCCAATAGTAATATCAAAGGTCACTAATCACAGATCACCATAGCTGATACAATAGTCAAGAAAAGATTTGAAATATTGCAATAATTACCACAATGTGACACAGAAATACAAAGTGAGCACATGCTGTTGAAAAATGGAGTTGGTAGATTTGCTCAAAGCAGGGTTGCAACAACTTGCAATTCGTAAAAAATGCAATATTTATGAAGTGCAATAAAACAAAGTGCAATAAAATGAGGTATGCCTGTATTTAAAAAGATTAAAGGTCTCAAATCAGCAATCTATGCTTCCACCTTTAAGGTAGCAGAGAATAAAGAGAAATTAAATTTACAGCAAGCAGAAAAAAAATAGAAAAGATTAGAAATCAATGAAAGTGAAATTTATTTTTGGTTTTTTGAAAGAAAAAAATCAATAAAATCGATACACTCTAACCACAAAGAGAAAAATGAATGTCACAAATTAACCAATATCAGGAAGGAGAGAATGTCATCACTACGGCCCCCTTAGACAGAAAAAGGATTATAAATATATTCTAGAAAAAATTCTATACTCACAAATCTAGCCAATGCAATAGTACAAAAATGTCCATGATTCAGAACAACTATTTTGAAGACATAAGCAAAAACTCAGTTAAGGAAAAATAGATAAACTGAATAGTCCTAAATCTATTAAATACTTTAAATTCGTAGTTGAAAATCTTCCCCCAAAACTGTTGCTCATGAATTCTACAAAACATTTACAGAAGAAATAATACCAATTCTATTATACAGTCTAGAGGAGGGAACACTAACTTACTGTATGATGCCAACATTATATTAATACCAAAACCATACAACAATATTGCCATAGAAAAAAAATTACAAACTAATATCCTTCATAACAAAGACACAAAAATCCTCAACAAAGTATTTAGCAAACTGAATCCAGCAATACACATAAAAGATAATACATTGGCCAGGCGCGGTGGCTCATGCCTATAATCCCAGCACTTTGGGAGGCTGAGGCGGGCAGATCACGAGGTCAGGAGTTCGAGACCAGCCTGAACAACATGGCGAAACTCCATCTCTACTAAAAGTACAAAAATTAGCCAGGCGTGGTGGCATGCACCTGTAATCCCAGCTACTCAGGAAGCTGAGGCAGGAGAACCCGGAGGCAGATGTTGCAGTAAGCTGAGATCGCAGGCACTGCACTCCAGCCTGGGGGACTGAGCAAAACTGTCTCAAAAAAAAAAAAGGTTATACATCATAACCAACTGAGGTTTATTCTAGGAGGGCAAGGCAGTTTAAACTTTTGAAAAGCAATCAATGTAACTCACCATACTAACAGACAAAAAAGAAAAACATATGATCATCTCAACTGATACAGAAAACACATGTAACAAAATTCAACATCTATTTATGATAAAACCTCTCAGCAAACTAGGAAAAATGAAAGCATTCTTAACCTGAAAAAGGACATTTACATACCCCCTATAGCTATCATCATAAATTCTCTAAGATTCAATATTAACTGGAATTTCTAGTCAATGTAATAATGCAAAACACATATATATACATACACACATACATACATACATAAATGTCAGACAGATTGGAAATAAATAAATGAAACTGTTTTAAAGTTGATGTAATTATCGCTGTAAAAATTTCAAAGAATATACAAATTACTACCAAATTAGTGAGTTTAGTAAGTTCACAGAACACCAAATCAATATTAAAAAATCAAATAAATTTCTCTATACTGTCAATAAAGAATTGGAATTAAAATTCTAAAAGTAATACCATTTTAAATAGCACTCCCAAAATAAAATACTAAATATTTAAGTATAAATCTAACAAAACATATGCAGGATCTGTATCTGCAAACTATAAAACATTGGTGTAAAAAACCACAAAAGACTTAAGTAAATGGAGGGATGTGCTATGTTCATGGAATGGAAGACTCAATATTGTTAAGAGGTTAAATTTCACAGTTTGATTTATAAATTCTATGAAATCTCAGTCAAAATCCCAACAGTTTTGTAATATCTACAAGTTGATTTTAAAATGTATAAGGAAAGGCAAAAGACCTAAAATAGTCAAAACAATATTGAAATAAAACAAAAATAGGCTGAAGATGCACACTACTCAATTTTAAGGCTATATTATATTATATACTGTACTATAACACTACAACAATCAAGACAATATGCTTTTGGCAAAAGATTAGACACATAGTCCAATGGAACTAAAAAGAGAGCCAGAAGTTGATTCACACAGGTATGATCAACTGATTCTTTATAAAAGAGTGAGGGGAGCTCAGTAGAGTAAGGATAGTCTTTTTAACAAATAGTGCTGGAAAAATCATCATCCATATGCTATCAATAAATAAATTTCACACATACCTCACAACTTATACAAAAATTAGCTCAAAATGGATCATTGACCCAAATATAAAACATAAAACCATAAACTTTTGGAGGAAAACAGGAGAAAATATGATTCACATTGAGTTTGGCAAAGAAATTTAGAACACCAAAAACATAATCCATAAACGGAAAAACTGATGGCTTGTCAAGTGAAAAGACAAGTCATAGACTGGCAGAAAATATTTACAGATCACATGTGTAATTTGTATCTAAAATATATAAAGAAATCGCCAAACTCAACTCAAGAAAGGAAACAAGTTTTTTTTTTAATTGGCAAAAGATCTTAACATATACTTCATTACAGAAGATATACAGTTGTCAAAGAAGCATGTGGAAAGATACTCAACATTCTTAGTCACTACAAGATGCAAATTAAAACTGTGATGAGATACCACTACATTCCTAATATAAGGGCTGAAATAATAAAAACTGACAATACCAAGTGCTGATGAGGATTCCAGGCAACTGGGATGTTCACACTTTGCCGATAGGAATGCAAAATGGTACACCACTTGGAAATACTGTTGACTGTTTCCCATAGACTGAAACGTACACTTTCCATACCACTTAGCAATCCCACTGTTAGATATTTACACAACTGAAATGAAAAATTCTGTTCTCACAAAGACCTACATACACACATATACAAATGTTTATAGCAGTTTTATTAATAATTGTTAAAAACTGAAACTACTCGAATGCCTTTCAACAGTTAAATGAATAAGCAGTGTTCCATTTGTTTGATAGAGTACTGAGTAATAAAAAGGAATACGCTTTTGATGCACATAATGGAATGAGTGAAACTATATTGTGCAAAGTGAAGGAAGTCAGAACCACATGTATGATTCCTTTCACATGACATTCAGGAAATGGCAAAAGGACAGGACAGAACCCAGGTTCCTGACTGTCCAAGTTAGAGAAGAGGAAGGGGGCACTGCACAGGGGCAGCACGCGGCACTTCTGTGGGGTGACAGCACTGTTCTGTTGGGAGTATGTTGGTAGACATAAGAGTTTTCACATCAACCCCACATGAAAAGTGCGTGTCAAACCCCACTTTTCGTGAAAGTTGCGGATCAAACTAGTCCTAAAGGATGAACAGAACTTGAAGAACTGATGAAGAAGGAAAATATTTCAGGGGGGAAAAAAAGTACTGTGCAAATTCTAGGAGAAATGAACAGAATAAAATAGAGGATTTGTGTAGGGAAGTGATAGGATTGGAAATATTGGAACATAAAGATCTTAAAGCTCAATATAGATTCTAGATTTCACCCAGTGGAGAAACGTTTTAATAAACGTTTTATAGCAAAAGAAATGTATGCATGTATATGGATGATCTAAGATGGATTGGGTTAGTGTATGCATGTAGGACTCGACAGATATTAATAAATACATATTTTGATTAAAATTTAATCAATGAAGCTGGGCATGGTGGCTCACACCTGTAATCCCAGCACTTTGGGAGGCAAAGGTGTGCAGATCACTTGAGGTCAGAAGTTCGAGACCAGCCTGGCCAACATGATAAGACCCTGTCTCTACTAAAAATACAAAAATTAGCCAGCCGTGGTGGCTCACGCCTGTAATCCCAGTCACTTGGGAGGCTGAGGCAGAAGAATCGCTTGAACCTGGGAGGCAGAGATTGCAGTAAGACAAGATTGCACCACTGCACTCCAGACTGGGTGACAGAGCGAGACTTGGTCTCAAAAAAAAAAAAAAAAATTAATCAGTGAGCTTCATTCCCCACATACCAACCAGGAATATAGTTTTAAGTGCTCTCTCTCTCTCTCTCATAAAATTCCTTATTATAAGGAATTAGTTCCCTTTCACATTGATAGCAAACCCAATACATTTTTTCTTATCTTCTGCCCATCTATAACCAAAGTTAAATAGGCCAAGCTTTCTTTTCAACTCTTTTTATTTGGCCCTGTACTTTTGATTTAGTTTTGTTTTGTTTTATAAAAATTACACATAGAATAGTAGTTGCTCTGAAAATATAATGAAACAATTTCCAGAAAGGATGTGGTGAAATAATTCTGTTCATTCAGATCATCATGAACAAGGTTCACCTTTATTTTTTTTCTTCTGGTTGTTAAGATTGTAAGGTAATTTCTAAGAAGGTTCGCAAGGCCCTCGCCAAGAATTTAACGTTGGCTAAGATCTGGATCTGGCAGTTTTATGAAGAGTTGATGCCAGCACCATGCCAGAGCAGTGTGACTACTGGAAACAGGACCAGATCCACGAGATAAAATGATTATCATCTGCAAAGAAAGTGTGGCTGTTAACGACCAATTTATTAATCCATTCCTTCACCAAAATACATGTGATGAAGAAATAAAGCAGAGTAATGAGTGAGTTATTTGCAGGTGGGGATGGTTTGGGGTTGATTCTTTTAGGTAGGATGTCAGGGAAGCCATATCTGAGGTAACACTGAAGCCAAGATCTGAATGAAAAGGCATCGGACACTTGAAAATCAGAAGGAAGCATGTTCCAGGCAAGTGGAATCAGTGCCAAGTCTTGAGACAGGAATGAGCTGGACGAGTCAATGTATGGATGGAAGGACAATGAGAATAGAAAGGAGTGGCCAGGTGCAGTGGCTCACGCCTGTAATCCCAACACTTTGGGAGGCTGAGGCAGGTGGATCATGAGGTCAAGAGATCAAGAGCATCCTGGCCAACATGGTGAAACCCCATCTCTACTAAAAATACAAAAAATTAGCACGCTGGTGCACCCCTGTAGTCCCAGCTACTTGGGAGGCTGAGACAGGAGAATTGCTTGAATCTGGGAGGTGGAGGTTGCAGTGAGCCAAGATTGCACCACTGCACTCCAGCCTGGTAATGGAGTGAGGCTCTGTCGAAAGAAAGAAAGAAACGGAGGAAAGGGAAGAAAGAAAAGAAGAAAGAAAGAAAGAAAGAGAGAGAGAGAGAGGGAGGGAGGGAGGGAGGGAGAGGGAAAGAAAGATAGAGAGGAAAGAAAGAAAAAGAGAGAGAGAAGAAAGAAGAAAGAAAGAGAAAAAAGAAAGAAAGAAAAAGAAAGAAGAAAGAAAGAAGAAAGAGAAAGAAAGAAAGAAAGAAAGAAAGAAAGAAAGAAAGAAAGAAAGAAAGAAAGAACAAACAAACAGAGAGAAAGGCAACTGGAGATGAGGTCGGTGAGGAGACAGAGGCAGATTATGGGAACCTGATAAGCTGTGGCTAGGAATTTGGATTTTGTTCTATTTTCTTCAACAGAGGAATTTGATCACAGGAGTAAATTGAACTTGTTTACAAGAAATCAATAATATTTCTTACAGAAAATCAATAATATTAATTACTAAATTAAATGACTACTTAGCACCCAGGAAAGGAAGGCATAGAATAATAGAAAATTATCCATGCAGGAAAAAAACCACAGTGAATCAAAAGACCTGAAGGCTTACCTCAATTTCTTCACGTACTAGCTGTTAATTTCAGTGAGCTTTGGCAAATCGTGTGTTTTTGGTACCTCTGGTTCCTCATCTGTTAAGATTATTTCTAAAACCCAAGTCTTTAAATCTTTCTTAAAATGTATTTAGTTTTGGGTATTATATTCAAATGAATCAATAATAATAAATATTATGTATTAATAATATTTATTAATAACATTAATAATAAATATTAATAAATAATATTAATATTATTTGTATTATATTTTTATTAGAAATAGTAATGTTTTAATTCCATCTTGGCCTTATCCACCCAGTCCTCTCCCAATGTGACCAATTCTACCTTATATATACTGCCTTAGTTCATTTGAACTGCTATAAAAAAATACCTTAGACTGGGTAATTTACAAACAGCATAAATGTCTTGCTCACGGTTCTGGAGGCTGGGAAGTCCAAGATCAAGGCACCAGCATATCTGGTGTCTGGAGAGGGCTCTCTCTGCTTCATAGATAGCCCCTTCTAGCTGCATCCTAATATGGTGGAAGGGGTGAACAGACTTCCTTGGATCTCATTTATAAGGGCACTAATCCTATTAATAAGGGCTCTACCTTCATGGCCTAGCCACCTCCCAAGGCCCTACTTCTTTTTTTTTCTTTTTTTTTGAGACAGAGTCTCACTCTGTCACCCAGGCTGGGGTACAGTGGCGCGATCTCGGCTCACTGCAAGCTCTGCCTTCCGGGTTCACGCCATTCTCCTGCCTCAGCCTCCTGAGTAGCTGGGACTACAGGCAGGCTACAGCTGGGACTACCACGCCCGGCTAATTTTTTGTATTTTTAGTAGAGACAGGGTTTCACCATGTTAGCCAGGATGGTCTCGATCTCCTGACCTCGTGATCTGCCCTCCTCGGCCTCCCGAAGTGCTGGAATTACAGGCACGAGCCATCGTGCCCTGCCGGCCCCACTTCTTAATACCCTCACGTTGGGGATTAAGTTTCAACATATGACTTTTTCAGACACATAAATAGACCACAGCACATGTTTTCAGACTTTCTTATGCAAATGTAAGCTTTATAAAAAATAAATGACTATCCCCCTTTTATAGGCAGAAGATGGCATTTCTTACACACGCTTCCTCACTTTTATTTTCCTCGTGTGCAGATCTTTGTATTACATATCTTTCTGCATTAACTCTCACCCCTTCTCATGACTGGCTTGTCACCACTGCAGGGGTGCACCCTGATTTATTCAAGTAGCCTGTCAATGGGCACTTGTGTTGTTTCTAATCCTTTGCTGTTATGAACAATTCTGCAATGGATAACCTGAACCCACTCCATCTCATACGTGTGAAAGCGTATCTGAGAAAATCTCTAGAAGTGGAAGAACTAGTTCAATGAGCCCTACATTTGTTCAAAGCATACACACATGCCCCTACTGAAAGTTGCCAAGATTAGTTCTGTTCCTTGCAATCAAACCATCACTGGATGAAACAGTTTACTTAACCTAATGTAGCGCTAATTCTTGACTCTTATTCTGCACTTAGATAACTAAAACATCCAAGTCTTTTCACATGAACTGCTGTGAAACTGACTGTGGATAGACTTGTTTTTAAGTTTGGTTATTCACCCATTCATTCAACAGCATTGTGTTAAGCAACTATGATGTGTGAATGTACTTATGGTTTTAGTATTTATTTGCCTGTGAGCCGTTGCTTCTTGCTGCTGACAAGGACATTGTCTCTATTAATCTTCCTTTTCTATTTATGTACAGCAGTGGAATGAAAAACAAGCAGGTCACCAAATACCAAGTTCATAAGCAGTGATGGTAAAATTGAAGTGCGTAAGCTCTGAGCCTGGGCAACAGGGTTGATGCTGCCATCAAGTGCATAAGGTTCACCATTTCTATTTTGGGTGTGCCACATATGTTAGTTTTGGTAGTTATAACCAAATTTCCTTCAAGACAGTTGTACCAATTGAGTCTCACACCAGCCATTTATGAGGATGTCTCTTTCACCAGAGCATCGCAAAAAGAGGACGGATTACTGAACTTTTTGATTTTGTCAATCTCGAAGGCGCAAAATGCCTTCTCCATGTAGTTTTAATATTCCTTTCTCACATCATAAATAAAGTGCAACATTTTTATTTGTTTAAGAACCATTCATATTTCCTTTTCTGATACATGTTTCAATTATATGTTTATTTCTAGTTTCTCTGGCCCAACAGCAAACAACTGCAATTATTTCAAAATGCGTATTTCTAATTTTTTATTATTTTAATTTTTGGACTTTTGAATAAGTAACCTCTTGTTCAAAATTCAAAAGATGGAGAATGACACACAATGGTCTCCTTCACAGACTATCCTCCAACTACTCACTTACCTTCCCCAGAGGCAGTGTTACCTGGCTAATAATCCGAACGGTATGTTATAATTTATTATTTTTTATTCAATTGGCCTTTATCGAGAACCCAAGTGATCGCTACATGTACTTTTTAAAAATTGTGGTAAAATACACATAGCATAAAATTTCCCATCATAATCATTTTTAAGTCTGCAGTTGAGTAGCATTAAGCATATTGTATTGATACTATTGCAATCCATCTTCAGAACTTTATCTATTCACAAACTGAAACTCTGTCTTCATTAAACATCAACTCCCTATCACCCCCATCCCAAAACCCCAGCCCTGGCAACCACGAACCAGCTTCCTGTCTCTCTGAATTTGACCATTCTGGGCACCTCATATAAGTGGAATCATACAATATTTGTTCTTTTGTAACTAGCTTATTTCACTGAGCATAATGTCTTCAAGATTCATCCATGTGGCAGCATGTGTCCGAAGTTCCTTCCTTTTTAAGGCTGAATCATATTCCATTGTATGAATACACCATTGTTGAGAGAGGGGTGCTGAAATTTCAAATTATAATTATGGATTTGTCTATTGCTCCTTTTAAGTCCATGAGTTTTTGCTTTACATATTTTACATTTTTGTTGTTTGATGCATACACACTTAGAATTGTTATATCTTCTTGCTGGATTGATTCTTTTATCATTATATAATGCTCCTCTATGTCTCTGATAATTTTTTTCTCTGATGTCTACTTTATCTCTCTTCCCATCCCTTCCTTCTGGACTCACCCTCACTCCAGTGCCCCAGTGCTAGAAAAGAGGAGGTTATTTGCCTCATGAACATGAAGATGTGGATGCTGCATGATCAGAAGTCTGCCTTGTCCACTTGGGTATTCACTGAAAGACAACTTGGTTAACATAATGAACCTTTATGAGGAGAAATTTAAAGCAGAAAAGCAGAGAAGGGAAGAATATTCACAGCAAGTAGAGCAGATACTTTTAGAGGAAAGACCTTTTCTATTGCCCCATAATCACATTTCTTAAGATGTTTGATCTTAGTAAAATAAAGTCCATTTATTGGAAAATACACCTCAAATGCAGAGTAAACCATCAGGACACAGTCAAGAAGTGAGAACTACTTATGAAACAATAGTTTAGCATTATGCTTTAAGCTAATGTCTATAGATATAATCTGTTCCTCCATAAAATCTGTGTTAGTCTTAACAAATAATAGTGATAATGTTTTAAAAACCCTAACAAAGTTTCTCTGAGGTAGTTTACTTGAAGAGTATGGTAATAGAACTCATTGACCATCACTTACTCTGCTGTTCCAGTTTGTGCATAATCTCTGGTCTTTCTTTCAGATTCTTGGCCTTCCTTCCCAGTTGTCAATTTTGACAAATCACATTTGGTTCATTAAGCTAAGATCTTAAGACCACGTAAATACTAATATAATTAACTGATTTGGCCAGGCTCGGTGGCTCACGTCTGTAATCCCAGCACTTTGGGAGGCCGAGGCAGGTGGATCACCTGAGGTCAGGAGTTCGAGACCAGCCTGGCCAATATGGTGAAACCATGTCTCTACTAAAATTACAAAACAAAACAAAACAAAACAAAAATTAGCTGAGTGTGGCGGCAGGCACCTGGAGTCCCAGCTACTCGGGAGGCTAAGGCAGGGAATCACTTGAACCCAGCAGGCAGAAGTTGCAGTGAGCCGAGATCACATCACTTCATAGCAAGACTCCATCTCAAAATTTAAAAAAAATTAACTGATTTCTCCCCCTTGGTGCTCTTGCAGCAGATAACACAAAGTTTAATTTTGCTAAATAACTAAAGAAATAGTGTTCTTTATCCAAAGCTGGAGTCTGAGCTGGGAACCTTGCTGGAACACTCTGCAGACATTGAGCAACGCTCGTCCATGGGCCCTTTGGCTCTAGGATCGGCTGAGGGCACCATGCTGAACCCCTCTGGGAGAGTAGTGCCTTGTGTGTGTCAGTCGAGGCCTAGGCTGGGACTGACTTCTTTTCCACGCCTACATCACAATTGGCATTATGTAAAATGATTATGAGTTCTGTCTCCTCGTGAGCCTCAGGCCTGGCTGAGGCCAGAAGTGTGGAGCGCCAGCGTGACAGCTGCTCCCTCAAACCTGTCGTCCGCCTTTCACCTCTGTGCTTACTCATTACGAATTTCTTTTTATCTGAAAGTAATTCCGCATATATTTTTAAGTTTTAGAATAATTTAAAGCATGAAAAGAAAGTTGTAACAACCAACACTAAACCCCAAGATCACACACACACTCCTAATTTTTCTGGTTGGAATGTCCTGAAATAAATTCCTATAGTGAGTCGATTTACTGTCCTTAGCCAAGTTTATGCCAGTGCCTAGCCAGAAACCCAAGACCTCCCTGAGACAGCACAGCCCGTGAGAAGCCCTGGATGAGAAGCTGGGGGCTTCGGGAGATGCGTTCGACCCCGCGCAAGCTCAATGCACAATGTTAGGTGAGCAATTACCTCTCTCCACACCCACCATCCCTTCAGCAAAATGAGGGTGGGACTCAGGGGTGAGTAAAATCCATTCCTGCACTAAAAGTTTGTGACTCTAGAATAAAAATAAAATCTTGAATTAAAATTCCTTAAAAAGGCCGGGCGCGGTGGCTCATGCCTGTAATCCCAGCACTTTGGGAGGCCAAAGCAGGCGGATCACGAGGTCAGGAGATCAAGACCTTCCTGGCTAACACGGTGAAACCCTGTCTCTACTAAAAATACAAAAAAATTATCCAGGTGTGGTCGTGGGCGCCTGTAGTCCCAGCTACTCGGGAGGCTGAAGCAGGAGAATGGCGTGAACCCGGGAGGCAGAGCTTGCAGTGAGCCGAGATCGCGCCACTGCACTCCAGCCTGGGTGACAGAGCGAGACTCCGTCTCAAAAAAAATAAATAAATAAAAATAAAATAACATGAAATAAAACTCCTTAAAAAGTAAGATCAGAAAGTTCTCAAATCAACCATTGTATCAAATGTCTGTACCACAGGATGGCACCACAATGGTAGATCTCGTACAAACTATTTCTAAGGTGTCACATTTAAGCTGTTCCTCTTCCACCATCCAGCTGGACACATACAAACTCAGGGAAGGGAGTGCCGATGAAAGGCTCCTGCTCTGTTTATTGGCTGCTTCCCAGCTCTCGGACATTGCTGCTTTTCCTTTGTCTTTCTTCTTCCCGCGGGTCTCGGGCTCACTGCTGTTTGCATTCACGATGCTCAGCTGAACTATATAGAAATAAAGAAAACAACAGACAGAAAAGAATTAAGGCAAACGACGATGAAATCATGTACACTCAGCGGCCGGGTACCCACAGCAGGAAGGTACGGATTTTACCCACAATATCCACATCTATTCACAGTCACGCCAGGAAGGGACGCTGACACTAGGCATAGATATGTTTTGCAGCTGTGCGTTATCCCTGAACATGCCCTCTGCAGCCATCCCTCTCCTCAAGGCCAGGGACGCACCTAAAAATTAACTATTCAAATATAGTTAAATAATTCAGGCCTGGCACAATGGCTCAAGCCTGTAATCCCAGCACTTTGGGAGACCTAGGTGGGCAGACTGCCTGAGGTCAAGAGTTCAAGACCAGCCTGGCCAACAGGATGAAACCCTGTCTCTACTGAAAATACAGAAATTAGCCAGGCTTGGTGGCAGTCACCTGTAATTCCAGCTACTCGAGGCTGAGGCACGAGAATCGCTTGAACCCAGGAGGTGGAGTTTGCAGTGAGCCGCGATCGTGCCACTGCACTCCAGCCTGGGCGACAGAGTGAGAGTGTCTCAAAAATAATAATAATAACAATAATAATAATAATAATTCAGCAATCTACTATTCCATCTTAAATATTGGTTGTCTGTGGAGAATTTAGTTAAGTATTTTTCAAAATATACCTAAATAGTCACTGATTGTCAGTAAGACTAGAAATCACATGCTTAAAGAATTACAAGGCCGGGCACAGTGGCTCACACCTGTAATCCCAGCACTTTGGGAGGCCAAAGCGGGTGGATCACGAGGTCAGGAGATTGAGACCATCCTGGCTAACATGGTGAAACCCCATCTCTACTAAAAATACAAAAAATTAGCTGGGAGAGGTGGCAGGTGTCTGTAGTCCCAGCTACTCAGGAGGCTGAGGCAGAAGAATGGCTTGAACCTGGGGGGCGGAGCCTACAGTGAGCCGAGATCGTGCCACTGCACTCCAGCCTGGGCAGCAGAGTGAGACTCTGTCTCAAAAAGAATCACAAAATATTTTTTTCCTTCACAAAAGACAGACTGGATTCAAAACATTTGTGATGATAATCAGAGCCTTTGAAGTTTGTTGTTTGTTTGTTTGTTTGTTTTCAGGTAACCACAGCCTTTTTTCCTGATCCTGGCATGGCCAGGGAAACAATTTATTCTATTAAGAAATAGATTATTGCCAGGTATTTAAGAGACGAGCTTTACTTAAAGAAATTGATCCATACTCTTAACTCAGAATCTATGGCTTGTTTTGAGGTAACTAAAGATAAGATCATTAAGGATATTCAATGAGTGCCACACCTTATGTCACCTTCAAGATGTTATCATCTCTAAGCAATGACCTGTGCCACATGCAAGTCCTTGATAACTCATGAATACCAAGGTTTAAGGCAGTATTCATGGTTCAGCTTTTTTTTTCTCATACAGAAGTGATATAAAGAATAGAGAAGACTGTGCTCAGATTTAAAGGGGAAAATGTTTTTACAAGGAAGAACTGTATGATTGAAGCTCAAGGAAATTGAGCATCTCACTTGCTTGGCAGGCCCCTGTCAAGAGCTCACACCTTAGCTCTTTCCTTGCTTGTTTCCCAGGGTTGAAATGGAGCCCTTGCCAGCCTACCTGTGTGGTGAAAACAGTGTCAGCATTATATGGAAAGCGTCTGCTGCCCAGTGTGGCTCTGGGCCCTCAAGCTGGGCGGGAGCTGTGGAGGAGCACGGGGGCCCTAGTACGCACCTGCTGTTCTGATGGGAGTGGAAGAACTGCTCTCTCCATAAGCAAATGTGGCCCCATGCTGCATGAACAGCTGCAGGGCTGCAGTGAGGGCCTTCTCCATTCTTCCCTCAAGAACATAGGAAAACAAAATTAGAGTATCAATCCAGAATGCCCAATATCAATCTCACAGCAGTGTTTTAAAGACAGCGAAGAGGAAACCAAAAGGAGGAAGTTATCAGATAACTAATGTATTACATTTTTCCATTACAGGAAATGGGTCTCTGCCGTGAATGGATTCTTCAAGTGCACTGCACAATGCACTGGAAAAAAGAGAAATTCTCATAAAAGCCATGAGCATCAAAATGAGATCAGGCTTCTCAACAGCCATGGTGGGCAGGAGAGAAGAAGAGCAATACCTCCCATTTCAGATGGAAAATTACTTTTCACCTAGAATTTTCTATCCAACAAATATAAGTCAAATATGAGAATACAAGAAAGATATTTTCAGAAATGAAAAGTAAAAAAAAAAAAAATGTAGTCTTCACGCACACTTTCTCAGACAATTACTGAAAGTTCTGTTCCATCAAAGCAAGAGAGTATGTGAAGGGGAAAAAATGGGATCCAGGAATGAAGGGATCCAACTCCAGAGACCAAGAAAGGAGCTATGCAGACAGCAGGGAAAGGAAGTCCCAGGAGAGCAGCTGCCCTGCAGCCTGAAGACGACTGGAGGTGGTAGAGGAGAGGACAGGGCACCCACGACCAACTGCACTATGATGCATTTCACAGAACGCTTGAGGGTATGGGCCACTTAAACAGAACCCAAGAATCCAAGACAAATTCTAAAATGAGGAATTTATCAATTCCTAGAAAAAAATGGTAAAAAGAAAGGAAATGTAATAACAACACACAAAATGATTCAGCAGCCAATATTCAACCTACTTACAAGAATCAAAACACTGAATATGAATGTAACCGGAAGAGGCCAGCTACCTACACCAGGAGGGTGGAGGAGAGCAAGGACGGGTGGCAGACAAGGCTGCTCATCTGTCCTAAAAGGAAACTAGCAGGTAATCGCTAAAAAGAATGAACGAAGACAGAGGACTATGTGCCTACCATTTTGCTACGTAGAGGTAAATAACAAGAAACAGCTTAAAAAATGGTTACTGTTGAGGACTGATGCTTTTCTTAAGGAACTTATTAAACCTTGGGCACAGGCAATGTCAATAAACTAAAAATTCATTTAAAAAACCAACACATAACATATAGCTTAGAGACATGCAAGTCCATGGTTAAGCCTCGTTCTCAGCCTAAAACAGTAGCTCTCATCACTTGCTATGCATAGAATCACCCTAGAGCTCTCAGAAAGGATTGATTGCTGCTGCTTCTCATCTAGTAGGTAGTCCAGGCAGGGCCCAGGCATCTGGCGATTTCTAATGTGACTCCAAGGGCGAGAACCACTGCTTAGGTGGTTTACAGAAGAGGCCCAGTAGTTCTGTGGATTCCTGAAGTCTGTGTGCAAAATTGCAAATGTGAGTGTATTTTTCTGGAGCCTTGGAAGGTCCATGCTTTCATCACAATTTCAAAGGAGTTACGGCCTTTTCTCTCACCCATCCTGGGCACTAAAGAGTAAGACTCACCACCTAACACAGGTAGAGCTGCCTTAAGGGAAAAACGCAGCTTACATTTCATCAATTTAACTTCTCTTTGAAACATGCTTCAGGGACATGCAAGCTTATCAGATGGGGTAGCACTGGCTCCCATGGCTCTTGGGCCTCATTTCTGCCTGCAGAGTGATAATCTACCCTCAGAAAACAACTATGATTCTTTGTCCCCATGAGGCTGCTGGCGAGAGCTCCTGTCTGGCCTCTGTGCAGCAGCCCAGCAAGGGGCCGTGCCCCGTGGGATATGCCAGTGCATTCTCCAGCACAGGGCTACATACTCGCAAAGCCTAAATTTTCACTAGGAGTCATACAACAAAACCCTTCCAAAAGCCATCTGCGTGGTGGCCCTTCCCTGAGCTGCTGGGCAGAGGCCGGACAAGAGCCTTCACCACAGTGCCCTTGGAAGACCCAGCAGCCACAAGCAGCAGCTTGAATGGGACGCAGCCTTTTCCCCAGCCTATGGGTCATCATACAACCTCTCACTTTGTTTGAATTTGCAAAAAAGCGAAGTAAGCATTTAAGCTCTTTATTTGATGGATTCCGCCCCTCCTCCCAGTTGATTTTAATAATTTGAATTGGGGGAAAAATCATGGAAGGAATAAGAATGTATCAGGAACCCCTCCATTGACAGCATCATGCCATTGTCTCATTCTTCCAACCACGCTACAAGGTAGCAAGAAAAGCCATACTAGTGTTAAGGTTGGAAATCAAGGCCAAGAGAGCTACCTCTGGGTCACTAGCTTAGAGGAAGAGACAGAACCTGAACACTCTCCTTGGCATGGGGCAGAAGCTCTGTTACTTTCTCACACCTCCAGATCTTTGGCCTTATGTCCATCAGCGCCCCCAGCCAAAACCCACATGGATCTGAGAGATGGCTTTGCAGTTTGCTCTTCATATCAGAAAGAAGCATCCAGTTACACTATAATTTTGTTCCTTTCACAGTCATGTCGGAAATGTGTCTTTCATCACAGTTTTTCCTATTGTTCCCTGTGTTCTGGCTTTAAGACCAATGCTACAGACAGAAATGTTCAAAAGAGGCTTCATCAGGAAGCACCTGAGGACAGAATGTGAAATGACTTATTTTGTCCTCTCCTACCCAAGGAGACTGCTGAATTTAGGAGGAAAATCTCTTAGGAATTGTGTAATTAAAAATATATAGATGATTACTCTGTCAGACCATGAGAAGATAATTCACTGTTAATAAAGAATGCAGGGCCAGGTGTGGTGGCTCACCGCTGCACTCAAGCCTGGGTGACAGAGCAAGACCATGTCTCAAAAAAAAAAAAAAAAAGTAGAAGAAAATGGTATGCTGTTTCCTTGGGAGGAAAATGAAGTGGAGAGTTTTCTGACATTCAGTTAGTTCACAAACATTCATGGAGAATGTTCTGGGTCCAGGGTGCAGAGACGCATGGCCTAGCTCTGTCGTTGGGTCAGTCTCCAACCTTGGGGGAGGATGACATGCAAATCAACAACGTGACAAGTGGGTGCAGAGAAGCCACAGTACAGGGGAGGTGAGATAAAGGCACAGTCAGTCCTGCTGAGAAGGTCAAAGGAAGCTTCCCAGATGCTGTGATACTTGGGCTGGGCCTTGAAGGACACACAGGAATTTTCCAGTAGACAGATGTTTATAATCCAGTACAAAGAAGACAGTCAATTACTCAGGGAGTTAAGCAAATCCATACGCGTGCTCCCGGCCTCTTCTTCGTGCCATGCGTTGTAGCCAGCAGTGGCAAGACAGCAGTAAACATCTCTGACCTACAAAAATGGTAATGTCACATGGTTCAGTCTAACACATTCTACCAATGTGCAGCATCAAGCCTCTCAAACACTTCAGAAATATGTTCTGGATGATTAATAATTCTCTGGTGAATCTGTGATTTGTCTTAAGTCATAACTTATACTAAGGAGAGGAAAGGGAGAGGAAAGGAATAGTCAGCTCCTTCCTGCGCCCCTGCAGGGTGCTGAACTGGCGAAGCTGGTATTACTGCTGTTGCCATTTTACAGATGAAGGAATGGAGGGCCAGGAAGTGTAGGTGTCTTCCGTACAATCACATAGTCCTACTGGGTGTTTGTGAAGACAGAGTGATGCCTGGGATGGAGACTGCAATTTGGGTGGCTGGGAGTGGGGTAAAGATAAGCTGCCAACGGCTTCCCCAAATACTCAGTAGGCCCAAAGTGATAGCTAGTGTGCTGGTTATCTAGCGCTGTATAACAAATGACCCCAACATTGAGCAGATTAAAGCAAGCACTCGTTGTCTCCGGGGGTCTCAGGTCAGGAGTCTGGGTGCAGCTTAGCTGCATGACTCTGGCTCGGGTCCCTCGCAGGCTGCCATCAGGCCAGCCAAGGCTGTGGTTGTTTCAAGGTTCAGCTTGAGGGGATCTGGTTTCAGGCTGACTCACAAGGCTGTTGGCAGCACTCAAACCCTGTCACCCATGGGCTGAAGTTGTGTGTTCCTTGGGATGTGGCCTCTTCCCAGAGTGACTCAAAACATGGCAGCTGCTTCCTTCACACCAAGTGTGTGAGAGAGGACGGGGAAGGGGAGACCCCAGGATGGAGGCCACACTCTTCGTTACACCCTCATCTCAGAAGCAATATCCCACCAGTTTTGTCATATTCCATCTATCAGAAGTGAGTCACCATGTCCTGCCCACACTGCAGAGAAGAGGGTTACCCAGAGTATAATGGCAGCCTGCCGGGGTCCCATCTCAGAGGCTGCCGACCAGAAGAGGATGAAGTAGGGCTGGTTTTGTTCAGACACTTTGTTTTAAAACATATCCCCTATAGGATCTATTGCCCCAGGGCAGGAGTTGTAACAGGACCGCATGTGCATTCAGCTAAGCAAAAGTCACCTCTCCTCTGGGTAAAGAGCCCTGGGGAGGGGAGGGGCCCACTGACTAAAGTCCAAGGGTGTTTTGAGAGAAAAGGGATCAAGTCCAATCCCTGGCCTTGAGATCCTGAATTATGAAATAGACTGACCCAAGAGCCTACGGTGGTGACAAGGCAGTGTGGGCTGGTGGCCTGAGCTCACCCCCAGGAACTGAGGACAGGTAGGAACTGCCGGATTGGGCAGTGTGTGCCTGAGGGTGGGGGACCCTGGGGAACTCAACTAGCCTGGCATGGTGGCATCCTCAGAGGGACAATGGCTTAGCATGCAGCTGTGAATGAAAATAAGTAAAGCCTTAGGGAAGCAAGTGTGGGGCACCACAGAAGCCAGTGCAGGGTCTCATCTCAGAAGACCATCGGTGCTGATGGCAGCTCCCAGTGAGTGTGCAGGACCTACCTTCAACAGCAACCCCATATGGCAAGGAGAGCACAGCCATGGCACAAGAACCCATCTGTATTTCCAGTCCTCTCTGCACCTGCCATTTGGAGTGAGTAAGCACTGGGGATCTTAGACAATTGGAAACCAGAATGAACATAGCTAAGAAGAGCAGATAGAAGATAAATCTGTGTTTCTACCCCAAGTGCACTGGTTAATTTCACTTTCAGAGTTTTAGAAGGCTCAGCCAGGACTCAAATCCAAATCCACCTGTCTGTGTAGATATATTCACAGAATTTCCAAATAAGAAATCTAGGATTGTCCTGAACCACCAGTCCCAACCTACAAAGACCAGGAAAAGAGGCGGAAAAACCAGAACAGGTAAAAGATTCAGAGATAATTATATCCACCCAGCATGTGCTTCCTCTTGGATGAAGGTCTTCCATCTCACCACCATGGACATGAATCTCCAGGGAAGCATGAAACACACACAGAGAGACAGAGAGAGAGATTCCTAACCGGCACTCCCAGAGATTCTGGCTCAGTTGCTGCAGGGAGAGGAAGGAGTAGTTGGAATTTTTTTTTTTCTTTTTTGAGACGGAGTCTCGCTCTGTCGCCCAGGCTAGAGTGCAGTGGCACGATCTTGGCTCACTGCAACATCCACCTCCCGAGTTCAAGCAATTCTACCTCAGCCTCCTGTGTAGCTGGGATTACAGGTGCATGCCATCACACCCAGCTAATTTTTATATTTTTAGTAAAGACGGGGTTTCACCATATTGGTCAGGCTGGTCTCAAACTCCTGACCTTGTGATCTGCCCGCCTCGGCCTCCCAAAGTGTTGGGATTACAGGCGTGAGCCACCGCACCCAGCCTGGAAATTTTTAAATGATCCCTACTTTATTCGAATCAGAATCCAAGTCTGAGAGCTGCTGCTCTAGGGGACACCACCGGCAGTGACAGGCAGCTCCACGCACCTCCACTCCCGCCTGTGTCCTCAGTATCATAGAGAATGAAAGAATCGATTCCTGAAGTTCCTGTGTATGCACAGTGAGGGAAAGGGCTGGCAGGTGTGTGAAGAGTATTCAGCACAGTGCCTTCCACATCCTCAGCCCTCAAAGGGCGTCAGCCCAGTCCCTGCCTGCCAATGTTTCCCTGACAGTGTAGACACACACACAGGCCACAGGTATCCTACTGGTCACTGTGTTTTCAGGATGCTGTTGTCCAGAAAGCTTTTTGTATGGCTGTCTAGACTAATCAGATAAACCAAATACCTGTCAGCTCTGCTTTGCGACTGCTGTGTGGCTGCCCATTACTGTAGATGCCTTGAGTGTGTGTTCATGGAGTGGCCACGCATGCAAAGGGGGTCTTCCAGAGGAGTAGGCAGGACCTGACACACACACACACTACAAAGAGAATGTTCCGCTTCATTTACATGTCCAAGAAAGTGGGAGGGGGCACCCTACTGCCAATGCAAGCCTCATAACAATTACCCAAGATGACATCTACCACTCTCCCCTCACTCCTGAGCCTTTCCTCAGGCAATAAGCAAACATTCCTGTCTGCTCTCTGACACCCCCGACCCCCACCTCCCCAGGAGCTGCCTGTAGCTGTGGCTTGCAGTTCCCAAAGTGATGAGCACATAAGCCCAGCTTGCAGGCAGGGAGCGTCACAGCTGAAGAGTGCCAAGGGAGTCATCTGTATGGACTAGCGAACCCCTTTCCACTGGCCATGATGCCACTGTGGATTCTGCGTTGTGTGATGCCACGACTTTTTAGTGACTTACAGAATGTACAGGGAGAGTCACAGCATGCTGAGAGACCCCCTTTTATCCTCTGGGATATAACTCTGTTCCAAGCTGCCTAAACATTCTCAGCCTAAACATGGATTCTACTGACAACTAGCATCTGGAACGATGACAGTGGCTTATCTGTTTGGAGACAGCTTTTCATACTAGACAGCACAGGTGTTGTCTTGCTGATCTCATCACAGTCAAGATCTCAGCCCAGGGTGATGATGCCTGCCCTGGCCCCAGAGTGAGGGAAAGTGGGGAAGAGGGAGGAAAGGAAGACAGAAAATTCTTACAACCATGTACCCGTCCTGTAAGGAAGACCCAAATCCAGAGAAATCCCAATGAGGGACCGCCAGATGATGAGAAGGCAGCCTGACATGTGACTTACCAGAAGCTGCCTCTGATGTTTGAGCCCTGGAGGCCAGGCAGGACTGGCACAGACAGGTACACCCTCTCCAGGAAGGGGTTCACTTGGAGCAGATAAAACCATTGGCCACAGGTTTCTGTGGCACTGTCAGTCACATTACAAGCTCATTCAGTGTGGTCTCAAATCCCAGCCCCAGACCCAACGTTGCCCTACACTGACTCTGACTTCTGTTCATCAACCAAGACTTAGTCCACTTGGCCCCCAGGACCCCTGCTGGTGGCTATGGCAACCAGGCCTGCTACAACACCCATCTGGAAACCAACCTTTAACCTCCTGCTTAGAAACAATGCCCTTCTTTTCCAATCATAATGTACTTAAGCCCTGCTGGGGCCAGGTCCCACCCCACTTGAGCCCAGTGAGCAGTACTTTCTGCCCCAGTTTGTAAAGGCTCATCCTCACTGCCTGCAAGGCTGAGGCATGATACACTAGACCCTAAATTAGTTACAATTCCAGGTGGGGGTGAGGCATGCTGCCACCCGCTCCAGTTCATTTTAAAGCCAGTTACAATTGCTGTCTTTACAGAGAGCTTGTCATTACAGAAGGACTTCAGCCCTAAGACAAGGCACAGAAAAGCCCAGGGAAGCTGCAGCTGTCCTGGATTCTGGCCTCATGCCAAAATAGCCACCTGGACCTCACTAGAGGCCCAAAGGGGCCACGAACATCAGCCCAAGCTTTCACCAAGTGGTCTCTTCAAAGGAGAAACAATGAATAAGTAGAAAATTAGGTCAGATTAGAAGAGGGATGACATATTCTACCTAAGCATACCCATGATGCCACAACATCATGGATCCTTCCCATATGTTATACATATGGATATGGCTGGAAGTGAAAAACCAATATCCCCACATGATGTTACATCCATGCTATATATGGATAGATATCCCCATCCTTCCCAATAGTTCAACACTTAATTGATTCAGCCTGGCTTCAGAATCAACTGTGAATGTAACCAAAATGAATAGATTTTGATTGCTAAGATTCTGTTTTTCCACTAGATCACATGCAATTGAAATAAGAAAAGTGCTCTTTCAATGCTTAGGTGCAGAACTAGTTCTGGATCAACCCAACCAGCCTCTTCCACTGTCTGGGTTTGTGATTTATTCTCAAAAAGGACCTCATACTTTGCCCTTTTTTTCTTTCAAATGATTACACTTTTTCATAGTTTTCAAAGACTTTGCCTTTAAATAGATCTCAATTCTCAAATGAACCCAATTCAGATTTTATAATTATATATTCAACATTTAAGATCTCCAAAATAATTCCGTTCCAAAAACATACTCAAACTCCCTTTACCTGCCTCCATTCTCTAGTTGTTTTTAATCCATTTTTTCTTGCAATCCCCTTTTTGTTGTCAGCGTTTTCCATTTTAAATTCATCATTGAGACTTTCTAGCAGCAAGTTAAGTTCTCAGAGAAAAAAATTACTTCTGGTATAGATTATCAATTGCTGCATAACAAATCATCCCCAAATTTAGTGGATTGAAACAAAAAAAAGAGTCATTTCTTTGCTCACGATTTTGCAATGTGGGCAGGCGTGGTGGGGACTTGCCTGTGCTTTTTGGACTTCTGTTGTCAGAGTAGCTCAGCTGGGCCTGTGGTGGCACTTCCATGATAGCTCACTTATGTGGCCAGCAGGTGCTGCTGGCTGAGGGTGGGGAGCTCAGCGGGGCTGCTGACTAGGTGCCACACTTTTCCTTCATGTTGTCCCCTTCATGTAGCTGTTAGAGCTTCCTCCTAGCATGACAGCTTCCTCCAGAGGGAATAAGCTGCCACTGCAGGTATTCATTCAATATTAACTCAAAAGTTCCCACACCCACTTCTTTCATATTGGTATTAGCTGAAGTAGTCATAGACCCATCCCATAATCAAGCAGAAGAGACATGAGCTCCTGAGGAGAGAACCGTCATGAACATACAGAGCAGAATGGAATTTCTTGAGGTTATGTTTGAACACAGTCTCCCCTCTGGCCAGAACAATCCATGTTCTCCCCCTGCAAAAAATACACGAACCTCTCCAAAGACCCCAAAACTCTTTATCTCATGAAAGCATCAACTCAGATTCCAGGATATTGTCATCCAAATCACAAGATAACTCTCCTCCAGTGGGGTTCCTTGGGTGCAACTTCTTGGGTGGCTTATCTCAGTTTGAAGATCTGTGAATCATGGGCCTCACATACACCCAGCCTGGGACAAGCATCAGATCATTGCTGTAGTTCCTCCCATCTCAAAGCAGGGGGAGGGAGGAGGCATGTAGTCGTGGGCCCAGGGCACTTGTCAAATCCATGGACACGTCACCAGTTTCTTGATTAGTGGCTCCAGTTCCACTAGCTGGGAGTGGTTCCCAGTGATTTTTGACTCCATGCTCTGAATCACCCTTCTTTTCCCATAAGAAATGGCCCAAGTATATAGCGAAGAAATTTCTCAGCCTGCTTCCTTTCATAGGAACATAAGGGCCCACATTCTTTTTATTATCTTTGTCTTTGTCCCTTTCAATCAAAGATGACATGCTTCCTTTAAAACTTTTGTGAGTTTCTTATGTATCAAATTAGACAAAAGTCACAACCACACCCCATTAAACAAAAATGATAACCACATTTCTTTCCAGGATGGGTATTTCTACCTTAAGTCCCATGTGAGACTGATATGGGAGAATGCCCCTGAGATTCTTAGAAGCCTAATTGCCTAGCTGGCAGGTGTACACAGCACACCCTTAGTATTATTGGCATAATTTTTTTCTAGCTTAAAGGCACCACCTTAAGGCTACCTTACTCCAAGACCATGTTATGCTGAAGGTGCTCTTTTTCTTTTGCCTAAGGCCATATATTACTTTCAGAGTGTCATGCTATCTGGAGAGTCTGGTGTATTAGTCCGTCTTCCCACTGCTATGAAGACATACCTGAGACTGGGTAATCTGTAAAGAAAAGTGGTTTAATGGACTCACAGTTCGGCATTGCTGGGGAGGCAATTTTATTGGATTACAAACTATACCAATAAACTAAATTTTATTGGATTATGTACTAACGTGATTTTTAAAAAATATATTATGGATATGTGAAACGTATACTTTCTATCCTTGAGATACAAAGTTTATACATACATGTACATTTTTGCACAAGCGTACCATGTATACCCACATGAAAAGCACAGATACTCAAGTTTATTTTTCACATCACTCAATTCCTTGTGTTTTGCTTAGCGGAACTGTTCACAAGATGAGTATTAAATCTCCCACTATGTTTCCGTCATTTTTAAGTTTTCTTTGCGGTTCTAATAGATTTTCCATTATTTATTCAGCTAGTATTTTGTGTTGCCTATACATATTTTTGGATATTATATTATCTTCATCGTTCCTTCTGTAATGACGACATCCATCTTTTTCCTCTTAATACCATTCACACGTTTCATATTGACTGATATTGTCACGGCCATTTTTATGTGCATTTACATGGTATCTGTGTTTCAAGCACTTTATTTTCCACTTTTACTTAACATTCCTTCTTTATTTTATTTTTATTTTATTTTATTTTATTTTATTTTTAAGTTCCGGGGTCCATGTGCAGGATGTGCAAGTTTGTTACACAGGTAAACATGTGCCATGGTGGTTTGCTGCACCCATCAACCCGTCACCCAGGTATTAAGCCCGGCATGCACTAGCTCTTTTCCTAGTTCTCGCCCCCACTGCGCTCCCCCAACAGGCTCCAGTGTGTGTTGTTCTCCTCCCTGTGTCCATGTGTTCTCATTGTTCAGCTCCCACTTACAAGTGAGAACATAGCTTTCCTTTTAGATGAGGTTTGTTTGGTTTTGTTTTTTTTTTTTGGTTTTTGTTTTTGTTTTGAGACAGTCTTGCTCTTCGCCCAGGCTAAAGTGCAGTGGCCCACTCTCGGCTCACTGCAACTTCTGCCTCCCAGGTTCAAGCAATTCTCTGCCTCAACCTCCCGAGTAGCTGGGATTACAGGCGCCCACCACCATGCCCGGCTAATTTTTGTATTTTTAGTAGAGACAGGGTTTCACCATCTTGGCCAGCGTGGTCTTGAACTCCTGAACTCATGATCCACCTGCCTCAGCCTCCCAAAGTGGTGGGATTACAGGCATGAGCCACCCACCGCACCTGGCCAAGGTTTGTTTTTTAACCCAAATTGCTGTCCCTGCTTCTGCCAGAAGACTTCAGAGTGTCCCATGGAGTGTACTGACTATGGCACTTATTTGACTGCCTCCCTGTTTAGATGTACTATTCATTTAATTTATTGTTGCCTCTTTTTCTGTTTTCTTACATGTGTTAATTTGATCAAATTACTTGTCCTTTTCTTTCTTTTTTTTTTTGAGATGGAGTCTTCCTCTGTCACCCAGACTGGAGTGCAGTGGTGCAACATCGGCTCACTGCAACCTCTGCCTCCTGGGTTCAAGTGATTCTCCTGCCTCAGCCACCTGAGTAGCTGGGACTACAAGTGCCTACCACCATGTCTGGCTAATTTTTGTATTTTTAGTAGAGACGAGTTTTCACCATGTTGGCCAGGATGGTCTCAATCTCCTGACCTTGTGATCTACCTTCCATGGCCTCCCAAAGTGCTGGGATTACAGGTGTGAGCCACTGCACCTGGCCATCCTTCTCATTTTTAACCTTATCTTAATTTGGAAATTCTTCTGTAATTCTTAATTCTACTCATGGTTCCTTCTCTTTCTCAACATTTATTCTTCTACTATAAAGATCTCAATAGCTCCTCTTTGAAGATCCTCTGTTGCCCATGGTTTTCCCTTTCCTCAGTAAGAAGAGCATTTAAACGCCTTTATTACTTATCTTTTCCCCTAAACATTTGGGTTTGGCTGATATAGTTTCCTCTTTTTAATTCCAGACTATTATTAAGTTTTGCCATGCTGGTGACTACCATATTACACCCTGGCCTAACCACACACAACAATACAGCTCAGCCCATAGAAAGCTACTGAGGAAGCTACATATCCACAGATCTCACAGAGACTCCAATTGCACACCATGTGCGCATGCATATACACACATGTACATGCATCCATATACCACAGTCTGGTTCTCCACAACCTGATTTTGGATCTTGTTCAGGTGCATGATCCAAGTTCCCAAGGCAGGTTCTGTTGTAGTTTAATGTCCCCACACTGTAAAATCTACTTCAGAACTGCCAGCTGCCAGCTACCAGTGGTCCTCAGTTCAGATTCTTCTCTCTGCAGCCCCATAGAGTTTATTACCTGGGAACTTCCTATGAGCAACCTTATTACATAACCTAAAATCCAATTTTTTTAGGACACAAGTAATGATATCAAATCCCAAACATCCTGATGGGGCATGCCACCATATCTATTGTATCTTGGAAGGAACATGGCATTTATTTTAGATCTTAGGCACTATTATCCACGGTGACCTGAGGTTGTTCAATAATTGTGTACATATATTAAAAAACATGTACACAAGCAGGAAAGATGTGAGCATCAATGAACCAACCACAGAAGCAGCAGAAGTTGGAATTCAGTGACAACTGGGGTGCAGAGCCCCTAACAAATGGGGGGTATCCCACCAGCATCTTTTCTCACCTGAAGTCACTATGCAAGGCATTGAATCATAATTTTTTACTTGCTTGGTAAAGTCAAATAAAAATTCAGCCAACAGCTGTGTGTGGATTCCTCTGAGTTTCCATCCAAGAGTGGAACTCTGTCTGTGGGTGGCTGAGCAGCTCTGCATTTCTGTTGTAAGTCTCTGGAGTCCTCTTGGCTCCATTGGCACATGGGGGCCTCGCTGGCTGATCCAAGGAGCAGCATGTGCTCAGAGAGGGGAAGGGACAGTGCAGCTCAAGCCTGAGGTGAGTATTGTCCTAGAGGGGAAAATGTGCATACCAACTTTCTATGAGCATTCAGCAAAGTAGGCTATTTTGACAAATGTGCATTACATGCTTTGCACAGACACATAGCATAGTGACAATGTGACATACACTGATGTCTTAAGGAACAAGAAAAATGTTAAAGCTGCTACCCAAGGAGAAATGAAACCAGTTACCAGATAACTTAAACAAAAACACCTGCAAGGGAGAGAGGGCAAAATGAGGGAGGCCCAGGTGCCTGCCCCTGAGGAGCTCACGTGCTAGCAGAGAAAACGCTGCAGGAAGCCATCACACTACCATGAGGTGAGCACAAGGGGAGTCCCAGGAGAGAGCAGCAGAGCAATCCCCTCCCTCTGGAAGGGAGCCGGGTGGAGTCACGGGAGCTGATGGAGGCTGCGGATGGATGGGAGATGCCACACAGCTTGGAAGACAGTGTTTCAGGCCAGCCACAGGGCACAAACAGTGTTTACATTACGGAGTATAGCTTGGATGGGATAGACCAGCAGTCTTCAAACATTTGTGCTCAGGTCCCCGCCAAAAGGATGTAGGAAATCTCCCTCCTCAATGAGTACACTTCCCAGGTGACTTCCAGCACTTTTCATTATAGGCTTAAGTAACTGCAAAGGATGTCATTCTCAGCATACTGTAAATGTTTCTTTTAAGCTGTTACATCACTTATTACATTCAATGGAGTCTAAATACTATACAATTTGATATCTACACCATGATCCATTTTTAAAATACAATGTCTTCCAAAAGTCATAAATCTTAGATTATTTTTGTTTTTTCCTTGAACTTACTGGGAGTAACTTTCTTTTGTTTAGGAAAGCACTTTATTGGGCCTCTTGCTTAAGCAGAGATGCGCAGACCTAGAAGAGATGGAACATTGAGACAGGCAGTTTAATTGCTGTGCAACAGAGATTCTCAGACTCCCGGGCCTCGGAAGCCCCTGGAGGGCGGTCCCCCACCCACACCCCAGTTCTGACCGCCGGTCTGCTGCTGTCCTATGCATGTGCAGGCGATCCTCCAGCTGCTTGTCTGCTGACCACACTGTGAAAATCACTGCTCCAGAAAATCAAGTAAAGAGGTATTTTTCTTGGACAGGTGTCTTTGTTTAAAAGAATGTTCTGTTTTCCTCTGGCCCAATGAGAATAAAAGGGAGACACCAAGGATCCTAGCTGCAGAGGATATAACAGAAAAGACTCTGCTCTGGAGACCCAGGTTCCTCTCAAGGTGGGGTCAGGGAGGAGAAGGAAAGAGAAAGCACCTTGTGGATAAAAAGGACTGGTCCTAAAGTGGAAAGTCGTAGAGCAGTGACTGTTCTGTGAATTGTTAAATTGCCAGCACCCAAACTTTTAGCGGATGTTGAGTGAGCCTGCAGTGCAGTGTGGCCATGAGCCGGTCTCTGTGCCTGGAGACTGTCATTACCTCCCTGAGTCCTCTGTGCTAGGAGACTAAAGGGAAGGCTCACGTGCACGCCAGCAAAGAGGCATGGGAACAGCCTCCAGCCTCAGGGACCAGGCATGGTCCAGGGCAAAGACAAGATGCCAGGGGCAGCAGCTCCCACACTCCGAGGCTGGCAGCAGCCACCAGACACTGGTTATGAAATTGTAGCAGCACCTGGGGGAAGGAGCTAAACTCCCACAGCATCACAGAAAGCAAACTCGAGTTATTTCATTTCTATGTCAAAGGGAACACGAGGGAAATGCGGGACACGAACAAACCATGTCTGGTATGAGACAGCCTCCCAGGGTGACGCTGAGAGTGTCGTTTCACCTCCCGGGGGTCTCAGTTTCCTTCTCTGCACATCAAAGTGTTTAAACCCATGGACCTCTAGGTGCCTTCTAGTTCTAAGAGCCTGGGATTTGCTACAGGTTTTTGATTAAAAGAAATCACAATCGGTCCTGTGCATATGGACGGAAACAAAGCTAAATGCTTTCCTTCTCCTTTTCCAGGGAGGCTCTAAAACCAAAAGGAATTGGCGGAATGGTCAGTCCCAAACTGGAGAATTTACTCTCAGTTCTTTTTGTTTCTAAAGGTTTTGGAAACTTATTCTTTTTCCATTTAAATGATCACAAATAGCTGTACTATCTCCCCGATGGAGACAGGCAGTGCAAGGGAAGCATCTTAGACGACTTGGCCAAGTGTGAAAGGAGCATTCTGGGGTTCTGGGCTGTTGAAGTTTGAAAACCCTACTCTACACATATCTTCCAAGAGCACAAAGCACCCTCTCCCCAGCTATAAACTACCGCAGCGCTGCCATGAGGTTAAGCCTGGTGGATTGCACGGGCATTCCTGTCGCAGAGCCATTCTGTTCCTGCGTAACCACAGCCACTGCTCAGTGACACAGGGGCCCAGTCCCTGGGAAACCTGGGCCCTGCATAAGCACTAATCGGAGCCTGGGACCACAGCTGAGACCCCAAACATGGTGCTGGGGGGCCCAGGCTGATGGCACCTGCCAGGTGGCAAACACACTGCCATCTCTGCAAACTCCTCTCTGAGCCAGCTTTTATGGACTGTGTGCATCTGTGCTGTCAAAGAAAACATTTCAACAAATTGTGTTTAAAGACCTAATTGGCTTTTATTAATGATTCATGAGTTGGGTGGCACCCCATCTATGAAAGGGGCATTGATAGCTGGGCAGAGGAGGTAGGCTTTATAGGCAGAAGAGGCTGAAGAAGCAGAAAGAGGGAACAAAAAGCAGATGGGTTGTTTCAGAATTACTTTCCTTATAGAGTCACTGACTTAGGTTGACTGGGCCCCTTAGGACTGGTTGCTCTGAATCTCCCAGTTTTTTGGGGGAAACAGGCCCATTTCTAGGCTCACTTTGGTTATATGGCACCTGGCACAAGTGACTCCATTCTAGTTTCGTCTGATCTGTTGTGGCCAGGTGCAGAAGCTCAGTCCAAACAATGGCCTCCACACATTGTATTTAATAGTGCAGAAATCTACCATTTGCCTCTCCAGATCCCCTGTCCAGCCTCTCCCTCCAGCTCTGTGGCCCAAGAGGCTGAGCACAAGGGATATATCAGTAACTTCCTTGCCCCGGCTTCTGGTTGGATTAAACCCAAGAGTCAAACAGGAGAGAGGGGAGACAGGGTATTTTCCCAGCTCTCCCCTGCAGGTCACCACAGGCTGGATACATGCCTCAGACCCAGGGCAGCTGAGAGGCATGGCTGTGCCCAGATTCCGTGCTCTGCGGTATGGCTTGCTCTACTCTGCTTACATCTTTGTAAATGACCCTTTTATTAAACTTGTCTCAAATAATCCAGTCTGAGTGAACCATCCATTGCAGGACATTGACTGTCTCTGTGTCTAACCAAAGCTCCAATCTGGGAGGGATGTGGGAATACTAGAAAAGTTCGGGAAGAGAAAACAATAAGTGATTATTGGGATGAAAATATAGAAGTCAGAAGAACTAAGGGTTACTTGAAGCAGAGAAGGCAGAGAGAAAGTGCTTGCTGTTGTGCAGACAGCAGGCACAGGCAAGCAGAGGCAGCCTCAGCCTTTTATCCCCTCAGAGCAGCTGCTGGGCAGGAAGGCAAGTCAGCCTTTCTGGGGACAGTTTCTTCATTGGTGAGGCAAGGAGGGCTATACAGAGATAGAAGATTTCCAGTGTGGCTTTCAGCTCTCCCCAGGCTCTGACATTGACTCCGTGACCTGGTCTCACCCACTCTTTGTTTTATAGCTTCTCCAGCCCCAGTGGTGGTGATCTGCACACAGTGGGGCTAAGGCACAAACCCTATTTCATAAATAGCCACCACCTACCTCCCTAAATTAATAAACTAATAAACACAATTCTTAAAACAGCCTTCAGGTTTAGGTTGTGGCTGGTGTCACCACCTCTCCTTCGATGAGTAACTTGCACTCTCAAAGTCGCCCCCTGCTCTGCCCCTACCCAGCAGTCAGGGAACTCCTGCGATTACAAGACAACAATGAAACAACTAAAGCAGTCATCACCAAGCATTTATATGTGCTAGGCACTGCCTTTACTCTCTCTGTCCACATTGACAAAGCACTTACCTACTTTTAATATACTCCTCTAGTTAAAAATTCAGTTCTTTTATATGGTATACAAGATATTTTTATGATCCAAATTGTGCTGGCTTAACTCCTGCCATGTCCTCAGCACTCCCCACCCTCTATCCTTGTATTTAGTTTAACGGTCTCCTGTGTAGCACTCACTATATGCCAGGTGTTGTTCTAAATGCTTTACAAGTTAACTCATTTAAACAGCACTAACTAGTAATGTACTGGTTAGGATAGGGCAAACTAAGTTTGCAGTAACAAACTGATCCTAAAGTTATCAATAGCTTACCACACAAAGGTTTATTTTTCATGATGTGTGCAATGTGGATCCAAGAGGGCTCTGCTCCACGTTGTTGCTCAGGGACCCAGCCTGAGAGAAGCCCCCGTAGTTTTATCACATGAAACACATGGCCTCCAAGGTACCCACACAAGGAAAAACAAAAGTGACAGGTGAGTCACACAGGCACTTCACCAGCTCAGCTTGGAGTTGACACTCCACACACAGTCCATTAAGGCCAGAACTAGTCACATGATCATTCGTAACCCAACTATAAGAAAAACTGAGAAATGTGAACCAGGCGCGGTGGCTCACACCTGTAATCCCAGCACTTTGGGAGGCCGAGGAAGGCGGATCACGAGGTCAGGAGATTGAGACCATCCTGGCTAACACGGTGAAACCCCATCTCTACTAAAAACACAAAAAATTAGCCTGGCGTGGTGGTAGGCACCTGTAGTCCCAGCTACTCGGGAGGCTGAGGCAGGAGAATGGCGTGAACCCGGGAGGCAGAGCTTGCAGTGAGCCGAGATCAAGGCACTGCGCTCCAGCCTGGGCAACAGAGCAAGACTCCATCTCAAAGAAAAAAGAAAGAAAAACTGAGAAATTTGGAGGATCACATGTGATGTTTGGTGAGCACAGTGTCTCTGCCACAGCTAGGAGGTATTAATATTCTTTTAGTGAGAAGGAAACTAAAAAGCAAAGGCCTGGAAAGGTGAGGTAACTGGTTCAAAATCAGCTGCAGATCCAAAATCCACACCCGGGCAGTCTGGCTCCACAGTCCATACTGTGAACCACCAAGACTGGCATGTCCTTTCCCTCACCCTTCCCCGTTCACTCTCCACTCCTCCTAGATCCTGCCACACGCACTTTCATAATTGCTTTCCTGCACCTCCTGCGATCCTCTTCCCAACCATATCTGCTTAGCAAAATTCGATTTACCCCTCACAATGCAACTTAAACAACATAGGAAGACATCCTTACACTCACCTAAAGGAGGAATAGGTACTTTTACATCAGAGTTCCCCAAATATTTTAGATAGACTTTGGATCTAGCCCTTATCACTTGTGTGGCACACTTACACCTATGTGGTCCTTCTTCCCAACTAGATACTCAACTCTTCTAGGTCAGAGGCTGTGTCATACACACCTGCATCCCCAGCACCTGCATGGTGCCCGGCGCGTGGTACATACTCATCGAATGAGAGCTGAATAAGTGAGGAAATGAATGGATAAATCTTCATTATCCTTTATGCAATGCATGAGATTGGTGTGAGGATGAAGAGGCAAATGTATTTGGAAATTAACAGAGGGCTGACAGGAAGTCAGGAACAGGGGCCAAGTGCAGTGGCTCACACCTGTGATCTCAGCACTTTGAGAAGTCAAGGCGGCAGATCACTTGAGTTCAGGAGTTCAAGACCAGCCTGGGCAACATGGCAAAACCCTATCACTACAGAAAATACAGTAATTAGCTGGGCATGGTGGCACATCCATGTAGTCCCAGCTACTCGGGAGGCTGAGGCAGGAGGATTGGTGGAGCCTGAGAGGTCGACGCAGTAGTGAGCCAAGTTTGCACTGCTGCATTCCAGCCTGGGTGACACAGTGAGACTGTGTCTCAAAAAGCAAAAGAAGATACTTCCGTTTCCGGCACCTCTTCTTTCTTGCCGTGCCGATAGCGCTCACGCAAGCATGGTTAACGTCCCTAAAACCCACCAGACTTTCTGTAAGAAGTGTGGCAAGCACCAACCCCACAAAGTGACACAGTACAAGAAGGGCAAGGATTCTCTGTATGCCCAGGGAAAGTGGCGTTATAACAGGAAGCAGAGTGGCTATGGTGGGCAGACTAAGCCGATTTTCCAGAAAAAGGCTAAAACTACAAAGAATACTGTGCTAAGGCTTGAGTGCGTTGAGCCCAACTGCAGATCCAAGAGAATGCTGGCTATTAAAAGATGCAAGCATTTTGAACTGGGAGGAGATAAGAAGAGAAAGGGCCAAGTGATCCCGTTCTAAGTGTCATCTTTTATTATGAAGACAATAAAAATCTCAAGGAGAGTCTTACTGAGCACCAGCTCTGTGCCAATCGTTACTGTGGGGCTTTTTGTGCAAGTGGAGGTGTTCTACAAATGGATTTCAAAATATTTCCTTGAAGACTGAAAAGTGGGCCCAAATGGGAAATGTAGACTGGAAATGTGCTTCCTTTGGCTTTATGGGTGGGAGGTACATTTGAGTCCTTGGCTGGTCCTCTTTAGGCTGGGTGGCATGGCTTTAGTGAGCCCTGTCAGTCATGCTCATATGTCAAATACACTCTCCTAATTCACTGGGGTAGCTCAGATATTGGAGCAGTTACACAATTGTTTATATATCAGACTAAAATAAGATTGCCTCGTACTTCCGTGAGAAAATATGCAATCAAGAGGCAGGCCCTCATCTTCCCTCCACCAGGCTATGGCCTCCCTACAGCTGTGCCTGCTGTCTCGCCATTCTGGCCAAGGTCACCCTCTCCTCTAGTGCTCAGGATCCGCCCCCTGCCTGCTCAGGAATGTGTGTCCATCTCCGCTGCACTGTGACCTGTTGACCGAGCCCACGCTTTCTGCTGGATACTCTCATCCACAAACAAGTTACCTACCCACGAGGTCTTTTCCAAAAAGGCAGGCCCCACTCACTCCCTATCCACTCCCCCTCCACACCTTCTCACATCAAAATACTCCCTATGCACTCCCCCTCCACACCTTCTCACATCAAAACTTCTGAAAGCCCTCGCCATGTCTTCATCTCACTTCTATGTAGAATAATTAAAAAGTCGAATCCTTAGGAAGAGAGGAGAAGGGTGGCTGCCAGGGCCTGGGGTGGGGTCCTGGGGCAATGCTGGTCAAAGGCCATGAAGTTTCAGGGTTACAGGAGGAGTAAGTTCTGCAGGCCCGAGGTACAGCATGGTGACTGTAGCTAATCATGTGTTGTATGCTTGAAATGTGCAAAGAGAAGGGCAGGGGATGGTGGCTCACGCCTGTAATCCCAGCACTTTGGGAGGCCGAGGTGGGTGGATTGCCTAAGCTCAGGAGTTCGAGATCAGCCTGGGAAACACAGTGAAACCCCATCTCTACTAAAACATAAAAACTTAGCCGGGCATGGCGGCGTGCGCCTGTAGTCCCAGCTACTTGAGAGGCTGAGGCAGGAGAATTGCTTATACCTGGGAGGCAGAGGTTGCAGTGAGCCAAGATGGTGCCACTGCACTCCAGCCTGGGCAACAGAGGGAGAGCCCATCTCAAACACAAAACAAAACAAAACAAAAGAAAAAGAAAAAGAAAAGGAAATGTGCAAAGAGAGCAGATCTGAAGTGTTCTCACCACACACACAGAAAGGCAACTGCAGGCCGATGGGTATGTTCAGTAGATTGGCTGCAGTCAGCAGTCCACTGTGAGTATACACACAAAACATCATATACACCTTAAATATATACAATATTTATTTAAAATTTAAATGTAAATGTTTCATAAGAGCTTGTCCATGCTTGCTGTCTCCTCTCCTCACTTCCCATTTCCTCCTCAAGCAGCTCCCACCAGGCACCCACCTCTACCACTGTCCCGTCTCCCCTCTGGCCCCTACAACCCGTGGAGAGGATCCTTTAAAGCCTGAATCAGGTCATGTCATCCTAGTCCTGACTCCTCATCGTTCTTACAGGAAAGTCTTAAGTGCTATCATGGCCTCTGTAGAGCCACTGAACTTCTCAGATCCCCATCTATAAATGGGGTCTGTAAGGTGACTTCACACATGTGCTGAGAAGATTAAATGTCGAGATATGTACAGCACTGAGAACATTCATCATGGCTGGCACATAGGAAACCCACTGTGGATTCTTACCATTGCTTCCACTGCAGATTTCAGCAAAGACATTTGTGAGTTACCTTCCAACCCCAGCATTTTCTATGTCAGAATGGGGCAG
Organism: Homo sapiens; assembly: GCF_000001405.40. Lineage (NCBI taxonomy): Eukaryota > Metazoa > Chordata > Mammalia > Primates > Hominidae > Homo > Homo sapiens. The sequence goes on along the minus strand of NC_000018.10, from coordinate 13,917,672 downwards.
TCCTGCAAACACAAAAGACAGATCCCCGGCCCTGTCTCTTCTTCCTGTCCCCTTCTGTTTCCCCATTGCATCTCCTTTCCCCTTGCTCTGCCTCCCAAGCCTCCCCCACCCTCTCACTCTTTCTCTCTCTCTGCCTCTTTAGCTTTTCCATGAGAGGGACAAGCACTGGGGAGGAAGTTGTATTTGTGAAAGTGACCGAGTTGTATACGATTGTGTGAGAAGAGAAGAAAGGGTGCATACAGAAGCCCTTTGAATGCTCCCTAAAATTCCCCTTTTCCATCGTATCTCTTGGGATGAGAGAGAGACTGGGCTGGTGACGGAATGGTGGCGCAGTTGTAACATGGTCATCAGAGTTCATCTACCAGCATCTCCACTTACAAGTTTGCTTTCCAATGATCACCAGCTGAATGGGTTTCCCTACAGCAAAGATATTTCTTTTAAAATACCACTATTTCAAGAGTGTTTGGACAGGGTTATAACAAAAACCATAGGTATTGGCATATGGTTTTAGATTTCCCTGAGCACTGTTACAAACCTAGTCTGAATTCTCACAACAGCCCGCTTTACACCAGGCAATGGAGTCCTAGAGGCCTGGCACTCAGAACTCTGACCGCGTGTCTTCTGGTTCTAAACTCTGTCATTTCTACTCTGCTCCTTCCAAGAGATTTTTGCCCCCTTTTCTCTAAAAATTGGAGAGAGATGAGCCCCCAAAATGGAAGAACTAAAATAGCAATAGCTACTCTCTTTGCAGGGCTTAGCCAAACCCCTAGGCAACCTTCCCCCTGCTGGAAGTCTCTCCCTGTCCCTCCCAATCAGAGTGGCCCAGGTCCCACCCAGGGGACTGGCCGAGGCTCGCCTCCTCCAGACAGTGTTCCCATTGTCTGCAGCCTGCCTGATGTCCCACTCCCCAGGGCTGGCCACCGGTTTTCCCAATCAGCTAATCAGATCCACAGATCTCTGACAAAGGGCCTCTGCTTCTGCAAGTACAAGGGCTAAGGACGAGTTGTCTCTACTTTTCCAGATAATACAGTAGCTTTCTGGAGGCAATGCCTTGCTTTTCTCTGTTATCTCAACTACATGACTGAAGAGGGAAAGAGGCCTGTGGAACGCCGGGTTTCAGCTGCAGGGCATGTTGCGGAGGCACACACCTACTCAGAAACAGTCGAAGTCTGGGATGATCCTGGGTCCATGAGTTCCTGGGGACAACACGCTTTGCCTCAGTGACAGGCCAGGAAAAGCCACTTTATAAAATTGTGTTTACCCGCCTGGCAAATTCAACTCAGGTCTCTCTCTTTGGTCTTTTCCAGACCACCCACGTGTGAACACTTTTTAGCTTGGGGCGGAAGCTCACATTTCAGAAACAGCCACTGGTTTGGCCCCAGCCCCAAAAACCCAGGACCATCTGGAAACTTGGCCCAATTCCACACTTCAACATTCCTGTTGCTGTGACTGACACCAACAGTAGCCCTTCCCTGCAGGCCCCGGCAGGCAGAAAACACACAGCATTGCACCCTAAAATGGAAGAATTTTGCTTTGAATGATGGCTCTTATCTATGGCGGTTTCTGTGAAGTTTTTGGACGGAGAAGCATTGGCAGAACACAGGGTTTTTTTCTTGTCTGGACCCATGCGTCATATGTGCACTTGAGCACACAGTTCCCTCACTCTCATTGTTTAGTCTTGTGAAATAGGGATAATGGGGCTATTCCCTTCTTCTTAATGAAACTAATGAGCCAAATATTTGCAAGATATATCAAGAAGTTTGCTAGAAGTTTTAAAACAAATTCTTCCAAAACCATTTTCTCAAAAACCTGATTTATTTAATTCCTTAGTTCTTTTTGGAAATAAATGCAACTCTAAAGTGGCATTTAAAAAGAGCAAGATGACAATTCCATAATCTGCTAGAAACATTGTCATAAACATTGGAAGTAACCTTGACTAGCTGAGCTCATGGAAATTATGTCTTCATCTGCCTGTGTCTTTCCATTTCTCTAACTTCACATTACCAGAAATGCACAGTTCATGTGGGATGACATTTATTCAAGGTAATGATAACAATCTAGCTGTATCTCCGGTGATGCATGTGTTCCGGCCCTTCCCGGCCCAAGGTCCACTTGCTTGCTTTTCTCTCCGAGCTCATTCCTTCTCATTCATTTTGCCCAGAAAGTTCCTGCTTCAGAGCTGAAGGTAAGTACATTTTCCACTAATTCCTCAGCTTGCTAAGTGCTTTTGGACCATGAATAGAGCAGCTAGGAACAAATCTGAGAAGAGGTACTATTCAGAATTCCTCCAAATAGCTCATCTTTTTAATTATGGGCTTTCATCCTTCCTAAGGGAGTTTATTATTTTTCTAATTAAACTACTACAATGAAGGCTATTACCTTTTTGTCTAGCTAAAACAATCTTCCCTATTAATGAATTTATTGGCTTCTCTAGTACTCTTCAAATTGTCATTGAGCTCTATTCAAGGACTACAGCCAGTTTTTTCCTAATAGAATTAGGGGTGAAACAAATCATGCTTCTATTATCACTTCTGGAGTTAGCCCCTTCACCTGATCAGCTTGTCTAGGTGTAAGAGTGCGGGGGTTTTAGCGCCACAAAGACGTGGGCATGCGGCAGCTTCCTGAACCTCAGGCATTGGTGTCTAAGCAACTCCACCATCCACACGTGTGACGTTACAGTTCTGGGAGATGCACGCACACTTTCTGTGCCTTTCTCAACCACTAGCTCAGTCAGCCTCCACCTTCCTAGGCAGCAACACGGGGTGCAGGATAAACAATAACTAAAAGCATACTGATTATCACATACTCCTGCAAAGTGTTTGCACCCAGAAAGCATGCAGTCACTGCCATCATGAGGGGCTCACACCTTCCTTTGGCTGGCTCTGTCGGGGGGCACATGTTACCTAGAAAAGAGGCCCAGGCATTCGATTAAACAGCTCTTCTTCATATTTCAGTTTGTCTAAGCTGCCTTCAGATAACTGTCCCCATTCTTCACTTACACACACACACTCATACACACACATATACACACATACACGTGCACACTTGTAAACATACATACATACATGCATGCAAAAAGTCCAAAAGGGATAGGAATGGGAAAGGGGTACAAAGGGGTCCAGAGAGTACAGCCTTGAGCAGATCAGAAGGAGGAGTGCTCCTCACATGCCCTCCCCACCCCATCCCCGGAGTGGGAGTGAAGCGGTGGTCACAGGCTCTGCTCACACATTCATGCCTAGATCAAGCTGTACCGAACCCTTATGTGCTGGGCCTTGTTGCAAGCCTAAGTCAGAGTGGAGCCTCCTGGAGCCCCGGCGCTGAGGACAGCGCACACTGAGACAACACTTCACACTAGCTCCCAGACAGGACACACACCCACAAAGAGCTGTGGGAGCAGGGAGACGGGAGCCCTCACCCTGCCTTTGGGACACCGCTTAGGCCGCGGCAGGGGTGGAGGAGGGCATGAACCAGGGTAATGGGGTAGATAAGCTCCAAAGCCATCCTGACTTCTCAGTGGATCCTGAATCTCTGGCAGAGGAGGTTTTTGCTCAGCAGCAAATTGCCCTCTCACTGCCTCAGAGCAACTTAAGACATCTTAAAAAAAAAAAAAAATCCTATTCTTTACCTTGTTAATGATCCCAGGTATGTTTCCTATGGAATCCTTAGTGTCTAATACATTTTAATGAGAGCTTTCTTGTCTGTGTAAGCCACATTCCTTGCCTTCATTAGGCAAATATAATTGCTGTGGGCCAGGTTGTCTGCAGGGCTCAGCCTCAGACATGGTCAGGGCAGGTCTTATCCTAAGGAACTCAGATCCATCTGCAGGGTTTTCATGTGAATAATGCCGTTGTAGAAATAAGAACAAACAGCTACAGGTGCATAGACGGGCAGCAATCCTGGGCTCCCTTGGGATGCGGGGGCAGTGGAAGAGAGTCTGTACTTGGGCAAGGACACAGTGCTGAGTGTGAGAAGTGAGGAAGGACGTGTCCAGGCCCAGGGAGAGAGAACGTGTGAACAGACAGGCAAGCGCTGGTGCAGACCCACCCAGTGGGCCTTAAAGTGTGGTGGAGTCCTAAAGTCTTAACTTCTCTGTTCTCTGACTATGAGCCGCCAGGGTACAAAATTTGGAAGATGGTTTTAAAGTAAGTTCTCAACTCAAAATATGCGTGTGCCAAGCGCTGTGCTAGCAGCATGGGTAACGCACAGAGCCTGACTTGGTGGGAGAACAACATGTGCAAACTACAGAGACTAATCAACCTAGTAGGTGTCCCAGCATCAAAACCTGGGGGCAGCAAGCGTTTGTGTGAGCAGCACAGCCGTGGCAGGGAAAGGTCCGAGTGGGTCACACTGGCAGGAAGGCACCGTGGAGGAAGCCTGCCATGAGCAGTGAAGCTCAGAGGACGGGAGATGTGAGCGGGTGGAAGGTGGTGGTCCAGGTGAGGCTGTGCAGGGAGCTGAGCATCACACTGATTTCCAACCAGAACACTCCAGCCTGGGCTTCATGCCTCCCTAGCTGTGAGCTCCTGCAAAAGCTTCCATTCTCGGGACTTTCCTTCGCTCGTCCTAAGATGTGATCACATTGTCATTCATGCCTAATTTCCAGTCTTGTGTATATTAAAAAAGAAATTATACTGTAAGCAGCAGTTCTCTGTGAAGTGTCGGAAAAGCTGTAAACCTGCCCAGCGGCCTGCAAGATGATCACACCGAGAGATGCTTCTGCCTGTGCCCGGCATGGGGAAAAAGAATAAAGCCACCCCCAAAATAAGGCTCCCTTGAAGGCCTCTCATAATTGAGCCTATGCGGAATTCAAAACAAGATGTGCGCTGGATTCAGATGAGCCATTGCCTACCATAGCGAGCTCTGCTGGCTGCAGCCAGTCTTCACAGTGATAAGCGTAACTTATAACTCTGTAAGATCAACATCAGTAAGTTCAAGGAAAACTGACTTCAGCTGGAGACAGTGACTGGGCCCTAGCAAAGCAGTTGGGATGGTCCGGGAGCAGAAAACAACGTAGAAATTCATCTGTCCTTGAATTTTTCCTATTTCAACAGAGTATTGATTAATTGATTAATAATAATCTACAAGTTTTATTATGGTGCTATGTTGTTATTTTGTTTTATTTAGCACCAAAACAGCCTCAGAGTCCTGAGCCCCTCAGTTCCCAGCTCCTCCCACAGCTCTTGGCCCAACCTGACCCGGTCCTCCTACCCATACCTGTTTCAGAGCTAGGCTTGTCCTGCTTCCAAACACTCAGCCTCTCAGGCTCTTTGGAATAACCAAGCGAGCACAGACCTTGGAATGAGGCAGATTCGCAGCTGGGTGACCTTAAGCAAGTAACCCAACCTCCCTGAGCCTCCGTTTTCTTATCTATAATATAGGCAGGGGAGCAGGAAATAGGAACACCTACCCTTTATGTGTAACTGGAGCATTAAGAGAGAATACCTTTCACTCTGCCCTGTCTCCAACCTTTAACATTGCAAGAGAAACCATGGCAAAATCAAATTGCCCTTAAAGTGCAGAATTGTAAGGATGTGCTGAGGTATCCTGGAATCTGCTGTTTTACCTGGTTGAGTATTAAGTAAAATTGCTGAACATGCATTGTGGGCCCAACACAGTACAGAATGAATTACCTAAAGCACTCGTAAGTGAAGCCAATTCTTTTCCATGCCATCCACACCATGGAGCAGTTCTGACCCCAATTTGCAAGTGACCAAAGGCTCACCTGTCCTCTTTCTCAGCTGTGCATGTCTTACCTCCTCAGCTAGATGTTCATAGGCAGTACGGTGTTTCCTGTATCTTTTGGATTTCCAATGACATATAACCTAAAATTGGATCCTAGAGGTGCTAAAAACTGCCAATTCTTTAAGTGATTACTTGGATTAAAGCCCCCAAAAGATCTTAAATCTTTCTTCCTCCTGCCCTCCTCATATGCCCCAATCTCCTTTTTCCCAGTTAACATCCCCCAGACCCTAGGATGGAGACCCTGTCATAGATGGCGCAAAGCCAGTGACTCCAGAGCAAGGTCCAGAAGCCAAAGCTACCCGCTGCACTCATGGTGGCCCTGGGGTCTGATTGGGCTGGACTCGGCCACTTTTTAAAGGTGGGGCGAATAGGAGCTAGGTAAGGCAGAGAAGTCTTCCAGGCACTCGTCCAAAGATACCCAGCAAATTTTAAAGCCTTCATCTGGGAGAAAAAGCAGATCTTTACTGACATCCTTTTATTTCATGGCATTTGTTTGGCTAACTAAACCAGTTATAAACTAGTTTATGCTTTTTCAAAAGAGGAAATTTTGAGCCATTTCAGAGATGAGAATGAAAATGGGACTGTGCAGGGAAGAATTTAGTACTAGTTTTTAAGGTAAAACAAGGACTTGATGGAGTTTCTTTATCTAATAAAAAGGGAGCTCCAGGAGAGGCTGCAGGCTGCCTGGGTTGCTCCCTGACACTCCGGCCCCTGCTCTCGGCTGCCCGGCCCTCAGCTCCTCTCCTGTCCCTGTGTCCTTTGGCCCCTAGTCCCTGCTACTGTTACTGGCCTCCTTGCTCTAGCAATCACCGCAGCTCTGGGGTTTTGCTGCTTCGCACTCTCACCTAAGGCAACTGCACCTGCCTGTGTTCCCTGCTGAGCCACGCTGACTGCTTTTTATAAATCATAAATCATGGGATTAAGTGAGCCAATGTCAACCTGGTCTCAGGTGTAAAAGATAAGAATTCAAAAAGGAAGCATTTTCTGGGGATGATGCTTTCACCCATGATGGGGTGGTGACTGGTGTTGGTTTTGTAGGAGAGACACTGGGACACAGGGGCATCTGCCAGCTCCCCCACTGTGGTTGGCATGATTTGGGGCAAACACTGTTGTGATGAGAAGTAGATGGATTGAGAGATTCCAAGCTGCCTCTCTATCCTCCAGATGCCTGGTGCCCTGAAGGGAGCCCTAGTGCTGAGTGTAACTGGAGCAGCCTCAGCCCAGCCAGGACTAGACCAGGGACCAGCAGCCCCTGGTCAGGGAACCTTCTGGCAGCAGCTG